>NC_000014.9:61429894-61732925 GCF_000001405.40 Homo sapiens | reverse complement strand
TTTTTTAAAATGGTACTTATTACCAAAGGTGATGTTCACCACCTTCACATTCATTGATTGTACAAATACTTTCTGAGTGCCTTTTACATACCAACCACTGTTCTGAGTATTTATGTGAATTCTGAAAATTATGCTATTCAATACTCTATAATATTTGGATTTTCAAAAGTCTTTGTATTTAAAATGCCAGGAAGTTTTTTCTATGATTAAATGATTCTATTTTTACTGATATTTGTTGCAACACATACAAAACACAAAATGGTCAAGATCTCTACTGAATAGGCCTGTTAACACATTTAGTCTAGAACTTTTAACCAGAGAATTAGATGGGTAGCCAAACTGTACAGAGGTTGCAACAGTTAAGTAATTAGAATATCTCTGAGTTCTTCCATTGTACTTACTATCATGATGAGTTTTGGTCAGATGATCAGAGTCCAAAGCATGATAATATTCATAAATTGAGCGGCCTAAAAGTTCTTCTGGCTCATATCCCATCAATTCGGTAATTCTGTTAGTAAAAAATACAAGATTTAAGAAAAAAAAGGGAGACACTGATAAAGAAAAATTTTTCTCCTCCCAAGTTAACTGATAGGCATTAATCTTATGGACAAGTGAATTTTCAAAAATGAGCATCCTCCTTTGCTTAGAATAAATTTACACCTCACCTTTGGCAACTACAGTTATTAAATCCAACACCACACATTTCTTTAAGTCCTCTAGATTCCTCCTGTTATTTAACTCTTTAATCCTGTTCACCCAAACTTGTTACCTGGTCTTTTTTTTTGAGACAAGAGTTTCCCTCGTGTTGCTCAGGCTGGAGAGCACAATGAGGTGTGATCTTGGCTCACCGCAACCTCCACCTCCTAGGTTCAAGCGATTCCCCTGCCTCAGCCTCCCAAGTAGCTGGGATTACAGGCATGTGCCACCATGCCCAGCTAATTTTGTATTTTTAGTAGGGATGGGGTTTCTCCATGTTGGTCAGGCTCGTCTTGAACTCCTGAACTCAGGTAATTCACCCGCCTTGGCCTCCCAAAGTACTGGGATTACAGGCATGAGCCAACGTGCCCAGCCTACTTGTTACCTATTCTTATTACATCTCATTATACATACTTTTGGTAACAAGGCAGGGTATTAATAAACAGATAAGAAATACTACTAAACTACATGGTAAAAGTTATAAAGGTAGTCACTTACACTTATTTTAAAATATAGATAAAATCTGTAACATTTCTTCATAAAGCCAAATTCTTTATGTAGTAACTTTTAAGCCCCTAGGCAACACCTCACTTTGAGAGATCAATAGCCATTACACAATTCTAATATCATCAACCAAAGAGCATCTACACTAAATGGGAACTAAAGGAATTATGTTGGTTTTTGAAGATGCTCTTGTACTTAGTTTAGTTTTTGGCATTACATGAAATTATGGGAGTAATTTCAGATAAAACAATATTTCAAATGAAAATAGATTGGAAAACAATCCAATTACCCTATCTAGCTCGCTGGCAGAGAGTAGACCTTTATTTAAGACAGAGACTAGATCTTATTCTCTGTAAGCAGTATGAAATGGCAACCATGACATGAGGAAGAGAAAGCTGTCTTCTTAGTACCATGCTGAACAGAAATACTCTCTTCTCAAGTCTTTCTAGGAGCAAAACATGAGTTAAGCTTTTAGATTCTCAGCCTTTAGATTTCAGAGGACTTTCCTACCGAGGTGCAAGCAAACCTTATATAACATGCTGTGTGTCAAAAAAAAAACCCTACCTAACTACAGGAAGGACATAGGCAAGATATTCTATAAAGGTATAAAAGTAACATTGCTTGTGTTCTCACACTTAAAGGCAAGATCTTCCATAGTTTATTACAAAATAAATATACAAAGGAAAAGCTGATTTGCCAAAAACCAAACCAAACTCAACTCAAACCCTCAATTCTTTACAAAGGGACATCTCTAAACACAGCAACACCAGGTGGCAGCATTATAAAGGAAAACATGTTTTTAAACAAAATCAGTCATATTTCTTGAAATTATGCTTTAAAAATAATTCTAATTGGTCTTATATTTTTCTGTTTAAATAAAATCCCCATGGAATTAAAAACTTTTTCACTATTCAAATCTTAATATGCCTATGTGTGCCCGGCATTATTCTAGGCATGAAAATGCAAAGACAAAACTCAATACGTGGCTAATCTTCCAGTAGATGTACTGTACTACTTAGGAAATAATGTGATAAATGCAGTGATGAGAATCTATTCCATGGAATCCTATCCATGCAAAGGAATGGTAGAATGAGGAACAGCCTCTTATAGGAGACTTATGACTAGAGACAAAGGAAAGGCAAAACCGCTTTCAGGAAAAAGGTATGGTATAAACAAAAGATTTTTAAAAATGCTTAACATGGTGCAGGTAACAAAGATTCTATAATATGATTAGTGGAGACAGATATGAGATGATGCTGAAGAAGTAGGTAGGGGGATCAGATTAATGAAGGTATTGTTTATATTGTCATAGGAAGCTCTGATTTAATCTAATGTCAATCAGTGCTTCTCAATCTGAGGTATGTCTATCACTAAAAGATACCAAGAAGTCAAAAATATAAACTGTATATGCTTTCCTAGAAGGTCAGTTTTACACATATTAGAGCAAGAAAAGTGAGGTTAATTTAACTTTAGAGAATTACATAGGTTATATTCTATACCAAAAGGGTCGGGGTGTCCAGAAAATATGACCAAAAAGTGTTTTTAATGGACTAGGAAACCCATGATCTAAAGCAGTATACTACTCATTTATTTTGAGGCAGGAACTGTTCATCTTCATTTCTACTTTAGTGCCATGAACATAGTAGATGCTCAAATAAAGTGTTGAATAATTTTAAATGATTATTACTCAGTATAGTAAATAGCAGCTATTTGTGGAATATTTTGGAGTTGAGGAGCTTGATATGTTAGATTTTCTTAAAATTGAGCAAAATTTTTTCCATAGCTTGGTTCTCAGGGGTTATAGATGCAAGAAGTTCCTGGAAAGAGCTCTAAACCAGAAAATAACAGTCTGCTGGTCAAACTCAAAACTGTCTTGGTTGATATATGAGCTGGCTGTCTTTACTGTTACCTCCTGTCATGATCATTTTGCTAATTTTCTGCTATAACTAGAGGGGAATGTCACTCCCTTTCTCATTTTTGCTCCACTACCTTCCTTTCTCCCTGGCCTCCTCTCTACTTTGTTACCTTAAGTTTTCAAAAAAATAAAAAATAATTCCTCAAAATAGGATGGAAATCTCTGTCCCATCATACATTTACATGCTAGTAGTAAACACCTTAAAATAATTCTTAGCTTTTCTATATTCATTTTCTTAAAGTTGACACCAGTAGTGAAGCATTCACTATCTGTACTAGGCACTCAATGGACTCCTTTAATCCTGACAACATCCTTCTGAGGTCTTTTTTTTGTTTTGTTTTTGTTTTTTGAGATGGAGTCTCACTCCGTCTCCCAGGCCGGAGTGCAGTGGTGCAAGCTTGGTTCACTGCAACCTCCGCCTCCTGGATTCAAGCAATTCTCCTACCTCAGCCTCCCAAGTAGCTGGGATTACGGACATGTGCCCCCATACCCAGCTAATTTTTGTATTTTTAGTAGAGATGGGGTTTTACCATGTTGGCCAGGCTGGTTTCAAACTCCTGACCTCAGGTGATCCACCCACCTCGGCCTCCCACAGTGCTAGGATTATAGGCATGAGCCACCCCACCCAGCCATGATTCTTATTTTATAGATAAGGAATGTGAATTTTACAACAGTTAAGTACCAAGGCCAAGGCCACATTGTAAGTATCAGAGCTGCAAGCCATGAGTGAATCTAACATCTGATTCCAAAGACAGAGTTAGGGCCAGAGCATAAATATCTTTGTTTGCCATGCTAAGTTTAGATTGTATTGTGTAGGTCTATTTTTTTTCAGTCTTCTAAAATACACATCTTCTTTTGATAAATGAAAAATTTACTTCCCTCATCTAGTATTTTTATAAACAAAATATTTTTGTGTGCAAAGATGGAGGGAAGCATTTGAGGCATTTTCAACAACAGAATGACATGATCTGATTTTCACATTAGGACACCCACTTTCTGGCAACTTAGATGAAAGATTATAAGGGTACAAATCTGTTGGCAAAAAGGCAGCTATGCCAACAACTCAAGTCAAGAGTAATAATGAGCTAATGAATTCAATGGCAGGAGTGCAAGGATGGAAAGGAGGAAATGGATCAAGAGATATATGTAGATAGTAAATCTGTAAGATTTAGACACCAACTGTATGTAGCCAATGAATGTAAAAGAAAAGTTACAGATGACTTCCAAAGTTTTGCTGGAGTCATGTGTGTATGGTGGTGTATTAAACCACAATAAGCATTATAGGAAGAAAGGCAGTTTTTGATGATGATGTTGTTTGGGGGCAGTAGTAGTACAGTTGTTACAGTAATACTTAGTTTACAATACAGAAGAATATCCAGATAGAAATATTAAGTTGGCAATTAAATAGAATTAGTTACAGGAAGAAATGTGGGAAATAGTAATAGAAACCATGGGCAAGGTTGAAGCTTCTCAGGGAAAATATGTAGGATGAAGAGATGTACAAACACTTGGCTTTCTAGTCCCCAACCTAAGGTAATCTATCTTTGCTCAAAATACACACTGCATATCTTTGAAATTCTCTAAGTAAGTAGAGCCCCTATTGGGGAAAAAAAGACTCATCTTAACTTCTGGATAGCACCTAGTAAAGTAAGTGTTCATAGTACAGAGTAAATGTTCAATAAATGTGGCTGAATTAATTTACAAAGTTAATCTAATATTATAGGATGTATCATTCTGTTCAATTTAGTGGAAAGTATAGTTTAACATTGAGTAATTTTTTTTTTTTTTTTTGAAATGGGAGTCTTGCTCTGTCATCCAGGCTTGCAGTGTGGTGGTGTGAGCTCAGCTCACCACAACATCCACCTCCCAGGTTCAAGCGATTCTCCTGCCTCAGCCTCCTGAGTAGTGCCTGCCACCACGTCCCACTAATTTTTGTATTTTTTAGTAGAGATGGGGTTTCACCACATTGGCCAGGCTGGTCTCAATCTCCTGACCTCAGATGATCCACCCCCCGCTTGCCTCAGCCTTCCAAAGTGCTGGGATTACAGGTGTGAGCCACCATGCATGGCCAGCGCTGAATCTTTGCTATGGTGAATATTCAGTAATGCTGTAGACTAATTAAAAATTTCAAATTCACATTTTAGATCTAATTTACCTTTCATCACAATAAGAAAATTTCATATCCAGGCTGTGTCGACTGAGGAAAGTCTTGCTATCTAAAGGAATTTCAATATTTGATGGGTGAGGAATGGGTTCACAAATCAGCACCAAGCAGGTCATAGGTGGTTTCTTATACCCACACTGAGGTTGGTTACTGTTGGTATCATATACGTGAATGTGGCCTGTGCAGTGCAATACCTGTGTATGAAGAACAAAGCAGTTAAAAAAAATATTTACAATGCTAGGGAAAAAAAAAGCAGAGATAAGTAGTTGAGTCTGACATGGCCAGTAAGCTTTGATAAAATTTACTGTCACTAGTGGATTAATCACGTTTTTGAAAATCAATGAACATTTTTCCTATGATACCACCTATGACCTACTTCCTGCCCAGGGCCTATACATTACTCTTTAAAAAATTCCCCTCGTATAAAGTCTAGGCTGCTTTTTCATTCATCTCATCATCATGGCTGTTTGATAGTTATTTCTTGCACTGATGACTATGTTTCAACATTGAACAAAGATATAAAACCATGATTAATAGAAAATTAAGCCCTATCAGGATTCAAATATTGTGTGGCTGGCAAAGCCAACTGATTAAGCCTGGAACACCAGTGCCACAATTCACGTAATTTAAGTTTGTGCCTCAAATTGGCAAATTACTACACGGTTCTGCATTTTGGAGATCACATGCAAATGAGTTGAAGATATAAATGTTACATAACCAAACACCATGGAACTGTAAACCTTCCCTCACAATTCTAAAGTTATCTTAATACTACAATGTCTATGTATAAATAAAGTGTATAATCAATCACAAATAATTTTCACTTACCTTCCATGTTGCAGACTTTATGTTCATAGTTCTTCCTCGGCTAGTTAGGGTACACTTCATTCTGAGAAAAAAGCTTCGCTGTGTGTTTTGTTCTTTACCCTTTTTCACAAGGCCTAATGAAAGCATGAAATAAAGTTTTAAAGCAACTAAATATACAAATTTGTTACAATAAAAGTAACAAAGTGCCCATCACCTAGATCAACTGAATACCCGTTCAATTAAGTCTCAGCATGAACACAGTAATTCATTCCCCTTTTACTCACTCCAGCACACCCAAGAGATCTGACACACACTACTCAGTAGCTGTGATTCCCTGAGTTGGCTGAAAGATAATCCATATTTGGGATAACAGTTAATCATTGAAGCCAGTAAGCTTAGTCAAATACACAGAAATATAAAAATGGTATGAGTTTGCTCTTTAACTGTGCTATCGGTACACAAGAATCCCTAAAGAAAGAACTTCAGCAAACTCTTCCTATCCTTTCCTGAATGTGTTAGCTCAATTTCTAATAAGCACTCTATGTCTTTATAGAACCTTTAAAATAACAACTTTCTTTTTAATAACAAATAACATTTTTACGTATCTTATTTTTTTCCCCTTAATTTATCTAGTAAAGCAGGCAGAAAATTACTTCTACTTTGTTACTATGAGAAAACAACAACAACAGATCAAATGACTTATCAAAAGTTACAGAAATAGGCAGGGCACGGTGGCTCATGCCTGTAATCCCAGCACTTTGGGAGGCTGAGGCAAGAGGATCACTTGAGGTCAGGAGTTCGAAACCGGCCTGGCCAACATGGTGAAACCCTGTCTCTACTAAAAATACAAAAATTAGCTGGGTGTGATAGTGGGTGCCTGTAATCCCAGCTACTTGGGAGACTGAGGCAGGGGAATCACTCGAACGTGGGAGGCAGAGGTTGCAGTGAGCTGAGACTGTGCCACTGCACTCCAACCTGGGATATAGAGCGAGAATCCATCTCAAAAAAAAAAAGCTACAGAAATAAAGTCAGAATTAAGTAAAGTCTATTCACTCCAATTTCAAACCTTCTATAACTAAAAATGAGATTATATTTAGGTGACTGAGAAAAGAGCATCTTGCTGGGCGCAGTGGCTTATGCCTCATGCCTGTAATCCCAGCACTTTGGGAGGCTGAGGCAGGAAGATCACTTGAGGACAGAAGTTTGAGACCATGCTGGCCATCATGGCAAAACCCCATCTCTACTAAAAATATAAATATCAGCTAGGTGTGGTGGCACATGCCTATAATCCCAGCTACTTGGGAGGTTGAGGCGTGAGAATCACTTGAACCCGGGAGGCAGAGGTTGTAGTGAACTGAGATTGTGCCACTGCACTCCAGCCTGGGTGACAAAGTGAGACACTGTCTCAAAAAAAAAAATTAAAAAAAATAAGGAACTAGCCTCTTGATTTCTTATCTTCATTGGTCAGTGTGCTTCAGAACACATATAAAAATATTTATTATTCAGAACCTGGACTAGATATTGTAGGCAATACAAAGATGAGTAAGATACGCCACCTTTCCTGAAGAAGTTAAAAATGTAGTAGATATAGTAAGGTCAACAAAAACACAATGTAGAGTTGGTACTTGAGACTTATAAAAATGCTTTAAAGAAGGATAGGGAGAGCTTAGAAGATAATTTCTAGTCAAGGGAAATCAAGAAGTCTTGCTTAGAAAAAGAGACATTAGAATGTCAGTAAGTAGAGATGGGTTAGAAGGGTATTCCAAGGAGAAGTAAGAGAATGAAAAGCACAGAGGTAGGAAAAATAGGACATGTTTGAAAAACAGCATATAGTAGTTTGTCCACAATGTAGAGTACACGTAGAAGAGTAGTAAGGCAAAGCTAGAAGGGAAGGTTAGGGCTGTACCACGGAGGGCTGTGGATGTCCACATGGAGTCCTGCCTAAATATTCAACAAGGGGCTTTAAAAAAGCACAATCAGTAACTTAAGGAAAATTAACTTAGCAGCAATATATATGTTAGAATTAGGTGACTGTAATGAGAGGGCTGAGCCAGTAGAGTATGAGGGAAAAGAATGGTGGCAAAAGACAAATGAAGAGGTAGAATCTTAATAGACTTGAAAACTGATGGAAATAAGACAGGAGAGAAATCAAATCTGGAAACTGTAATGCTAGTATATTGAAAAAACACTGTAAAGTAGAAAAGAAATGAGAGTAAGTTTAAATGTAGGCATGGTTAACTAGAAATGCTGGACTCTTGAGGAACAAGATGAATTCCAGCCTATACTCTATGAATAATGGAACTAGGAAAGATGGGCAGTCCTGGTGCTGATGCATGCCATTTGGGTTTACTTAGATTAAGAAGTGAATTTGCCCTCCCTGGAAGGATTTAAGAGTATATTTTTAAAAGATGCCATGAGAGCAAAGGAGGGGGAAGGGAAGGAGTGCGGGAGGGAGGGGGAGAGAGAGAGAGAGAGAGAGAGAGAGAGAGAATGTGTGTGTGTCGTGTGTGTGTAGGTGTTGATGGTTGTGGTAGTGGCAGTAAAGATCCACATGCAAAATCCTTTGGGTATGTTCAGTCCTTCATAAACTAAGCTTGAATTATACTGACCTTTGAAAGGAACCCAAGGCCTTTGAATGGGGACCTGCAGATTAATTTAAAAATCAAGGTAACTGAAAAGTACTAGTGTTTTCCTAATGAGGAAAAAAAAAACAAAAAACAAACAAACAAAAACAAACCATTAAAAAAACCTAAATTTTAAACTCTCTAAAAATAAGTCATATTTTGTATAATTTATAAATTCTAAAGCATTTTTCTAGAATTTATTTGGAAAATAGGACTATTTGTATAAACACACCACTGGCTCTCAGTGTATCACTAAAATGTGATGCTTTGCAATAGTCCCTGATTTCTAAAAGAGAAAAATCTGCATTTTAGTTTCCCAATGGAACATCAATAATTCATTAACCACATTAGTAATGATTTCAAAATGTTTGTGTGCTTTAAAAAAGAACATTTGGTTCGAAACATACATTTAAACTATATTAAGACTATCTGATTTAGAATAATGCATTAACATCATTACCAAATCAGAACAAGACTTCCTAATATCCATCCATTTATAGTCTAGCCCCAGGGAAGCACTGAGCAGTCAATATAAACCTCAACTCTGCACATTAGAACTCATATATTAAACTCATTGACAACCCACTTAGGTCCTTGTTCACAGCATATTTACTCCTCCTTTATACAGAATTCTAAAAAGTATGCATTTGTTTTCCAAATTAACAGTAAAAACACAATATGAAATTTAAAAACAGGAGTCAGGTCCTGCTGACAGAGTGAAAAAAGACAGAATGTGAGAATTCAAGAATATGAAAAGCGCTCCAAAGGACTAATGAGCGTGGACTCTGAAGCCAGTCTACTGAAGTTCAGCCCAAGCTCTGCCATTTACTAACCAAATAATGTTGGGAAAGTTACTTAGTAACTCTGTACCTCAGTTTCCTAGTAAAATAGAAATTGTCTAACAGTTAACTTCACAGGGTTGTTGTGAGGAATAAAGGAGTTAAAAGCATATAAAATAGGAAGAACAGTGTCCTGGCACACAGCATTCTCTCAATGGAGGTTAGCTATTATTATAATAAATGAGATGAAAAAGAAAACCTCAAAAATTATACAAAAAGTAAATTTGAGGTTTTATAATATAGAAGCAAACAAACGTATGCACTTAAATTGGAGAGCAACAAAGAACAGCAGAACATAAGAAATTTTCCTTGTGGTAACTTTCCATCATGAAGAAAAGTTCAATTATGATCAGTATACACTGCTTAAGAAGGCACAAATGTGGAAAGACTTTCTTGTTTTTGTAATTCAAGAGGTACTTTCCAAAAATCTTAGAACACATGATTTTTTAAATAATTATGATCAGTATACACTGTTTAACAAGATAAAAATGTAGAAAGACTTTAATTTTTTAATTCAAGAGGTAGTTTCCAAAAAATCTTGGAACACTTGATTATTTTTAACAATTAATTCCTAAGAATTAGAGGTCTTACTCTCTATTTTTGTTAATATGTGGGCATCCACAATGTAATACTTTATAATCTAACTACACGGTCTCGAATTATTGAGAACATCCAAAGAAGTCAAATAAGCAGTTGTTTGTCTTAAAATTCTGGTGAACTTTTTTTATTGGGCCTTAGACTCAAACTGGCACCTCAACTTTAATGACTGTCTAAAGTCCTATTATCTGCCATTTGTATTATAATTTCTCCTTGCCTTAATGGTGTATTTTAATTTTTAACTCCACCAGGTGTGGTGGCGCATGCCTATAATCCTAGCACTTTGGGAGGCTGAGCCAGGAGGATCACTTGAGTCCAGGAGTTTAAGACCAGCCTGGGCAATACAGCAAGAACCCCTATCACAATTTAAAAAGAAAAGGAAAAAAAAGGTAGCCTGGGCGTGGTGGCTCATGCCTGTAATCCCAACACTTTGAGAGGCCGAGGTGAGAGGATGGCTTAAGCCCAGTAGTTCAAGACCAGCCTGAGCAGCATAGTGAGACTTTGTCTCTACAAATAATTTTTAAAAATTTAGCTGGGCATGGTAGCACGCGTCTGTGGTCCCAGCTAACTTGGGAGACTGAGGTGGGAGGATCGCTTGAGTCCCAGCGGTCAAGGCTGCAGTCAGCTGATTGTGCCACTGCACTCCAGCATGGGCAAAAGAGCGAGACCCCATCTTAAAAAAAAAAAAAAAAAGTTATTTGTAACTCTCTTGGTCATGATTTTACTTTTCCATTTTATTTCTCACACCCACACAATTATTTATGCAATTAGGTGGGCTTTCAAAATGAAATTCCTAAAAACTAAAATAATAGTTTTAACAAAGAATAGACATTTTATTAAACATGAAATAACATTTTGCCTTGGGTAAGTACAATAGCAAAGTTTAATAATTAGCAATAGTATCTTATTATGTAAAACCACCTGTCACATTAAATCAAACAACAGACTTTTCTTACCATTTCTGTGTGTAAGCATTTCTCTCATTTCCTCATGGTCACATGGATGAGTAAAATCAAACACACTGTGTCCAGTTAGTTCAAACTGTAAACACATTTTTAAAAATTAGGGCTAGATCATAAAATCATAAAAACATATAGAAGAGCTCTTAATATGTGTGCATTTTACCTGAGTTAATCCCATGTATTTGTTCACATTATCAGAAATGTAAATCATGTCACCATCATCTGTGAGAACCATAACAAAACCATCCAAGGCTTTCAAATAAAAGCAATTCATCTGTGCTTTCATGTCATCTTCAATATCCAAATCACCTAAAAAGGGCACAAGAAGAGGAAAATAATTAGTTAAAAAGTTGTACTTAAATGATATAATATTTAGATGTTTTTACAAAGTTTTCTCGCAGACACTTTATTTAATATATACAGCCATTTCAACACAGAAAAGTGCAGGCCAGAAGCTAGAAAAACTATAATTAGATGTGCCAGCTGCTTTTCATGATTAAAGTAATGCAGCAAAGCAAACCATAGAAGAAGAAAGAAGAGTAATGTTTTTTATTTATTTATTTATTTTATTATTTTTGAGATGGAGTCTCACTCTGCCGCCCAGGCTGGAGTGCAGTGGCTTGATCTCGGCTTACTGCAAGCTCCGCCCTCTGAGTTTAAGCAATTCTCCTGCCTCAGCCTCCCTAGTAGCTGAGATTACAGGCACCTACCAGCGTGCCCATCTAATTTTTTATATTTTTGGTATATATGGGGTTTCACCATCTTGGCCAGGCTGGTCTTGAACTCCTGACCTCATGATCCACCCGCCTCAGCATCCCAAAGTTCTGGGATTACAGGCGTGAGCCACCGCGCCCGGCCTGAGTCATGTTTTTTAAAGGAAGAAAGGTAGATGGAACAGGAGAAAAAGGGGGGAGGGGAAAAGCCAGTATCTTATTCCTGACTAAAGCTTTAAAAGCAGGTAATAAAAAGGATGTTATATTAGAAAAGAATTGAGAGTATGTTTAAGAGAATAAAGCAAAACAAATTATGTGCATAAAGAATGATTATTTCAAAGAATAACTGATGAGAAAAAAATGAAGCTTGATAAAAATAGTGAGAATTACAGAAAAATTTTTAAACGTGTACATATCACAATATAAAGAGGTATACAAAATCAAAACATTGCGACCACCTTCTAAAAATAATTTCTATTTACTTCTAACTTCTAATTTTCAGGCCTATTTATACCCTTGTAAAATAACTCACCAGCATCCAGAAGTTTCCTCACACGCAAATAGCTGATGGTAAGCCTCATCACAGAGGCCTTATCAAGATGCGAACTCACATTATGTGGAAGTGGCAACTGATGAGCAAGCTCATAAAAAACTTCAGATTCTTTACTTCGCCGAGATCTGGCTGCATCTCGAGACTTTTCTTTTCGACGTTCAGAACTTATCCTACTTAACAACAACAAGAAAAACACGAGATGGAAAGTGTATACAAGTTAGTTTGCCTTAACTTGAATAAAACTTTACATTTCTGCTTATCACAGAAGGATTAGAAGATGCCATGTAATTAAGTTACATGGAGATTTGTCTACTAGATTAATGTACTTTTATAAAGGGCAACTATACAAATTTTGGATTACTGCACACATAAGGAACTCTCACAAAAAGTCCAAAACCAAGCTTTAAACCTGTCGGAAGCAGGTGTTTCCTCCCCAGCATATGTAATTGGAGAGAATGTTTTTATTTTAGGCAAAAATTTAAAGTAGCCTGTACATCTAAGGCTGTACTTCATAGAATTCAAAAGTAGTCTCAATACAGAGAAACCACGATTAAGGCTAGAGAAACTACCTAAAGTTGTACATAATAACTTGAAAACAGGAGTTGTTAGCAGGTAGAACGGTAATAGCTACAAACTGATTTCTACTTGTTTCTTTAGACTCCAGTACTTTCTCACCCTTTTACCACATGAATAACACTGACGATAAGCTATAGGAACTGACATTAGCAGCTATAAGCCAGTGCAGGTTGCCTCCTCCCTTAGCAGCCCCTTATCTATTACTGGCACAACAGGTGCCAAATAAATGCAGGAATATGGAAGAAAAAAAGCTGTGGCACACACAATATCCAGAATTTAGAGGGATAGGTTAGCAAAAATAAAGGTGTCAATACAATGACATATCTTCAGGGAACTCTTCCAAGAAGGAAATCAGAAAGATTTTCATTGTCACACCAAGCAAAAGCTGTCTTCCTTTGCTTAACTGCCTAGTGACATCTAATAGCTTGTTGAATAGCAACAGTTTATTAAAGGTTACCATGTGCCAACATTACCCTGTACTAGGTGCCTAGTTCTCTCACAACCTGTAAATAGGTTAAATATTGTCCCTATTTTACAAATGAGGGAACTGGCGTTCAATAGGTTAAAAGTAGCCATTATGTAGCAAATAGGATTTGAACCCAGGTGTTTTAAAGTCTTTGCTCTTCCACAGTATTTCTCTTCTTAATGGGGAATGCTGCTTCTACTTTAAACACTCACATGATCTCCTATGCCCCTCAACTCACTCCTGTTAAATAGATTCTTCACCAAATGTTAAAAACAGCTATTATGATTTAGTGAGCATTGGGCAGTATGCTAAATAAGGACTTTTAGCCAGCATTATTTTACTTAATCCTCCTTACATCCTGTGAATGAAGTACCGAATTGTCTCCACCCCAAATCTCTCCTCCTTCCAAATGATCTGCAAAGTTGAAAGGTACAACCATAGAAGCAACATTCTGGAGTAACAAGCACAGTTCTCAGCAAATGCTCTTGTTACAATATAACATGTTGTATTGTGACAATACTGATACTAGTTTTAGTACTTACTCAAGTTTGTGTGTTTATAGGACTTTTATACTTTAATAAGGAATGTAAGCATGTTATTGAACTTTGATAGAAAAATTTCAACTCAAGCATCTAGATCAATTTAACTTGAGTACCTTGAAATTTACGGTGAGCTATTAAAAACTATTATCTTCATCTGGTTAGATGGTGGAGGAAAAAAAGGAAGAAACTATTATCACTTAAAACTAGTTATATGAATCTATATGAACTATAACTAGTTATATGAACTAGGATTTTCTCAATGCTGTACAATAAAAAAAAATTAGTCACTGAGGCTACATGAAAATGCAAATGCCAGCAGTCTGTAATTTTTTCATTTCACTGCATTGTTCTCTGTAAATGTTTTCAATTTAAACTTAAAAATAAAACGTAAGACTTGATCTGTATAAGCAGAAGAGTAAAATAAAAAAACAAGTATGATGATAATAACTCCAGCATACACTGGAGTTCCATACACCATTCCCAGGATGGGGGGGTATCTAGCAGGTCCCTATTGGCCCTAACAGAAAATCTCTCACTTCCTCCCCAACCCCCTTAAGTTGTAGGTGACAGGCAGTGATAGCTGTGGGAAATAGATTTCTATCTGGTTCAAATAAAGCCTCTAAAATAGAGTGATGGTCAATTATCTCTTGTTAAACCTGAATATTAGTTCAAATGCCACAATCATTCCAGGCGTTCTTTGTTACCTAGGCTGGTCTTGAACGCCTAAGCTCAAGCAATTCTCCTGCCTCAGCCTCACAAAGGGCTCAAATTACAGGCTTGAGCCATTGTGCCTGGCCAAAGTGTTCAGAATTTTATAAGCAACTTACTGTATTTTTTCTGAACCACTCAACTGATGTAAACTACCAATAAATGACTACCCAAATGAAACACTTGGTGAAAAAATTGAAAACCTTATAATATGTGCTATATATGCTTTTTTTTTTTTTTAATGGAGTTCTGCTCTTGTCACCCAGGCTGGAGTGCAATGGCAAGATCTTGGTTCACTGCAACCTCCACTTCCCAGGTTCAAGCAATTCTCCTGCCTCAGCCTCCTGAGTAGCTGGGATTACAGGCATGTGGTACCATGCCAGGCTAATTTTTGTATTTTTAGTACAGACAGGTTTCACCATGTTGGCCAGGCTTGTCTCAAACTCCAGACCTCAAGTGATCCACCCGCCTCGGCCTCCCAAAGTGCTGGGATTACAGGCGCGAGTATATGCTTTTAAAGGGTATCCAATCAAGCTAACTATGGTGATGGAATGTCTCCAGTTCCTCTGTAATACACGTATCGTCCAGAACTTCAAAGATAGCAATGACTATCTAAGGAGTGGCAATAAGTGTCTAAGACAAATCCATTAGAAATTTGAGGTTAGATAAAGCATCTAAAGGACAGTATATTTAAAAGCTAGTGTAGACTGAAAATAAGACTGAATTTTGGAAGAAAACCAGCCTTCAAGAAAACAACTAATATAGAGTTGACAAACCTATATTAGATGAAGGTGATAAAAATTATTATGTCCTTTATCACACAATGAGTCTAGACAGAAACCAATCAAGGGATCTATAATAAAGATTTAATGGAAAAATCTTCATGATATTCTTCATATGTGACTACTGGAGGTCTTATAACATTTCTAAGTAAGCTTAAAGCTTAAAGCTAAAGCTTCTGAAGTTCTTGTGAGTTTCAGCATTTAAACTGCCCGGCTTCTTGTCTAGTCACAGGAAGGCTAATTTTATCAGTTTTATACCACAGAATTACAGTACTGACCAAGAATTATTTGTTAGACCAGGGGGTCTAGGTCCCACAGAGATGAATCCTGTACTATTTGTTTTACTGCTTACATTGCACAACAGAAGATATGTAGATCAGAAAGAAGTACATTTTCCACATGCAAATAAGGTCACTATATTTCTCTAAATTTTATAAATTGCATCTGTTTTGTTTTTAAGTACAGGTCAAGTGAAGTTCTTCTGCTGATATGTTCTGCTACTGCATAAGGTACTATATTTCAGTTAAGAGTACAGTTAAAACAGTTTGTTTACCCATTTCTACAACTGTTCTAGAACTAAAGTTGGAGTATACTACTGGCAAAATAGCTCAATCTTTGTGGTATTGTAGTTTTTACATGCTTACCATTTTATTATTTAACATACAGTATTAGACACAAAAGTAACAATTATATCTTGAAATTATTTTGTATAGGAAATATATTTAGAAAAATAATTTTGAGCCCGTCTTATTAAGCTTCTTGTGTACAAAGTTCATGAATAAGCAAGAGTTGTTTTATAGAGAATGTCTATTGTTCTTCAGATTAAGAACATAAAATATTTAGTGCTTTGTAGTAGGTCAGTAAAAATTAAAAAAAAATAAAAGGACACAAAATAATTGTAGGCATTTAAAGTCATCTTTTCGTATTGCACAAAAAGCCTGTTAGCATTCCTAATTGTAAAAATATGTGACTTCAAGAACTGAAGTTAAACCATAACTATTTAAAATGTGAGCAGATTATCAGATTTACTTCTAATAAAGTTAATGTACCTCAATTATGTTATTTGGTGAAATAACTCTTTCTGGCCTTGAAGGTACAAGTTGGTTTTTGTTGTTTTTGCACTTGCGTCAGTATTTCTACAGGACTGACATTCTGAAGTGAAATTTCATGATATAAAAAATGTGCTACTGAAATTTTTTAAAATACACAATAGCTTTCCAAATGGTTCTGTGCCCATTTTTGTCTCTGCCAGTTCATGAATGTGTATATCAATTCCCCCATGCACTCTGCAATATTATATATTACGCATCTTTTTAATCTTATTAATTTCTGCTGAGCTGATAGGTGAGAATTATATCTCATCATTTTAACTGCCCTGCACTTCTTAAAGTCTCAGGCCCAAGAAAAATGCAAAGAAAAGTTCATGTTCACTCTTCAGTTGGCATTTTTGCCTGCAGTTTTATTTTCATTTTATTTTAGAGACAGAGTCTTGCTCTGTCACCCAAGCTGGAGTACAGTGGCATGATCATAAGCTCACTGCAGCCTCGAAATCGTGGGCTCAAGCAATCCTCCCCCTCCCTACCTCAGCCTCCCAAGTAGCTACAGGCACACGCTACCATGCCCAACTAATTCTGTTAAATTTTTTGCAGAGACGGAATCTATGTTGCCTCGACTGGTCCTGAACTCCTGGGCTAAAGCGATCCTTCTGCCTTGGCCTCCCAAAGTGCGAGGATTATAGGTGTGAGCCACCCAACCTGGCCTTTGCCAGTATTTTTAAATCCAAACACCTATGCATGGTGCTTACTAATAACACAGTGGTATTCTAAACATTTTTCACCTATTATTTAATCTTTATTATTATCACCATGTTACAGATAAGGACCCTGGCTAAATAGCTTACCCAACATTACTCCGTTAATAAATGGTAGAACCTGTATTTCACTCAAGCAGTCTGGTGTCCACGCGATTAACACTAGACTATGTTGTCTCTCAAAAACTCATCCTGATTACCAAGGCAAGTATTTGTAAGTCTAGGCTATTATTATAAAGTTCGAAATTTGCCTACTTCACATGCCAAAGACATAAAGAAGGAATTATAGGAGTTGGCTTCAGAATTTAGGACTTGACCTAAGCTATTCAGAGAAACTCAGAACCAGGCTCTTTCTTGGAGTTTGCTTATAAATCCAAAATCCTAACTGAAAGGCACCTACAATGGTAATAGATGCTCTCTGCTCTACTGTCCAGCAGCTCTTCAAAGCAAGGTAATCCCTTCCGGTAATGCCAATCATTATGGCGAAAGAGTCAAAAGATGGTAATTCAGTCTATACTCCCAGTAGACTTTATTTGTACAGAGCAGCTATTTCAATATCTAAGTTCAACATTGTTGGTGTTTTACTTGCTCAACATTTGTCTAGCAGTCACAGAAACTGTTTTTTTTTTTCCTGAGACGGCATTTCACCCTTGTTGCCCAGACTGGAGTGCAATGGCGCGATCTCGGCTCACTGCAACCTCTGCCTCCTGGGTTCAAGCAATTCTCCTGCCTCAGCCTCCCGAGTAGCTGGGATTACAGGCGTGTGCCACCACGCCCAGCTAATTTTTGTATTCTTAGTAGAGATGGGGTTTCATTATGTTGGCCAGGCTGGTCTGGAACTCCTGACCTCAGGTGATCTGCCCACCTTGGCCTCCCAAAGTGTTCGGATTACAGGCGTTGAGCCACTGCGCCTGGCCCTTCCTTGTTGTTTGTACTCATTTTTAAAGTTATTCTAACTTGTATTAGGCCAAATTAATGAAGAAAGGCTTAAGTTTTTAAAATATTAAAAATATTTTAGATCTATACCTAAAGCTAACACACATACTATAATGATGCAGTCTCCTAACATGAGGTGATTTTCTGAAACTAACTGGTTTTTAAGTGGGAAGGGTTTTGTCCTCCAGAATTTTGTATAATGGTGGCATAAACACTGGAAGGTAACTCTCAAGGTCTAATCCTCAAGGTTTTTAATTCCATCATTTCCCACAGGAAAACAAATGGAAAATCCACCAAGTTCTTGGTTTGTATTTTGCAGCATATTTGAAGGAATTTTAGGAACTGAAATACCAGCAAACGAATAAACAAAAAGTATAACACCATCAGTACTTACTAAAACAACATCTCACATTTCCATAAGAGAATTCAGTTACTGTTCTTTTTCCTTAAATGGCTTTGAGCATTGTCTTGCTGTTTGCATAAGACTGTTTACTAACCTGAGTGTTTTCACAGATTTGGGAAGCTTAGATTTTTGAACGTTCCAGCAAACATTCAATTTGGTGTCAGCTTGACATTAAGATATACTCCTTACACACAGCTCTACTCTATATTTCACAATGTGCTCAGTTAATCTACTTTGATTCTATTTTTATAAATCTAAATAATCTCCTATTGTTTTGGAAAAAACTCTCCAACAGCTTTTTTCCCCCCTCTGCTCCCACACCACAGCAATCAACAACACAGAAGACAACTTCTGCAACCCTATCGGGAGAGGAGGGGTTCTCTCCACCACCAGGTGAGCAATCAGTTCTGCAGCGGACACCAACTGGGTGTCCTTCAATTCAATTCTAACACTATCTACCTGGAGACAGTGTCAGGTTGAGGGCTCAGTCCCCAAGACTGCCCCCTCAACAGGAGTTGCAAGTCTGGCCTCAGGAACTTCTGACTGACAGGCTTCAAAAGTTGGGATTCTCACAAACCCATCTTTGCTGGAGCAGCTCACAGAACTCAGGGAAACATGTTTACCAGTTTATAATAGAGGATATTAATAAGGATACACATGAAGAGATGTGTAGGGCGAGGTATGGGAGAAAGGATGCATCTATCAAGTACCATGCACTGTGCTAGGTACTAGAAATATAGTGAGAAGTAGAATAGCCTTTGAGCTTAAATGGCCTCCCACTCCTTAGTCTACTGAAATAGTCACCTAATGCTTTATTCCCAAATGCTTGTCTAGCTGCATCGTGAAGGACATTCAACATTTCAAATTCCTAGGCCTCACTGGGAATTTGAATCTGTAAATTCTGATTCAGTAGATCTAAGTCAGGATCCCAAAATCTGAGTTTTTAAAAACTTCCAAGATGCATATGATACGTAAGTTTGGGAACCACTAGCTGATCATTATTGCTAACCACTGTTACTCTGCTTTAATTTCTTTCTGAAACCATCACCATAAAGATCCTTCCGAAGTAAAGAAATTTGGCATTATGGCCTGATTAAAATCCCATTAAATGTACACAGGACAAGGTCTAATTATTTAAAAGGAAGCCCTCCCTTACCTAGTTCCCTGTCCACCTCTTTATCCTCATCATTTTCCACATTCTTCAGCCACACTGCAGTTACTCAAAAGCACCATAGTATTTCCTTTCTGGCTTGCTTACTCTACTCCTTCTGCCTGGGGTACCATTCCCAATATGTGGCTTGGTAAATTTATAAGAGAAACTTTTAAAGATTTAATTCAAACATCATTTTGTTTCTGTTTTTTTTTTTTTTCCTCTGGCTTCCAAAACTGGTCCTCTCTGGTAGAACTGATCACTCTAGTTATTTGGCTATATTAATCTTCCTTCACAATGCTTAAAGATTCTTGGGGGCAGGAAACTGTCACACATTCATCTTTGTCTTCTCAGTAGTGATGTGCGTAAGTTTGACTTTGACATATTTGCCCCAAATCTGCTATGACTTTGATTTCTGGCACAGGAAAAGCTGACTGCCCTTTCAACATTCTTTTTGGGAATCCCTGATTTGTGCTTTATTAGTGCTCCTAATCATAATTAACCAGCATATCAATGTTAGTACTATTAAATAAACATAATATTTGAATTTACTACAATTATCTGGATATGCATTTTCAAGTATAAGCAAGCATACTAGATATAAGTTACAGTGAAAATCTTATATTCTTTTGTCTCCCTGTTTCTTTGCACCCCTGTAATCTTTTTCTGTAACAGCAACTAGAATAATCCTTTTAACAAGAAATCAAGTCATATCACTCCTCTCTGCTTAAAATGGTTTTTGCCTCATTTAGAGTAAAAGCCAAAGCCCTTCCAATAGTCCATATGGGCCTCCACAATGGCCTCATTACCTCTTTGATCTCACCTTCTACCACTTTGCCCCCTTTGCTCATTCTGTTCTAACCATACTAGCCTCCTTACTGTTCTTAAAACACTTCAAACACATTGCCTCCTAGAGCCTTTGCACTAGTTGTTCCCCTTGCCTGGACTACTGCTACCCTAAATACCCACAAGGCTTGCTTCTCCACCTTTTTCAAGTCTTTGTCGCAGTCTCACCCTCATTGAGATTCCCTGATCACTGCCTCCATCTTGGTCCTCTTGCCCTGCTGTATTTTTATGAAAGCCTAAGTACATATCTTACTTGATTATTTTATTTTCTATCCCACCAATCCACACCTTCACTGGAAAGTAAGTTCCATAGAGGCGGAGACTTTTGTCTATTTTGTTCAATGAACATCCCAAGCACCTAGAACAGTTTCTGACACATAAGAAGTATTCAATTATGTGCTGGCTGAATGTATGAATTAATAAGTTGAGATTCGATCACTAGTTGAAGTATAAATATATATTTTTGCAAGAATAAATGCTACAGTAACTGATTATGACAGCTAATTCTGTGTACAAAAACAACCATTTATTTATCTAGCCAAGTTCCTGGCACAGAAAAGCAGCTTAGTAAATGTTAACAAATGAATCGTGGAATAAATGTGAACACAGGCAAACACAGGCATTAGCCACAAGGTAAACATCAGAGCCAGCAGAGCCAGCAGTGTCATCTTCCTGAAGTAGAAAAAAACAGCTATCAATTAAAACAATCACCCACCAGTATAACAATGAAGAGTATCACCATAAACCAAGGCAAATAAATGATCTTGCCAGGAAAGAGATTTAGAGGTGTAAAGAGAGAGCTGAGAAACTAGAAAGCCAATTTGCTGAAAAGAGGTTCAGTGTTTAAGATTAGTTCCCTTATCGCTTTCATCTACACTCATGTCTTTTACTGTTTTGTCCTAAGCAAATGTGGTCAGGAAAATGTGTGAGTTATAGTTAATGTTCTTAACCAATCAAATTACTAGCCGAGTGTAATGGTGCACTCCTGTAGTTCCAGATACTCAGGAGGCTGAGGCAGGAGGATTATTTGAGCCCAGGAGTTCAAGGCTGCAGTGAGCTGTGATTGTGCCACTGCACTCCAGACAGAGCAAGACACTGTCTCAAAAAAAAAAAAAAAAAAAAAAAGGAATACTTAAACATCTTTATCATCTTTATGTTTTCCGAACCCAGGCAGAAACAGGAGTTTACTAACTTTGGTTTCCACAGTCTTTTTCAAGAAAGTGCTGTCACGAAGTTTTCATTAAGTTGATACCTAATCCTATTGCCTTTTTTTTTTTTTTTTTTTGAGACAGAGTCTCGCACTGTTGCCCAAGGCTGAAGTACAGTGGTGCGATCTCCGCTCACTGCAACCTCCGCCTCCCAGGTTCAAGCGATTTTCCTGAGTAGCTGGGGTTACAGGCGCCTGCCACCACACCCGGCTAATTTTTTGTATTTTTACTAGAGATGGGGTTTCACTATGTTGGCCAGGCTGGTCTTGAACTCCTGACCTCTTGATCCGCCTGCCTCAGCCTCCCAAAGTGCTGGGATTACAGGCGTGAGCCACCGCGCCTGGCCAGCTTTGTTTTTTTAAGGAGGGTTACTTTTAGACAAGTATTTTATATGTATTATTGGAAGTATTATTAATAGGATCTGTTGTTACATTTTCTATCTAGTAATTGTTGCAAAACCAGAATACTTAAAACATCACATGTAATTTTTAAAAACCCTATCTCTACTTAATGGAAAAAATAGCAAAAACCTGACATTTCAAATTAAATATAAATTACATTTTCAAGACAGCTAGCAATCTATTATTTTATCTGGGAAAATATCTTCTGAATTCTAATCAATAAACTTTAAAAATAAACCTTTAGGATACCCACATGTTAGAGAATGTTATTGATGTATTCAAAAAATATTTCTTGATCATCTTCTATGAGTCTAACACTCTTCCCAGAACAGGACACGGTGCAATAAACAAAACAGACCAAGTCTCTACCTTCACGGAGGTTATCTTATGGAACAAATGTATTTTTACATTGCTTGTTGTTATCCAGCAATATTTTACCAGGGTCAATCCCTAACTGACAAAACACGTCACAGAAATTGTCTTTCCATTAAACCAGCTACCACAAAATTTCAGGATAAAAGCAAAGTCTACAAAAATTAATCTTTGCTTATACTAGATGCTACAATATAGTATTATATGAACAGAGCAGGCTATACAAAAAAAATTGAGTATGATTCCACTCCTGTGTGTAATGTATGTGTATAAATATAAACATATGTAGCTATACACACATATAACTCATAGATGCACAGATAAAACCAGAATACAGTGATATACAGTGTTAGCAAAGTTTACAAATATTAACTAGTTTCAAGATACCAGGATCACAAATTTTTTGTAATTTATTTTAACAAAAATTCACCATGAACTGACACTATCACTGTACCTGCATTTGTCAAAAAACTCTGAAAGAAGTAGTAATCTAACTTGAACTATCATATTTCTTTCCTACTGTATATCCTAAAGAAAAGTATAGACTGAACAGGCAATATAATTCAGTATCTTCAGTTTCTCATGCTAACCTAATTTTCAAATTTTGAAAATTCTGTATAATTAATTTGAAATTCAAAAAAACAGATGAAATGGTTTGTTTCTAAAGAAAAATGTTCAGAATGCATACACTTATTTTATTTTTGAAAGCAACTAAATTTCTTGGTTTAGATCATTATTATCTAAACGGCACAACAACATCTCTCTTAAATATCCATAATTAAAGAAAAGATGGATTTATTCACCTTCCAAACCTCACCAAAATGCTTACTTTAAATGTGATTTTCTAATGCAGTAAAATAAACGGGGAAAAGAATCACTGTTTTACATTGGAGGGTTCCTTCTGAAAATGAAATCTATATCACATCTGAAATAGCCATAATGTGTAAATTTTTCATTTACATGTTAATTTATTAAGTAGCTAATACTTTTCCATGTGTTTACATTAATGTGTATTGAAATATTACTTGTAAGAAGAATGTGCTTTTTGTTTTTAGATTATTCCTGACTAGTGATATAAATAAAATCTTTCCTGGTCCAGAATTGGTGTTGAGCCTCTCAACAAATCTTTGAGCCCTGATTATATATAAGGTATTGTGCCAGGTGCAGTGGCTCACGCCTGTAATCCCAGCACTTTGGGAGGCTGAGGTGGGCGGATCACCTGAGGTCGGGAGTTCGAGACCAGCCTGACCAACATGGAGAAACCCCGTCTCTACTAAAAATACAAAATTAGCTAGGCATGTTGCCACGTGCCTGTAACCCCAGCTACTCGGGAGGCTGAGGCAGGAGAATCAACTGAACCTGGGAGATGGAGGTTGTGGTGAGCTGAGATTACACCATTGCACTCCAGCCTGGGCAACAAGAGCAAAACTCCATTTCAAAAAAAAGAAGTATTGTGCTAGATAAATAAAACAACAAAAATGTGTATGTAAAGTTTTTACTCTAAGATGAAGGTTCTCAAACGTCAGTTTTCATCACAGTCCCCTGGAAGAATTCTCAAAACACAGAATGCTTGCCAAGTCAATCCTAAGCCAAAAGAACAAAGCTGGAGGCATCACACTACCTGACTTCAAACTATACTACAAGGATGCAGTAACCAAAACAGCATGGTACTGGTACCAAAACAGAGATATAGACCAATGGAACAGAACAGAGCCCTCAGAAATAATGCCGCTTATCTACAACCATCTGATCTTTGACAAACCTGACAAAAACAAGAAATGGGGAAAGGATTCCCTATTTAATAAATGGTGCTGGGAAAACTGGCTAGCCATATGCAGAAAGCTGAAACTGGATCCCTTCCTTACACCTTATGCTAAAATTAATTCAAGATGGATTAAAGACTTAAATGTTAGACCTAAAACCATAAAAACCGTAGAATAAAACCTAGGCAATACCATTCAGGACATAGGCATGGGCAAGGACTTCATGTTTAAAACACCAAAAGCCATGGCAACAGAAGCCAAAATTGACAAATAGGATCTAATTAAACTAAAGAGCTTCTGCACAGCAAAAGAAACTACCATCAGAGTGAACAGGCAACCTACAGAATGGGAGAAAATTTTTGCAATCTACTCATCTGACAAAGGGCTAGTATCCAGAATCTACAATGAACTCAAACAAATTTACAAGAAAAAAACAACCCCATCAAAAAGTGGGCAAACGATATGAACAGACACTTCTCAAAAGACGACATTTATGCTGCCAAAAGACACATGAAAAAATGCTCATCATCACTGGCCATCAGAGAAATGCAAATCAAAACCACAATGAGATACCATCTCACACCAGTTAGAATGGCGATCATTAAAAAGTCAGGAAACAACAGGTGCTGGAGAGGATGTGGAGAAACAGGAACACTTTTACACTGTTAGTGGGACTGTAAACTAGTTCAACCATTGTGGAAGTCAGTGTGGCGATTCCTCAGGGATCTAGAACTAGAAATACCATTTGACCCAGCCATCCCATTACTGGGTATATACCCAAAGGATTATAAATCATGCTGCTATAAAGACACATGCACACGTATGTTTATTGTGGCACTATTCACAATAGCAAAGACTTGGAACCAACCCAAATGTCCAATAATGATAGACTGGATTAAGAAAATGTGGCACATATACACCATGGAATACTATTCAGCCATAAAAAAGGATGAGTTCATGTCCTTTGTAGGGACATGGATGAAGCCGGAAACCATCATTCTCAGCAAACTATCGCAAGGACAAAAAACCAAACACCGCGTGTTCTCACTCATAGGTAGGAACTGAACAATGAGAACACATGGACACAGGAAGGGGAACATCACACGCCGGGGCCTGTTGTGGGGTGGGGGGAGCGGGGAGGGATAGCATTAGGAGATATACCTAATGTTAAATGACGAGTTACTGGGTGCAGCACACCAACATGGCACATGTATACATATGTAACTAACCTGCACGTTGTGCACATGTACCCTAAAACTTAAAGTATAATAAAGAAAAAAAAAACACAGAATGCTGAGCCTTACTTCCAGAGTTTCTGATTTATGAAGTCTGAATGGCGCCTGAGAATGTGCATTTCTAACAAGTTAGTAATGCACCAACTAGGTGTTACCAATGATGATAATCTGGGGACCACTCTGAGCCCCTCTGCTCTAAGAAGATACTTAACGTGTTCTTCAAAAATGCCCAAAGAAGTAAAAGAGCAACGCTCAAAACTAGTTTGTTACATACTTTTCTCTTTAAAAAACCTACCCAAATGCTTTACAAATACAGGAAATATATCCACCTCCTAAGACATTAATACACCACATACTTAGAACTTAGTAATTATAAAATACACTAACTACACTGACTAGACTATTCAATGGTTGACCTGTGGTATATATCCACAATCATCAATAGAACTTTTTTCCCCCAAATATAGAAGGCCAAATCCCAACCCTGGAAATTCAAATTAAAGGCTTGGCACATCTGTTTAAAAAATAATATCAACATAATCCTGATGAGCACTCTTAGCTGTTTAAAGTCTATGTTTCATTTCTGAGTGCTTGTAAAATTTACAGATCCCTGAGTTCCATCCCAAAATTACCAAATCAGAATCTCTGGCGAATGGGTCCCTGGGAATCCATAGAGCAACTAGACACTCAGGTGATTTAACCACAGAAGTTTGAGAAACATTAGCAGGTCTTAAAGCAAAAGCTTAACAGGTAGGCCAGCAAATTTTGAAAAACGAGAATAATTTATTTTTAGCTATAACTGAATACACATCCTATAACATACCATGTTTGTCAGGCAAAACACTGAATATAGTGAGTTTCACAATACTATGTAATGTGAGGTATAATTGCTAAGAATAAGAAGCTAGCAGTAAAAGTCAATAAGCCAGCAAGAACAAGTGTGCGTTTAGTAAAACTTTGCCTTAAACACGTAAGTGCATGAGTAGAGTTCAAAGATGACCTAAGGAAGAATGTGGCAACTGAATTTTTTTCCAGTTCTCTGAAACAATTTTTTAAAAGTCAGCTTTTAATACCTTCATGAATGTCACAAACATTCAAGAGTGAAGAATCACTGTTCATGGTTAAGAGCTGTGTATCACTGACTTTCCCCAAATTACCTACTCTATCACTCTTCTTTCTCTGCATTGCTTCCTTCTCAGCTTGTAAATCCTTTTCTTTCTGTTTCCCTTATTTATATGCTCTTAGATGGTAACAGATCTAAGACTAGAACCTAAGAAGGTCAGTGACCCTAAACTTTGTGTGTATGTAGAAGAATGTGTCCTTGAAATAATTATTTGCTTAACTTTAATAGAAGATGCATAAATAATAATAAAGTACTTACATAACAGGAAAAAACACATGTATTGAAATAAGGGTGTACAATAGAAAGCATACCCTAAAGACTTCTTCTATTAAATATTTAGCTCTAAACCTTGACCATGATTAAGATTCTGGAAATGACAAAGGAGCAGCTCTCCTAAAGCAAGAGTCTCTGTTTTCCAACTATACTAATCCATCCTATCCAATATTACCAAATAAATTTTCCAAAGTGACCTTCTGATCCTGTTTCTTTGTCTTTAAAAAGGGTTAGGTAACACTATTAGTGTGTGGCAGATCTCAGATTCCACCTGAGAATCTCCACCCTTTTCCCCATTTTAATATGAAGCCCCATTTTTAATATGGCCTATGCCTTTCCACAAATCAGATGCTCAATATATAATTTTTAAATTAAAAGATTCAAGAAATTTGGGACTATTTTTTAAGAATAGAAGGAAGAAACATGATAGCTACCCTCAGATATTTGAAAAGGATATCAAACAAAAGGCGGATTTGGTAATTTATACAACTCCAGAGAGTAATAAATAGGAATTACAACATGGCAGTGCTTTGTTTAATAGAGTTAAAGCAGTGTTGAAGTTACACTCTATGAGAATTTTTAAAACCGTGTTTTCATTTTGGTGGCATTGTAAAAAAAGAAAAGGCATATTCTACATCATCTAAATGATCTCTCCATAGTTCTGTATACTTGCCTCAAGCCTTCTGTGTTTGAGGCTGCATTTGTTTATGATCAAACTGTTACCAAATGACCACTAAAAGGAACAAGGTTACATTTTTTAATGCAGTATACATACTCAGACTGAGGTCACTGGGTACATCTCAAAAATTCAGAGGATTATTTTGCTCCAAAAGAGATCTGAACATTAATCCTGTGTTAAGAAACACAGGAATAAAAAAGAAAATAAGTAGATTGTCTTGTGAGAATGTTTTGTGTATGTATGTCTGAAAATTCTAAAAGCAGACTGGCCAATGCGCCTGTGGTGGTTGACATTAAATAACAAAACTTAAACCCAAAAGTCTGTACTTCGCAAGAACCTCAAACTTTAAAGTGCAATGAACTGAAAATTTAAAAATGGAATATGCTATGAATGAATGAATGAACATAAAAAATGGAATGTTCAACTGTGGCCTAAGCCATCAACGATTCAATGCTGTACTCAATAAATTAGCTGCACAAATACCTGTTGAATAAATGAATGCACAACAATCTGTTACAGGACATAGTATAATAGTTAGGTGCCTGAGTCATGGTTAAGCGTTGAAGAAATTTTTTGAACCACTGAAATAAGTCAACTTAAATTATTCAAGAAAATATCCCTTCATCCATTCACAGTGAAGGCTTTGACTACTGGTTTGACACTATAACCATTTAAATATTTTAACTATGTTAGCTACAAAGGCAGGCAATATCCAACTTTCCTCTGCTAACAAGTTAAAAGACATTTAATGAGATTCTGGACACAAAGGACATGGAAATGTAGGCTTTCTTAATTTCCCCCTCCTTTAACATCCCAAATAAATAGCTTTGAGAACATTTTTCTTCCTTTAGTATTACCACTATGGAAAATTATTTTAGAATAACATGTCTATACATAAACCAGTATTTAGTCTGCAAAGGCCAGATGTTTATGGAAAAAAAACCAAGTAAAGGAAAAGCATCAGTAACTATTCTGCCACTATTATTTACTCACTGGTGGTGAATAGCCTTCGTCAGATTATCACAAAGAAGGCTTGAGCGATTCTAAACAATGTTGAAAACAACTTAACCAATACTATAATATTATGAATATATGGATAGTTTCTACTTAATTAAGCCCTTACTTTGTGCCAAGAGCTGTTCTGAGTGTTTCATATGAGTTGATGTATCATTTCATTCTCATAACAATCCTATAAGGCAATTATTCTTATCATCCCAATAAAGCAATTTGTGTAAGATCACACAGTAGAGCTAAACGATCTAGAAAAATGTGTGATCTTAACACATATTTAGTAGAGAAAAGGATCATCTTTTTCTTGAGATGAAAACCCTAACCCATAGAAGAAATACTCAACTTCCCAAAAGTCATGACAAGAACAGCTTGCAGAATGACTACACTTGGTAGAAAACTATAGAATATGAATTCAAATGACTTGCAACAAAAACTCATGGCCCATTAATTACTGGTCAAGAGTTCTGTGTATAGTAAGATAATATTCTACAAGAAGACCATCAAATATGCTACAATAAGACATATTTGACTCATGTAATCAGGGAACTCCATTCACATGGCCAAGTAGGGCAAAACGTTTTCTTCTAGGAAACTGATATATAGACACTAGAAGAGAGAGGGAGTTTTTTTTACTTTTTTTTTTTTTATATTACAAACTGTATGGATGCAGGTATGGGGATGCTAGCCGTCCTCTTCCACACCATACAGACAGCCTGTCAGTGGCAGAGTAAGGCCAGCATGCAAATAGAGCAAAGGTATACAAGCCAAGTAATATCAAGACAAAAGTCAGGGATTATTACACTCTGAGATCATTTGAGACTCTAGATTTGTCTCTTAAACCAAAATTAGATTGTGTTAGCCAATGACTACATTTTCCCCTCTTAAACTAGATTGAGTTGTATTTTGCTACTTGCAATAAGAAGAATCCTAATATACTTATCAAATTGCCAGTGTTCCAAATTTAAAACTTTAATGATGATAAAGTTCAAGAAAATGACACTCTAAAATACAACTAGGTCAAACTTTCTAGAAGATAAACAGGCAATTACATTGAAAGCTTTAAAATGGATACTTTTTGACCCTGTAATTCTACTTCTTCTAATTTATTATTAAGAAAGAACCATGAGGCCGGGCATGGTGGCTCACGCCTGTAATCTCAGCACTTTTCTCACTTTTTTGAGAATAGGTTTGATAAAAAGGCAGTAATGGTAAAACAGACTATATCTGAAATCTGGAGAGTATTAAGAGCCATATATTATGTTAAGTACCCAACATTAATATTATCTAATTTAACCATCACCACAAGCCTACAAAATTCTGATACTCTTCCTCACTATTTAGATGGGAAAAAATGTAGATGTAAATTTTTTAAAAGCAGGTTAAAAACAGTACTCAGTCCCTAATCCTACAGTTATTAACATACAGATGTAACACAGAATTGAGAAATAGTAGACAATGGTCTCTACATAGTGAAAAAGCAGGTGATTTTTATTTCTTTGTGCACCTGTGTAGTTTTTAAATTTTTTCCTCCAAAATTTTAAAATTTCATTAACATTAAAATAGTTTAGCCAGATCAAATGATTGTAAACACACTCAGGGAACTCCTATTTAAATGGTATTCTATTATAAAGCAAAGAGAATAATCAATGCTCTTCTATTATAAAGCAAAGAAAATAAACCCCAACCTTACTATAAAGTAATAGAATTTAAATATCTATATCAAAAAAAGTCAAAGGAGATTCTTTAACTTTCTTCTTACCAATCAGTGAATCTCAGACAGGGAACTAAAGAATTAAAACATTCTTTTTAATTTTTTTTTTTTTTTTTTGGAGACAGCATCTCACACTGTCATCAGGCTGGAGTGCAGTGGCGCGATCTTGGCTCACTGCAACCTCTGCTTCCCAGGTTCAAGCGATTCTCCTGCCTCAGCCTCCGAGTAGCTGGGATTACAGGCATGTGCCACCACATCCTGCTATTTTTTTTTTTTTTTTTTTGTATTTTTAGTAGAGACGGGGTTTCTCCAAGTTGGTCAGGCTTGTCTTGAACTCCTGACCTCAGGTGATTCACCTGCCCCGGCCTCCCAAAATGGTGGGATTACAGGCAGGAGCCACCGTGCCGGGCCGACAATATTTCTAAAGAAACCTTTTAAAAACCTGCATTCTCTTTGTTCATCCAATTATTCAATCATTGTCTCATTTGTTAATTCAAATACTTATTAAGAGCTCACTGTGTACACCACGTACCAGTATTCACACCACAGATTTCTTTTTTAATTTTTTTGAAACACAGTCTTGCTCTGTCACCCAGGCTGGAGTGCAATGGGGCGATCTTGGCTCACCGCAACCTCCGCCTCCCAGGTTCAAGCAATTCTCCTGCCTCAGCCTCCTAAGTAGCTGGGATTACAGGCACCCGCCACCACGCCTGGCTAATTTTGGTATTTTTAGTAGAGATGGGGTTTCACCATGTTGGCCAGGCTGGTCTCGAACTCCTGACCTCAGGTGATCCACCCACCTCGGCATCCCAAAGTACTGGGATTACAAGCATGAGCCACCGCGCCCAGCCCACAAATTTCAAATTCAGCCTACTTGGGATTTGGTCCACTGAAACATATCCAGTTTTATAATGGAAAGGGGGAGGGTAGAAATCATTTTAAAGAAATTTGCTTAGCATCTGAATTTACAAGACTCTTAAGAACAGAAACGTATCCCAACCCTCAAAGACTTCAACTTTCGCCTTTAAACCTTATTTTTAACCATAGTATTTTTCAGCTGGAAAAACAAATCCTCCCAAACTACTTGGAAAAAAAAAAGGGGGAAACACGGGGGACCTGTCCTTAATGAGTGAAAATTGCAATATTAAATACTAGACACTTTTAAATTAATTTGCCTAAATATATTGTGACTTTTCAAACAAGTGAAGAACTACATACAGTAAACTATGTTCCATCACTACATTTTCCCATTTACAAGATAATAAATTTTCAAAATCATATGTTGAAATAATCTTTATGGTTAAAACTGTAACCGGTTAAGGTGAAATTTTAAAATAAAGAAACACTCATAAATAACAGTTGAGATCACCAGAACAGCTAAAAGCTAACATCTTGGGAACAGTTTTTAATAAAAATACATTATTTCAATTATTGTTTTAAATCTTAGAGAACAAATTTCCTAATTAAATTGGGCTTTATCAACAATAGAACAGGTGTACACTATTTTACCCAAAAAGTGTTTCTGTGAAAAAGTACTGGCATAACAAATCTAAGTCACTAGAAAAATTGAATTCTCCTTTTAGAGGTACTTACTCTCCTTTCAGTTAAAGCTTCCACTGGCAAACTGTAGTTAGCTTTCAGCTGGTTAATTATCCACAAACAAGCCCTTAAAAACAATCACTTCAACATATTAGATGGCTACCACTTTGCCACATTAGATGGCTAAGAAAGAAAGAGAAGAGAAGGAAGGAAAGAAAGAAAACAAGTGTTTAGAAGGATGTGGAGAAATAGGAACCCTTGTGCACTGTTGGTGGGAATGTAAACTGGTGCAACTGCTATAGAAAACAATATGGTGGTTCCTTGAAAATTAAAAAGGGTTACCATATGATCCAGCATCCCTCTTCTGGATATGTATCCAAAAAAAGTGAAAGCTTCAAAGAGAGATTTGCAGACTCATGTTCAGAGCAGCACAATAACCAAGATGTGGAAGCAACCCAAGTGTCCGTTGCTGGATGAATGGAGAAACAAAATATGGAACATATAATGGAATATTGCTCAGACTCAAAAAGGAAGGAAATTCTGACACATGCTACAACATGGATGAACCTTGAGGACATTACACAAAGTGAAATAAGCCCATCACAAAAATATTAAAACCCTATAATTCTATTTATATGAGGCATCTAGAGTAGTTAAATTTGCAGAAACAGAAAGTAAAATGGTGGTTGCCAGAGGCTGAGGAGAGGGGGAAATTGGGAGTTGTTTAATGGGTAAGATTTCAGCTTTGCAAGATGAAAAAGTTCTGGAAGTTAGTGGCACAATGTGAATATACTTAACACTACTGAACAGTACTTAGAAATGGTTAAGATGGTAAATTTTAGGTTAATGTTTTTGAACTACGATTTTAAAAAACAATCAAAAGCTATAAGAAAAAAGCCATGAGGTAATCACATTTTTGTTTTTATGAAACAAAAATTTTAAATTTTGTTTTAAAAATTCAGGTTTTAGATACTAGATTTCTCTAAAGGGATCATGTCTGGCAAATAAATAAGGGTTTATAAATTTCTACTGCAGAAAACATGAACATTAATACTCAACGCATATACAAAACAGTTAATTCTTGATGTGTCAAGAGACCAAGAGATATAATTATTTTTAAAATTCCAAAGCCTATAGTTAATTTAAACAATCTGACCATATTTTTACCAAAAATACTGAGCAACAAGAAGCTTGGCTTGTCTTAGTTTCAAATTCTCTTTCTAACCTTCCAGAGTTAAGCAGAAAACACATACACACACTGGGTAAAATCCACCCACTGGATAACTAGTCACAAAGTTTAAAAAATCAATTTCTTGATTGGAAACTCATCCAACATCACATTTAAATTTAGATTTTTTTATCCTGGTTAAGAAACAGACTTATGTTAATCTTAGATAAAGGGATACAGTATTTTAAGTATCTAAATTTAAAAAATTATATACTAAGAGAAGGCATCTATGAACACACAATTTAACCCAAATCTTTAACATCCATGCACATCAATTTTTATTTCACCACCAAACATAATAAACTGAGTTCTTCAGAAAAAAAAAAAAAATCAGTCAAGAGACTAAATAATCCCCCTCAGCTTTCTATACACCACTCTTGACATACAAGAATAGAATGTAACCACAAAATCTAAACCCTGAGCCGTGACACCATTAGAGTCACAGACAATGGCGTTAAAAGTAAAGACAATGGAAGTTAACAGGTAGAAAAGTTGACATTCTCCAAACTGCACAAGGTGCTCTGCAGTGGACCGTAGGAATGAACTCCAATACTTTCTCAGTCTAAAATAACTCGATAGTTCAGTAAATACACACGTGTGGAAGAGTGCATAGACTTCATACAAATTGAGCCACAAAACAGACCAGTAAGACAAGCTTGAAGTCTTGCCTTCAGATGGAACCCAATGGTCTTAACTCTGGAGAAACTCATAAGCAAAGGACAGTTTTTCTACCACGTAGCTGCTTTACTGAGAATATTTTATCAACTCATTATCTTTTACAAAGGTTAATTTTTATAAAATTGTCTAAACTTTGGCATCAAGACGAAAAATGTTTTAACTTACTGCCAGTACTAAGAATGCAGTGTCTTGCACATATCTTGCTTAAATGAACAGTAAGACTAGAATACTGTGTATGTTTGACTCTAGAGTCCAGAGTAAACTCAGTATTCTATTTGGGGAGAAAACACAGGGGTGAGCAATTGTGAAGCAGGAGGCCTCCACTAGAGTAGAGAGCAGATCAGATGCTCAAGAAAAATAACTGATACTAGGTGCCAATATAACCCAAGGATGTACTCTTTTGCCCATTGTAACAGGAAAAAAACGCTTTTCAAGCTCTGGATCCAATGTTAGTCTTTTCACTTTCAGGAGATAGAAAAGATGCATGAAGACACAGAAAAGAAACTAAAGGAAACAGCTGGAAGGACTAGCAAAAAAGAGTTTTAAGAGTTGTGGAAGTTTAAACAAGAATTTTAACAGGTAACATCTATTTTCAAGTACACAGTGTCATCAAGACTCCTGCAATGGGCTAAGTGCTTCACAAGCATTATCTCATTTAACCTTTACAATAACTGCTCAGATGGCTGCTATTCTTATCATCATTTCAAAAGGAGGAAAGAGGCTCAGAGGCATTCAGTAACTTGCTCAAGCTCACAAGTGAAGGGCTGGGACCCTTAACTCAGAGGTATCTGCCTCTAGATCCTATGCTCTTAACCACCATATGCTGCTTCCTCAAACAAAAGGACAATCAAAATAGAATCATAAGGAGAAAAGTTTGCTAATAAATGAGAGAGCTTCTTGACTTTTAATGGCCAAAGTTAATGAAGGAAATTAAGGAATATCTATTCTCAGAAATTTTACTTTAATGATTCAGTAATTATTTGTTTTGGAAAACTCTGAAGGAGTCTGGCCTGAAGCCTGAAACAGAATCATTACTCTCTTGACATTCCCTTAAAAATCTAAAAATCAAAATGCACGTGCTATTAAATAAGTTCAGCCCCTATAACTAGGAACAACATGAAATGTCCTGCGTTAAATCTACAGTATCATAACCATACCCATTTTCTATTCTGATTTCTTCCAATTCTTCAGGTTTTGAGTTTCCTAGACCTTCTTTTAAAAAGACAAATTTGTTTTCCAAACTCCGACATTGGGAGCTCATTTAAAATGAAAAAAAAAATTGCTTGAAGAAAATCTCCGTCCCTCAACCTCTCAGTTATCTTTCAAAAAACTGTAAATTAGTTAGAAAAGGTCATCTATTATAAACAGCATCTAAAAGTGCTGAGTAACCACCACTTATTAAGTGTTTAACTTAATTTTTCAGTTATATCAAGAACTTCTATACTAAGAAATATGAATCCATCCAATCCAAGGTTGCCAAGTTTTCAAATGAGAAAATTTTGAAAGTAACAGATGGGCTGAGGAAAATCTAAGAGCTTATTTAGAATTGGGGCTGATGAACAGTAGCTAATTTATTAATTCGTTTCAAAACTGCTTCTGATATTCTGAACGGATGAATGGCAAAACAATGAGTTCGATACTGTATATAAAAAAAGTGGTACATAATTTAATGCATTGTATTAAGTATGATTCAATATATAATAAGGATAGAAAACTGGCACTACACAGAGGTAATCTGCCTTAGGTTTACAATATAGCAGCTTTATCATTTCATCAAAAGCACTGTAATCACCTCCGCAAAATAAACTGCAATTAATTCCTGGTAACTCTTGGAATTAATCTAGACCTGTTTGCTCACTTTTTGAATTTTATAAGTGACCTTCTCTGCTGTATACAAACTAAGAATTTAATATTCTATTGAAGAAGGACCAGGAGAAGGGATCTACAAAACAGCAGGAATATAAACAAGTTTATCTTCTGCTGATACTGATTAGGGAAATTAATCTCTCTGCCAGAAGAGTGGAAGGATTTAACAGCAAAGCCAGTCTACTAACCAAAACTCTTACTCTAAATCTTCAATTCCTTAAGTGATTTCCTTAAAAGTTAAAATGCCAAAGTGGGCAAAATTGTGTGTGTGTTGGGGGATGGGGGAGTCCGCTCTTAACACCACTGGTCCAACTCACAATTCTTAATCTCTAATGTACCCCTTAGACTCAAACTTCAAGGTGATTTATAAAACTTGCATTAAGTTCTAACCGAGTGATTACTTACTTTAGATATATGTTGACGGTTTTCCTTTAATATACTTCAATTTCAGGAAAATGAGACAGAGTTCGAAAATTTTTGCAACATTTTAGTGCCGCATTTCATTCACTCATCATATACTTTTTTCAGTATCATTAAAACTGCCTAAATTTAACCAGCCCCTACATTTTCATTATTTGAAGAATGAATGAGGCATATATTCATTTATAATATCTGCGTTCTCGTGACAGGTGATATGAACTCAAGTATCCAATTCTGAAGTTCTCTTTAAAATGTTGCCATTTCCCTAAATTCCCATTACTCTGACTCTCAGTCTAGGCAAGTTTTTCAAGGCGATTAAAACGAAACAAAACCTGCACGTGCAAACTAAAAAGTTCGCATCTTAAGGCCATCGCGGCAAATCCCTAATGCACAAAGGCAAAGACACCCGCGACGGCTGGACAACTACAGGACAAGATCGCATCCGACCACGCGAGTCCCTCAGTCGGGAACTCAAGGCCCCAAGTCCACTGGAAAGCCAGGACCAGCGTGCAGGGTCCGCCCCAGGGCCGAGTTTTCAATGGAACTGGAGAGGATGGGGGCGGGAAGGAGCGGAAGCTCCGGGTGCAAACCGCGGCTACCGAGCTGCAGCTCATTTCTCTTCCCGGGGTTTTCAGGCTGGGTAAAGTCCCCTCCGGATGGGGCCACAGAGCAGGCTGGGTTTTTGAGGCGGGTAGGTGGGCGGCGCGAGGCCCCCACGGCCGGCGGGGAGGGCAAGCAGGGCTCAGACCCCGGCCCCTGAAAGCACTTTCGAGGCGTCTCCCACCCCCCACGACAAGATGGCGACGTGGACAGCGGGGGAGCCCGGCCGGCGAGGTTGGGGGAAGAGAGGGGAGGGGAGCAGCAGCAGAAACAAAAAGGCTGCCCCCCCCAATCCCATTAACGCCGAGGCCGGCCCAGGAGCCCAGGGCGGGCAGGCGGGCGGGGTCGCCGGGGGAGAAGGCGGCGGGCCGAGGGAATGGGCTTACTTTTTCTTGTCGTTCGCGCCGCCGGCGCCCTCCATGGTGAATCGGTCCCCGCGATGTCTTCACGGCGGGCGGCCCCCAGGCTCGCTCCGGCCTAAGCGCTGGCTCCCTCCACACGCGGAGAAGAGAAGGAAAGGCAAGTCCAGAGGTGGGGGTGCGAGGCGGGAAACCCCTCGTGAGACTAGAGAGAAGCGGGCGGCAATCGCCGGGGTCCGGGCCCGGCTCCGAGCCTCTCCTCAGGTGGCTTGTCAGGGCCCAGCCCGACACACTGGCCGAAGCGACGAAGAGGGTGATCCTCCTGTCCCCTCAGACGAGGCAGCACTGTGCACTGAGGAGCTGAGGCAGCGTCAGGGGGCGGGCAAGGGCGGAGGCGCGCTCGGGCGCGCGGGGAGGGGAGAGGGGGCGGGAGCGCGCCCGCTCGCCTGCCCAGGCCGGCGCGCGCTCCCGCAAGCCCGCCTCACCTGAGGTGGAGGCGGGTTCCTCGAGATCCAATGGCGAGCGACGCAGGCGGCAAGTCCCCACCCCAGCCCACGCCGCTCTCAGCCAATCAGGAGGCGGTCAGCTGAGGCACAGCTGGGACGGGCTGCGACGCTCACGTGCTCGTCTGTGTTTAGCGGCGGAGGAAAGAGAAAGGAGATGGGGGTGCGGCTCAGCCCGAGTCTGGGGACTCTGCGCCTTCTCCGAAGGAAGGCGGTGCCCGGCTTTGGGAGGCGCTGCTGAGAAGGGATTTCGGTTGCCTGGTCCCAAACATGCATCATATTTTCCTACTCTTGGTGCAGTAATGTAATGCTCCTGCTCTCTTTCTCCTCGGCCTCAGTGCTGGGCACGATTGCCGCCCAACTCTGCTGGGCTCTCTGTTCAAAAAAGCAGACTTCGCCTCGTGGCAGCAAGCCCTTCCTTTGGTCTCGTTGCTCAGATGTGTTACAACGGGGTCTTTCCTTACCAGATTACCTAACCATGGGTCAATGTCACCCACCGCACTCTTTGCCACGGAGCACAGGGGAACTCACCTTGTCTACTAAGTTTTTCTGTGGCGGAGTTTACTTACTGAATAAATGCAATTAAAAATAAAAATGAACTCCTGTTGCTGTAAACTTCAAGGGAAATAAAGTTGCAGGGAAATCTTAAAATCTGAAACTATGTTAAGCATTTGCAAATAGGTATAAATGACTTTAATAAGCATATAAACCAATTTCAGGGAAAGAGTAGAAAAAATGGCCTTTGGCAACTTTGCAAGCTACTAAACAAAACATAATCACTTTTGTCTTTGGAGGCATAAACTTCAAGCCTGTCAGTCTTCTAAAAGAAAAATATGTTTTGAGCCCAACAAAGTAGCATTGCACATATATCTCCACTTGGCGCTAAATTATTTTACTTCTCACCTTTGCCTTATGAGTTTCTTGTTAAAACCTAGCTTTGGGTTGTAAATATAAATATCTGTAGTGGCTTTCAATTGTATTAGCATGTAAAAACAATGGTCTATATAGAAGCATCAAACTCTGACAAGACAACAACCAATGTATACAGCACCTCTTTTTAACTGGTCAGTAGACCTACAAAGATACGATTAAACATTGACCTTAGCGGACAGGGTGGTTCCAGCTACTCAGAGGTGTGAGGCTGGAGAAGCCTGGGTGTTCCAGCCTAGGGAACGTAGCGAGACTCCGTCTCTTTAGAAAATTTTTGATCTTCACGCTACTTTTGTTTTTTCAGATCTACAACACTAAATGATATGTATTATGTCTTGAAAAGAACCATGGGAAATGCCTGAAGAGAAGAAAGAACTAAAAATAATTACTCATAATTTCTTTTTTAATTGTGGAAAGAATACTGTAAATTAAAAACTTTTTAGTTTAACATTCTCAAGATACTGTGTTAAGAACACTGGCTCCAGAATCAAGCGTGAGCTTGTACACAGGCTTTGAATCTTACTGGCAAGTCGTTTAATCTCTCCATAACTCAGTTTACTTATTTATAAAATGGATATAAAAGTGTCTATACCACAGTATTATGGATGGTTAAATGAGATAATAAATGTATACTTAGAACAATATCTGGTGCATAGTAAGCACTCAGTAAATGTTAGCTCTTAGTATTGTTGGTGGCGTTATTATTATTATCATTATTATTATTCTGAGGCGGAGTCTCGCTCTGGCCCACAGGCTGGAGCGCAGTGGCGCGATTTCGGCTCACTGCAACTCCGCCTCCCAGGTACAAGTGATTCTCCTGCCTCAGCCTCCCAAGTAGCTGGGATTACAGGCACGCACCACCACACTCGGATAATTTTTCTATTTTTAGTAGAGACGAGGTTTCACCATGTTGGCCAGGCTGCTCTCGAACTCCTGACCTCAGGTGGTCCGCTCGCCTCGGGTTCCCAAAGTGCTGGGATTACAGGCATGAGCCACAGTGCCTGGCCTATCATCATTATTATTGCCCTCAAATTTATTCCTCTGTTAACAGTAATTACTCGGGCTTCTCCTACAGTTTAGCCATTTTTAACTATCCAAGAATACCAATTATGTTAATATAAATCCACATATATTCTCTATTTTCAACTTTGGAACTGCCCATCGTGTTCCCACCCTCATTTATGAGGATAGCTGCAGAGATCTTCCATCATTTCCCTTTTCATTATACTTATAGCAATTATCTCTGGCCAGTGATTATAGTATATAATGTTTGTGACATCAAAAGACAAGCATTTTGTAACAGTAAATCTAAGTCATTTAAAATTTTTTTGGATCATTTCAAAAGTTTAAAGCAGAATGATAATTTGATCAGCAAAAAAATTTTTGAATATTCATTAAATATGCCCTTAAGTTAATTTTCCTTTTCAAAAATGTATAAAATATATGTTTATGTATATGTGTATACACAAATATAAATATGAAAATGGAAAGGAAAGTAGTATATGTGTATATATATATATGTCTATACAAATATAAATATGAACATGGAAAGCAGTAATATTCAACCAACTAATTTTCATATAGTTACAAAGGCACCAAATAGTATCCCCTAATTCAAACAATCCTATTAAATAACAGACACCAAAAAGGAAAATTTCATATAGGATAAAATTTTAAATCCCTCTCTCTACAACCACTTAACAAATGCATTTAGGTTATTACTATGTAAGTATATCTTAACAAACAGTCATTTAATCACTTTCTAACTTTGCAGAACTTTCTGAGTAGACTACAAGATTACTTGCAAATGACCCCATTGACCCTTAGCCCGTATTTATTAGGAAATTGGGCAGTGAATCAGGAGGTTAAGTAAAACTTGAAATTTTGATTACTACTAAATAATACAGAGCATTGAGCCTTTTGAAGGTGAAATGCATCAGATGCACACAATTTATAGGGTATCAAACTATACAAGAAGACCTAGTATTCAGTAAGTGATTCCTGGCCTATTACTACCCTTAGTTGTTTCTTTTTCTTTAAGCTATTCATAACGAGAACAATGGCAGCAAAAGGGTATTGTTTGGAAGGAAAGTGCGTACAAGATAAGAGGCATTAAAAATCTTTGTTTTTTCCTTTCAAGAATCAAGACACAAAGTATCTGTGATTCCAACATTTTGGGAGGCTGAGGCAGGAGGATCACTTGAGGCCAAGAGTTTGAGACCAGCCTGGGCAACAAAGTGAAACTCCCATCTCTACAAAAAATTTTAAAAATTAGCTGGGCTTGGTGGTTAGTGCCTGTAGTCGTAGCTACTCTGAAGGCTAAAGCGGGAGGATCACTTTCTCCCAGGAGTTCGAGGCTGCAGAGATGTACGATTGTGCCACTGCACTCCAGCCTTGACAGAGCAAGACCCTATATCTTAAAAAAAAACACAAAAAACAAACAACAACAAAACCCACACACACAGACACACAAAATAAAATGTATATTTATCTGAGTTTAGGGGGAATATAAACAGACTGAAAATTTGATATTAGCACTTTTCAATTATGATAAATATTTTTAAGATGAATTTACAAAGGAACACCAAGGGGCTTTCAGTTTCCTGTTCAACATGTAAAGAGCTTGGAAGTTGTCACTCCCATCCTCACAACAAGAAAAAAAAAAGCTAAGCAAACTGAAATCAGTAACTCTTCTTAGATCCACCAGAGAATTGAGGTCACAGGAAAAACCACTGCCCTAAAAACTAGAGAGACAGACAGATAGATACAGAGAATCACAGCTTTTCAGAGAATCACAGTTTACCAGGAGCAGAGCCCAGGCACAGAAGCCAGAAGCTGAAGCTAGTTTCACAGCTGGAGCCAACATCAGTAGGAACACTAAACTGTAATTGGGGAATTGCTGGAGGCTCAGTGCAGACTAGCTTGAGAGTTAAAAAACTCCAAGGAGGCTCAGTCTGAGAGGGGCCTCAATACTTACCTCAGTTTTACCTCTGTGAATCCTGTCAGATTCTCACTGTAAAGATCTGAGAAAAATCTGCTTTGCTTTTGCCAGGGAGAAGGGGTAAGTAACCATCGTGAAATACTCTCAGGGCTCTCTGTTCTTCTTAACAAGACCTGGCCTCAAGGGAAACTCTCTATCAGAGCCTAACCAGATGAATCTACCAAAGGCTAACCAATCTGGAGGAAGGGAAATTACCAACTCTGGTCAGCTCTAGCCTTCCACAGGGGAGAAGGGAAATACTCAACTCAAGCTCACTAAAAGACTTGAGCCCTAATCATAGGACTGCAGAAAGTCCTCCTCTCCCCCTCACCTTATCACCACATCAGAAGAGCTCCTGTGTAATAACGGGGCATTACAGCTAAAAGAACTCAAACCTCAGACCCTATTTTAAGAGTCTCTGGGGACAGCCAAAGACAACATAGGAAGCAAAAACAAGGACACAGTAGGAAATTTTAGCCTCTGACACCACGAACAGTAACAAAGCCTACCTCTTTGCCAGATAAACATGAAACCTCACACTTAAAGGCGCATCTACCTAAGTTCTTTTTAACTGATACAGCATGTCTGGCTTTCAACAATGACAACAATGATAGAAAAATTACAAAATATGCTAAAAGACAGAAAACACAGTCTGAAGAGACAAACCAAACATCAGAATCAGACTCACATATGGCAGAGATTTTTGAATTTGAGACCAAAAATTTTAAATAAATATGATTAATATGCCAAGGATTCTAAGGAAACAGTGGACAACATGCAAGAACACATGGGTAATGTACGCAGAGATATGGAAGCTCTAAGAAAGAATAGAAAGGAAATGCTAGAAATAAAAAACAATAGAACAAATGAAAAAATGCCTTTAATGGGCTCATCAATAGACTGGATACAGCCAAGGCAAGAATAAGTAAGCTTGAAGATACGTCAGTACAAACTTCTAAAACTGAAATGCAAAGCAAAAAAAAAAAAAAAATGAAAAATATGGAACAGAATACCCACGTACTGTGGGTGTGAGACAATTACAAAAGTTATAACCTAACTGTAATGAAAGTACCAAAAGAGAAGAGAGAGGTAAGGAAAGAAGAAATAGTTAAGTAATGACCGAGAATCTTCCAAAATTAATGACAAATACCAAACCACTGATCCAGGCATCTCAGAGAGCACTGACAGGATAAACACAAAAAAATCTACACCTGGACTGGCCAGGGATGGTGACTCGTGCCTGTAATCCCAGCTCTTTTCAAGGCCAAAATGGAAGGATCACTCAAGCCCAGGAGTTAGAGAGTTAGAGACCAGGCTGGGCAACACAGGGATACTCTGTCTCTATAAAAAATAAAAAATTAGCCTGAGTGGGTGGCATGTGCCTGTAGTCCCAGTTACTTGGGTGGCTGAGGTGGGAGGATTGCTTGAGCCCAGGAGTTCAAGGCTGCAGTAAGCTATGATGGCACCACTGTGCTCCAGCCTGGGCAGCAGAGTGGGACCCTGTCATTTGTGTGTGTGAGTGTGACAGTCTCACTCTGTCGCCCGGGCTGGAGTGCAGTGGCACAATTTCAGCCCACTGCAACCTCTGCCTCCCAGTTTCAAGGGATTCTTCTGCCTCAGCCTCCCGAGTAGCTGGGATTACAGGCGCCTGCCACCATGCCCAGCCAATTTTTGTATTTTTAGTAGAGACGGGTTTCACCATGTTCGCCAGGCTGGTCTCGAACTCCTGACCTCAGGTGATCCGCCCGCCTTGGAATCCCAAAGTGCTGGCATTACAGGCGTGAGCCACCGCGCCTGGCCTAACCCTGTCTCTTAAAGAAACAAATAAACAAAATCTTCAAAATCTACACCTAGGCATAGTATTTTCAAAACTGTGGAAAATCAAAGACACAGAGAAAATCTTGAAAGAAGGGGCAAGGGAGTATGGGAGTGGGAGAAAACACCTTACTTATAGAGGTGGAACAATAAGAGTTACATCAAACTTCTTTTCAAAAACCATGCAAGCAAGAAAAGTGTGAGATGAAATACTTAAAGTGTTAAAAGAAAAAACTCACCCATCTAAAATTCTGTACTCAGTGAAATTAACCTTCAAAAATGTTGGAGTAAAAATTAAAGGAGTAAATTGTCCTTTCTTCAAAAGAAAGTCTGACTTTCTCAGACGTATAAAATGGAGGAAATTTGTTGCCAGTTGAACTGCCTTGCAAGAAATGTTAAAAAGAAGTTCCTCAGAAAGAAGAAAAATAATATAGATCAGAAAATTGAATCCACATAAAGGAAGAACGTTATAAAAGGAATAAAGGTAAAATAAAGTATTTTCTTTTTCTTAATTGATCTAACACATAATAGTTTGTTCAGAAAAAGAATAGTAAAAATGTATTCTGGATTATTTTATGGAAAAGGGAAATGAATGACAGCAATGTTAAAAGGGATGGGATGGAGGAATTAAGAATACTGTTATAAGATACTTGTACTACCAGTGAAGCAGTATAATATTATTTGAAAGTGGACTTGGATTAGTCATATATGTGTATTTGCAAACTCTAGGACAACCAGTAAAATTTTTTTCTCTAAAGTATAATTGATATGCTAAGAGAGGAGAAAGAATGGAATTATGTAGACTGCTCAATTAAAACCAAAGAAGACAGAAAATGAGTGGAAGACAACACAGAAACAAAGGACAAGAGCAAAAAAGAGAATTCCACAGAATTGACATAACAAAACCAAACAAAAAATCTCCTGAAACAAATAAGCTATTATAGCAAAGTTGCAGGATACAAGGTTAATGTACAAGAGTCTATTTCTTTCCTGTATACAGCAAGGAACAGTTGGAATTTGAGTTAAAAACACAATACCAGCCGGGCATGGTGGCTCACGCCTGTAATCTCAGCACTTTGGGAGGCCGAGACGGGTGGATCACCTGACGTTAGGAGTTTGAAACCAGCCTGGCCAACGTGGTGAAACCCCGTCTCTACTAAAAACAAATACAAAAATCAGCCGGGTATGGTGGCGGGCACCTGTAATTCCAGCTACTCGGGAGGCTGAGGCAGAAGAATTGCTTGAACGTGGGAGGCGGAGGTTTCACTGAGCCGCAATCGCATCACTGCACTCCACCCTGGACGACAAGAGCAAGACTCTGTCTCAAAAAAAAAAAAAATTACCATTTACATTAGCACTAAAATATTGAAATACTTAGGTATAAATCTAAGAAAATATGTATAAGATCTATATGAGGGAAACTACAAAACTCGAATGAAAGAAAACAAAGGAATCTAAATAAATGGAGAAATAGTTCATGTTCATGGAAAGGAAAATTCAATATTAACAGGTCAGTTCTTTTTCCAGTTGATCTATAGATTTAATACAATCCAAATCAAAACCCCAGCAACTTAGTTTGTGGATATCAACCAGCTGATTCTAATGTTTACATGGAAAGGCAAAACCAAATAGCCAGTATGGTATTGAAGAAGAACAAATTTACAGGACTGACACTACTACTACTTCAAGGCTATAATATAAACATACAGTAATCAAGACAGTGTAGTACTGGCAAAAGTACAGACAAATAGATCAGTGGAACAGAATTTAGAGCCCAGAAATAAGCCCACACAACAATAGCCACCAAAAATAGCCATTCGTTTTTGACAGAGGAGCAAAGGCAATTCAATAAAGAAAGAATAATTTTTTTTAGCAAATACTGATGGAACAACTAGATATTCACACGCAAAGAAAATTAACTTTAGACTCTCACCTTATTACACCTATCACAAAAATTAACTCAGAATGGATTCTAGACCTAAATGGAAAATGGAAAACTATAAAGTTTCTGGAAAATGACATAGGAAAAATTCTAGGTTGACCTTAGGTTTGGCAATGAATTTTTAGATACAACACCAAAAGTATAATTCATGAAAGAAAAAATTGCTAAGTTGGACTTCATTAAATTTAGAAAACCTTTTCTCTGCAAAAGACAATGCTAAGAGAATGAAAAGACAAGCCACACATTGGGAGAAAATATTTGCAAAACACATGTCTGATAAAGGACTTGTATCAAAAATATACAAACAACTCTTAAAACTCAACAAAAGGAAAATAAATAACCAAGTTAAAAAGTGGGCATAAGATCTGAACAAACCTTACTAAAGACATACAGATGACAGACAAGCATATGTAAAGATGCTCTACATCATATGTCATTAGGGAATTGCAAATTTTAAATAACAATGAGATACCACTACACTCTTAAACTACTAAAATCCAAAACACTGATAATACCATATGCTGGTGAGCATGTGGAGCAACTGGAACTCTCTTTTATTGCTGGTGAAATGCAAAATGGTATAGCCACTTTGAAAGACAGTTTGTTAGTGTATTACAACACTAAACATAGTCTTACCATACAATCCAGCAATTGCACTCCTTGTTATTTGCCTGCATGAGTTGAAAACTCATATGTTACCTAACAAATGTTATAGCAACTTTATTCATAATTGCCAAAAATTGTAGACAATCAAGAATTGCTAATAGGTGAATGGATAACAAATTGTGCTGTATCTATATGATGAAATATTATTCAGCAATAAACAGAAATGAGCTATCAAGCCACCAAAAGACTTGGAGGAAATTTAGATGCTTATTGCTAAGTGAAAGAAGCCAATCCAAAAAGCCTATATATTGTATGACTCCAACTCTACAGCGTTCTGGAAAAGGCAAAACTATGGAGCTAGTAAAAAGATCAGTGGCTGCTAGAGATTAACAGGAAGAGGGGAGGGATGCATAGGTGGAACATAGGGGATTTTTTAGGACAGTGAAACTATTCTGTATGGTACTCAAATGGTAGATACGTGACATTATGCATTAGGCAAAACCCATATAACTATACAACATTAAGGGAGAACCTTAATACAAACTATAGACTTTAGTTAATAATCATGTATCAATATTGGTTCATAAGTTGTAACAAGTGTCCCAAACTGATGCAAGATGTCAATAATACGGAAAACCATGAGTCTGGGGGTGGTGAGGAAAGGGAGAGTATATGGGAATTCTCTGTACCTTCTGTTCAATTTTTCTTTAAACCTAAAACTGCTCTAAGAAATAAAGTCTATTAATTAAAAGGAAAAAAACTAATACTTTTTTTTTTTTTTTGAGATGGAGTCTCGCTCCGTCACCAGGCTGGAGTGCAGTGGTGCGATCTCGGCTCACTGCAACCTCCACCTCCCGGGTTCAAGCGATTCTCCTGCCTCAGCCTCCCAAATAGCTGGGACTACAGGTGCGTGCCACCATGCCCAGCTAATTTTTTTGTATTAGTAGAGACGGGGTTTCACCATGTTGGCCAGAATGGTCTCTATCTCTTGTTGGCCAGGATGCTCTCTATCTCTTGACCTGGTGATCCACCCGCCTTGGCCTCCCAAAATGCTGGGATCACAGGCGTCAGCCACTGAGCCACTGCTCCTGGCCTGAATACCTTTTTTAAAATTAATCCAAGGCCACTTTCAAAATGAATATCCCCCTTTTTTTCTTAACCAAAGTCACGTTTTCCTATCTTTCTGAATGAAGCAAAAGGGTTGATGTGTAAGAATAAACCTTAATAAAACATCCCATTCACTATATTCTGACTAGAAAGGAAAATGATATTTGGTATTTCTCCAACATCAAAGTCAATTGGAAGATTCTTAAAAGCCACAGTTCCATAAGATATTACATTTCTAGAAAAAGAAGACATAACAAAGAACAGAGTTGCATTTTTGAAAATTAATGGTAATAGTCTCCCCTGATTCAGACACTTACAGGATTTCAATATATTTCTTCACTCATAAAATTAATTTTAAATTGTTAAAATGATCAGTTTCAATAGCTGAAGAGTAAATAGCGTAGCTAGCTGTAAGTTGGTATATTAATAAACAGAAAAGGATAGGCATGGTGGCTCCTGCTTGTAATCCCAGCACGTTGGGAGGTCAAGGTGGGAGGATTGCTTGAGCCCAGGAGTTTGAAGTCAGTCTGGGCAACATAGTGCGACCCCATCTCTATAAAAAAATTTTAAAAATTAGTCAGGCATGGTAGTGTGTGCCTGTAGTTTCACCTATATGGGAGGTTGAGGCAGGAGGATTGCTTGATCCTAGGAGTTTGAGGCTGCAGTGAGCCATGCTCATGCCACTTCACTCCAGCCTGGGTGACAGAGTGAGACACTGCCTCAAAATAAATAAATAAATTACCAGGAGAAGGATATTTATTAAGATTCTGCTTTGCAGGGCCGGGCGCGGTGGCTCACGGCTGTAATCCCAGCACTTTGGGAGGCCGAGGCGGGTGGATCACGAGGTCAAGAGTTCAAGACAAGCCTGGCTAACATAGTGAAACCCCGTCTCTACTAAAAATACAAAAATTAGCTGGGCATGGTGGCGTGTGCCTGGAATCCCAGCTACTTGGGAGGCTGAGGCAGGAGAATCGCTTGAATCTGGGAGGTGGAGGTTGCAGTGAGCCGAGATTGCGCCACTGCACTTTAGCCTGGGTAACAGAGTAAGACTCCATCCTGAAAAAACAAAAAAAAGAATTGGCTTTGCCTGCTTTCTATCTCCCATCCCAGACAATACAATGTGTAAACTTACTTAGATTATATCATTTTATAATTCATTAATTCAATATATTGTGTCCATTCTACTGAGTCAGACATATATTTTGGTTTAATCTGCAGGTTTGTGTGCAACTGTAGATAGAGTGTGAGCTCCTTATGGGCTGGAACACTTTTATCTTGGCAGTCCCATAATCTAGGATCGGTGCCCAGCACACAAGAACAATCATTTCTTGAGCACCTGCTACATTCCAAACACTGTAATAAGCATTTTAGATATGCTCTTTCCTTTAAGCATCGTGACAGCCCTATGAGGTAGGAATTCTAGTAATCACATTATGCATCAGTAAGTTAATGGTCAAAGAGGTATGGTCAAATACAAAGCCAAAATCTAGGAAGCAGTTGAAATAGGATTATAGACCATGTCGCTCCTTTATTCTACTCCAACTGCGATAATAGTGTGTACGAAATGCTCACATCTATGGAATGTGGAGGTGGGGGGAATTACTGCAGGGGAAAAAACATAGTTCATCTTCCTGGAGTGTCAGTTTTAGAATGAGAGAAAATTGAGTGATATAACTACATGTGTGTTTTTTGGATATGTTTTACATTTAGTTAAAATTTTTTCAAATACAGCAAATGAGCAAATACCACAAAAGTTCTCCTGACTTCCTTTGCCTCTTCCTTCTCTCTAGAGGTCACTGCTGCTATCAATTATTTGTGTACCTGTCAGAGGTATTCATTTAGTATACCAAAATATCTGTGTTTAGTGTCCTTTCCTTTATGTACAAATGATAGAATAGTTTATGCTTTGTCTATCTGCTGAATGTATTTCATATTACAATATTGTTGGAGATTATTTCCTACAAATTCACATACATCTAATATTTTAAATTTTTTCTATATTCTACATCTGTTTATTTTTTAAATATTTAACATTTTATATATCATACATATCATATTAATAAACATAAAAGGACAGGCATAATGGCTCATGCCTGTAATCCCAGCACTTTGGGAGATCAAGGTGGGAGGATTGCTGAAAACAAATGTTTAATATTTTAAATATTATAAAATAAGCAGATGTATGATATGTAAAATATTTAAAATATGAAATATTTTAAATATAAATATTTATATGATATAAAAATATTTTATAAAGTAAACAGATGTATAATAAAGTCAACAAAATCACAAGAATTTAAAAATTAATGTGGCATTAATATTTATAAACAAGTATCTTTTACATTTAATTGCAAATAAAATTAGATTTCTCTAGGCAGGTTAGCAAGGAGACATTTAATAGCTAGGAAGACAAACTTTTATAGAATGAGAACCTTAGATATTAGTTTGCTTCAGGAAAACCCCACCATATCAATTTCCTTATCTGTTTGTGAAAGCTATCAACCTTAAATGAGAGGTAAATAGAGAAAATTACTTTCCACCTATATTCACTATTCCAACCAGTTAGAAGATTAGGGTTTTTCTTTCCTTTGTCCTTACTATCTATGGAGTGACTACAATGATTTCGCATCTCATACATCATTTTTCAGCAGCAAGGACACTATATCTCTTTATCGTAAATGACTAACAATTTCAAAATCCAGTTCAAACCAGCTTAGATATATCTGGTTTTTATGAAAGCAAAGGGTGAAAAATAGCCAATGAATCTAAGAATTCTTCTACTATAGAATTCACCTGCTAGATTTTGACCAAGCTACCATGACATGAATTAATATTATATAGTTATTTTTTTATTTGGGGCCAAAATTTAAATGTGTTCATATGTCTCTACAGGAGAAACATCTTCAAGTTCTATATACAGTCTGCTGAACTTCTGCCAAAACACTGCTGAACAATAACTCTTGTTAATTGGTGAATCTTCCAGAATTTTTGTGCATTTCCATCCTATTTTGTTTCAATGCTACGAAGAAAACTCTTTTTCTCGTATAATAATAATACAGGCAGTCAGGTGATGGAGAGTAGGTGAGAGAATCTCAAAATAAATCTTAGGACACAAGCTTTTACTTCTATAAGCTATTGTGACACAGTCATTCTCCCAAAAACAACTGTGGTTTCTATCAGGAAGAAAAACGCTATCAAAACATTGAAAATGCCAGTGAACGTGGCATTTAAAAGTTATTTTTTCCCCTAACTGTTAATTTTCACTACAAGTTGTATCTTTTTTATTTGAGGATTTTTACTATTTTAAAATGAAAAACTGTAATGGAAGAATTACAGCAGAAAAGAAAGAAGGATCATACATAGCTTAATATTTATCCTAACTTGGTTTTCTTCCCATGTGCCCTAAGCCACTGGCAATTCATATTTTCCAAATTTTGGGTGGATAATGTTTTCCCTTTGATTTTTTTTTGTGGGTAATGAAGGAACATTAGCTGTTTGGCTCTTATATTGGAAAACTTATAAAGTTTCCTTTGGTTAAGTGTGTCAGAACTTGTCTACGAAGAAGCAGAAGCAGTCACAAGAAGTTGATTAATTTTATACCTGGACTTGCAAAGACAGGTTAGCTACTCTCTTGTGTGAGTGTAAATTACATGGCAGTATCAAGTAAGCCAGAACTTCACAGGATTATCTTATTACAGGGATCATGATATTAAATAGGTACAATGTGCCAAGTTTTGGGGTGGATCTTGGGAATTGCAGACACCCTCTAACGTTACCTGGACCAACACTTTCTGGTCCTGACTATACCTCCGCCCCTCACTTTTTGTCTGCTCTTCTAGGATCATAAGAGACAAAAGGAAGACCATCCAGTGGGTTGTATCTGTGTTTAGACAGACAAGCATCTGGATTCTTCAACTGACTGTCTCTACCACATCCCCCATGTGACCAGGCAAACAGAACATTTTCTGATTTTGCTGCACAGACATTCTCCAAGCCCTGTTCCAGATCCTCTTAGCGAGATCTATTGCAACTCGGTTCAGGAACAAGAGTTTGCTTGCCTCAAGATCTTGTTGCTATTGATACTTCATTGATACTTGCTGCTGGAGCAAAGACAAATCCCAGTGCTTGGCTATCTGAGGAACTGTGGGAGGAAATAAGCTGAGAAAACTATGCCTTGGAATAACAGAAGTCCACCCTAAAACACTATTATATTATATTGGTGTAGTGGTGGATACATGAATGTATGCATATCTTAAATCAAGCTCACACAAAATGACTTATTTTATTGTATGTAAATTTTACCTCCATAAAGTTTGTTAGAAATGATACTGTCATAAAGAGGCTCACCACCTGTTCACTGTATTGCTCTTCTAATTTCTGTTCCTTTCCTTCATGCGATCCTCACCAGACTACAGTTCAACTGTCAATTGGTTGATCACCCGGATTTTATCTACACCTTAGCCTATGGTTGTTCATCTCGTCTCTGCCTATGGCCCATTGACTCCCGGATCCCAGCTCCATTCTTCGGTACTTTACGCACCCTGCTTCCAGTACCCCAACCAGAAGAATATATATAGCAGTTAACTGTCAGCTGGCGAAAAGGAGGAAAATTCAGGAAGATAAAATAGCTGAATGAATTATCCCCGCTCCAGAACGCAGAGGAAAAATGAAATGGCCAGACCCAGATGTTAAAAATGTGTTCCTTGCTCTTTCCTGCCCTAGCAAGGGCTGTTCCATGTTTAGGGGATGAATGCCGCTGAGAGTATTAGCAAAAATACATGTGTCATTGAGTCTGAGGAAGATAACTGAGACATACAGGTATTTCTCATAATGCATGTGGGCATCCATAGACATATTCTTAAATGGCTTAAGGACTTGGAAACTACCTCTAGGAAACCTGAAACTTGAATGTTGGTCCACTAGGGAGAAGAAATGTTCCATTAGCCTTCCAACTAAAGAAATACACTATCAAGAAGAACATTAGCTGTGTGTCCTATAAGCTTGGGAGAATAACTTACTTTTATTTTAATACATATGTTACTTTTATGGTCAGTATTTTGGTAAAATATATGCTCTATTATGGCAGTAATTTGTCTGTCTTATTAAATGCTATATCTGCAGTACCTTCTGTGCATAACACAGCAAAGGAGCTCAATAAATATCATTTTGTTGCTGCCCTAAAAAGAGTTCCAGGAGCACTGGTGTGTAGAAGCTCTGGAAATAAGGAATGGTGTGAATAAATAAATAGCTTACTTGGAAGCTCAGTGAAACCCATGTTGGATAATTGCTGTGTTAACTAATCCCAGAAAAGGGAGAATTAGTATCCTTGAGGACAGTCTTTTAGGATGTGGTGAAGTGATTGCTATTTATGGATCAGGATCTTGAGTTCTTGACCTGTTCCACCATCCACAATTCTGATAACACTTCCTTCTTTATGCTTCACTTTTTTCATCCTAAAATAAGGGATTTGAGCATATGATCTCCAATTCTCTTCTAGCTCTAACATTTTATGACAAAGCTCCTTTAAAATAATTTATTTTACACAGTCCTTAGAAAATTAAGACTGAGAGGCCAGGCATGGTAGCTCAAGCCTGTAATCCCAGCACTTTGGGAGGCCGAGGCGGGTGGATCACGAGATCAGGAGATCAAGACCATCCTGACTAACACGGTGAAACCCCATCTCTACTAAAAATACAAAAAAATTAGCCAGGCGTGGTGGCGGGCACCTGTAGTCCCAGCTACTCAGGACGCTGAGGCAGGAGAGTCGCGTGAACCCAGAAGGCGGAGCTTGCAGTGAGCCAAGATCATGCCACTGCACTCCAGCCTGGGCGACAGAGTGAGACTCTGTCTCAAAAAAAAAAAAGAAAATTAAGACTGAGAAACGTAGAGTGAGTATTATAACTAAATAGGTGGACAATTAGAGTCAAAGACCAAATTTTTGTTAAGTATTACAAAGATAAGAATTCTTCACATTTGAATTGAACATTTAATATTTTCAAAGTGCATTTGCATCCATCTCCTTATTTGATTTTCAAAGCCACCATGCAAAACTATTTAATACATTGCACTAAGAAATAGGTTTATGGCAGGAGTTTACAAAGAAAATTAGTGATAAGACTAGGATTCAAATCTCCAGAATCCTGTTTTAGTTTTTTTCCTTTTAAATATATATTAAGTTGCCTAGTAAAATATTTTACAAATATTTATTTTGAAAATATAATAGGGCATTTCTGGGTTGGCCAAAACTAAGATTCCAATACAGCTATGGGGACAGAAATAGGCACCTTCCTTTCCATGTACATCTATTCCATTTGATTTGATTTATAAGGTTGCTGATAAGCCTTTTGGGAAAATAACTGGGATAGCATCAATAATTGGATCTCAAGCATACACAGGAACTTTTAGATAATGAAGAATCTAATGAGAGCAAAATAGAACAAAAAAAACCAGCTGAATCTCACAGACAATTTGCCCTATAGGGAAAAAGCCTGGTGTGAATTGGATTTAGCAACAAAAGCTAAGGGATTGAAGAGCAGTTCTGGGTTTTTTGTTGGTTTTAAACACATTAGGTTCTAAGAAATGTTGCTGTGGGACCCTTTAACATAGTTTAACACAGAAGGGAGAAAACTGTTTCCTTTCTCACCTAGCAACTCACTGCTGCTGTGCTATTACAACTTAGCAAGGATTGAGAGCACTGGTAGCTGGAGGGGCTAGCAAGGATCTGTACCTGGTGTAAAACATGAACATAGCAGAGGCCAGCAGCTGCGTGTAAGCAGAGCTCCAGCCGGCATTTAGCTGCACCAGAGCCCAAGCATGGCAGAGGCCAGCCACAGTTAGGAGAGTGAATGACCTGGACTACTTAATTAATGCATGCAAGACATTCCTCTGGGATTCTCAAAAATCTTTAGGGAATTGGAATTCCTGCCTAAACAGGTGGTGACTTCTACTAGCAAAATGTCATACAGGATTACAAGACAATGAGTACTGTTTTCTGGATTTTGGCTCCTCTTAAACCATGCTGTTCTAGGTTGCTTTGTGGTTAGAAGTTTATCTTAAACTGTCTGAATAATTCCTTTTTTTTTTTTGAGACAGGGTCTCACTCAGTCACCCAGGCTAGAGTGTGGTAGCGCAATCTTGGCTCACAGCAACCTCAGCCTTTTGGAATCAAGTGATCCTCTCACCTCAGCCTCCTGAGTAGCCTCAGGCCCACTCCACCACACCTGGCTAATTTTTGTTTTTGTTTTTTTTGGAGAGACGAATTTTCACCATATTGCCCAGGCTGGTCTCCAGCTCTTCAGCTCAGGTGAACACCCACCTTGGCCTCCCAAAGTGCTGGGATTACAGGCGTGAGCCACCATGCCCGGCCTGCCTGAATAATTTCTAAGCTTATTCTTAGTGAGTGATCTTGATTTCAACTAACTCCTGAATACCATGCAATTATTTTCTCATTATATTGTTTTAAAATATTTCCAGTGAAGGCTGCTAACATGCAAATTAAACTTTGTCTGAAGTTGAAATGATACTTCACTAAGTTTCTGAAAAATCCAACCAATAAATATAAGCTATTTTTTGTGTTTGCGGATTTCCTTTGCTAAATTTGTGTCTCATTCACTTTCTAAAAAAATGAATTATATCAAAAAAGTTTACAAATTTTGTTGACAGGTTTCTTCAGAAAAACATCTGACTTTTCTACATCGAGACCTTATATACTGTTTCTTAACAACACTTAATTTTCTGAAAAGGCAGAAAATGTGACTTACTATGTGACTATATTTTACTGATGGTTTTAATTATTACAGTGAGAGAGTGATAAAGAACTGGGCTAACATTTTTGCAACCAGTTGATCTAGATGAACAATGCAGTTTAATGCAAGAACATTAAGACATACTTCTTTCAGGTGAGCTATAAACCTTTGTGTCTTCCAGCCACGGAATTTGCTCCATCAGAAGCACTGGACACCTGATTCTCCAATGGCACTTGTGTTGTATTAAACAAAAACTTTATAGTAGCAAAAATCGATGTTCTAGTATAGTCAGTTTCTAAAGAACTTACAAACATCCCTTCTTGCAATACACAATCATCATTGAGACAACAAACAATTGCCATTAGGAGGGTTTTATTGTAACTTTCATCAATTTGAATAGAAATTTTTTCTTGTTTTGAATGTGCCAATTAACTGCTTTTAAATGTTAACTAACAACTCATACATATGTCTTTGAATTGAATTCTTGCTCAATGGCAGTTCTTTCAAAATACTGGATTTTGCTTCATCACTATTGAAATTGCAGTCTAGGCAAATGTATGAGCATGACCAGGTTTTGTAAGGATTTCTGCAACTTTTTAAGACCCAATCATTTCATCCTCATTTGTTCATGTGTTCTTAACTAAGGAAGTAGCAGTGTTACATTGCTCAAAATTCTGTTTGAAATTTTTGAAATACTCTGTAAGTTTACCTTCTTTATTAAGAACTATTACAATATAAGACACATAGACTGTCTTGAGTTTAATGGGCTTTCAATAAAATCATAGTCAGATATTCAGAAAGATATTCTCAATATTTCTTTTCAGCAGTTGACAAAATTAATGATGGGTTGAATGACTTTTGTAGAATTAAATAATAATGTATAAACTATTTTTACTTAATTCTCAAAGTCCAAGTCATACACAATAGCACTGAGGGTCAAACATAGACAGTACCCACAAGGTAGCCAATGGTGGCCAATAGACACAGAGTACACCTCTCACCACACAACCTCAAGACAGAGCAATCCATCAAAAGAAAGTCTGCCAATCACAGCCATCTATTCACCATAGTTTTGTAGCATTGATCTTTTTATACCTTTTGTGTATTTTCCATAAAGTCAATGTCAATATTGCTCATGTAATGCCTAAGAAAACCCAATAAGAGAAATGATATAAGGAATAAGATATTGTCAGGTAGGATCGAGCTTTGGAGAACCACAAACTATTATGATATTTAAGAGTTTTTTTCCACCCAAGAATCTATTTTTGCTCTTTTGTGGGCAATATTGCCACCATTCAAAATGCACGTATTAGAGGTACTTGTCATGGGGAAAAAATGTCATTTGAAGTTCATGTCAAGTCCCGAAAGGACAATCACATTAGACATCTGGGGGGTTCTGGTACAAAGCCATGCCTTCTGCTGCAAAGAACTACAAACCAGTTAAAAAGCAGCTCTGTAGGCTACTGGGCTGTGGTAGGGTTAGAGCATATGACCATGAGACATCAAGTAGCCACATACCTAGAGCTGCCCATTGTGAGCTGAACTCTTTCAGACTTTACCTAGGGACCCACTTTATAACAAAGGGGTGCAGCTGTGGCACAGGGCCATGGGGTCTGCTGGTTCTATCATATACTATATCCCCAGAAGCCATCCAGCCTGATAGGATGGTGGAACAGACTCTTACAAATGTATCTGAGCCTCCGTCTTGGAGACGATACCCTGTGAGTTTGGTTGGTACCATATCCCAGAATGTGAGATAACCCATTATATGGTACTTCTGTATCCCTAATAGAATACAAGGGTTTGGGAACCAAGGAATGGTATAGGAATGTCCCTTTATATCATCACTTCCAGGAAGTGATTTGAGAAATTGTACTTTTGAGAAATCTGTACTTTCTATCCTTGCTTTGGGTTTTGTGGATCTGGAGGCGCTATTACCAAAGCACATAATAAAAGTATTGCATTTCATGAGAACACATGGACACAGGGAGGGGCACAAGACATGCTGGGGCTTGTTGGGGTGAGGGGTAGTGGCAGGGTGAGGTAGAGCATCAGGATAAATAGCTAATGCATGCAGGGCTTAATACCTAGGTGATGGGTTGATAGGTGCATCAAACCACCATGGCATATGTTTACCTATGTAACAAACTTGCACATGTATCCCGGAACTTAATAAAATTTAAAAAAAAAGTATTGCATTTTGAGCTCCAGCTGTTACCTGGTCACTTTGGGCTCTATTTTACAAGAGACTAGCAAGCAAGAAAAGGAATCACTATCCTGGCAAAAAGTAATTGTTCCTGATCGTCAGAAGAATGTAGGGCTACTACTCCACAGTAGGGGCAGTAAAGAATGTGTTTGGCACTCAGGCAATCCATGGAGCCTCTCTTGGTTTTCCCATGCCCTTTTGTTACAAGTAAATGGATACCATCAACAGCCACCACCGGAGAAGGGTAATGGTAACTAGAGGCTCAGATTCTTCAGGAATGAAGGCTGGGGTTACCCCACCAGGCAAGCTGCCTAGACCAACAGAGGTGTTGAATGAGGGTGGACAGTGCAGGAGGATAATGAGTATCAGTTATGACCCTAAGATATTTTGTGGCAGCTTCAGAGGCTGGACACCATCACACTAACCTTTTTAAGTTGTCCAGAAAACATGGGGGTTTCCCAAACAAACTCCTGGATAAGCTACTCTTAGATGGGGCAAACTTGTAAGAAACAAGTGGAATTGTGAGGTGTGGTGGCAGGCTTTGGTGAATTCTGTGGTGCTCCACAGAATCTCTTCAGGGTTGGCTCATCTAACCCCAGCTGCTGGGAATATTAACTGATAGCTTGCAGCTGTGTCTCTCTCTGCCCTTTGCCGTAGAAAACGACCATGCCAAACTCTATCTCCACTGCGATGGGGTGACCTGCAAACAAAGCCTAGCTCATGTGCAGGTACAAACACATAGCCAGATTACCTCAATCTGAGACAACTCAGAAGGGCCATCTCCATTCCAGAGCTGCCTGCCGGATTGGCTAAAGTCTCAGTTGCAAATGCACCGGGGACTGGCTTCTCCCTCTGCCCAATATTGTCTTCCTTTCCTCTTTGCAAATATATCTCCTTAGAGATCTCTCCAATAAATCTTTGGCATGCAACTTTGGGTTTCAAGTATGTTTCCAGGAAAGCCAATTGCAGAAACTACACTAGAAAATAATTAAAAAATTCCCCAACAAACCAACCGTAGTAACCTGGTTACCACCAGCTGCAACCAGGTGGTTAAAGTGGCAAACTTTTATGTTTATTACAGCAGTATTTACAATAGCAAAGACTTGGAACCAACAGAAATGCCCATCAATGATAGACTGGATAAAGAAAATGTGACCTATATACTCCATGGAATACTGTGCAGCCATAAAAAAGAATGAGTTCATGTCCTTTGCAGGGACATGGATGAAGCTGGAAACCATTATCCTCAGCAAACTAACACAAGAACAGAAAACCAAACACGCATGTTCTTACTCGTAAGTGGGAATTGAACAATGAGAACACATGAACACAGGGAGGGGAACATCACAGACTGGGGCCCGTCGGAAGACGGGGGGAAAGGAACGGGAGAGCATTAGGACAAATACCTAATATATGTGGGGCTTAAAACCTAGATGACGGGTTGATAAGTGCAGCAAACCACCATGGCACGTGTATACCTATGTAACAAACCTACAAGTTCTGCACATATATCCCAGAACTTAAAGTAAAATAAAAATTTAAAAATGGCAAACTTTGCATATGACATTATTATTGTTAACTTCAGGTAAAATAAATTTTTGTTGTTGTTGTTATTGTTTTATTTGAGATGGAGTCTCACAATGTCACCCAGGCAGGAGTGCAGCGGTGTGATCTCTGCTCACTGCAACTTCCACCTTCTGGGTTCAAGCAATTCTCTTGCCTCAGCCTCCTGAGTAGTTGAGATTACAGAAGCGCAACACCACGCCCGGCTAATTTTTTTTTTTGTCTTTTTAGTAGAGATGGGGTTTCACTGTGTTGGCCAGGCTGGTCTTGAACTCCTGACCTGGTGATCCGCCTGCCTCAGCCTCCCAAAGTGTTGGGATTACAGGCATGAGCCCCCGCACCTGGCCAATAAATGTTTACTGATTCAATCATGTCTTAATAAGTCTCTTTTGTTTTTAAAAAATGTGGTTTGCCTGAACAAGCACAACAAATATTTATAGTACAGTAGCAGAGATTTGCAGAAAAGTGTAAGTATTTATCACTAAGTAGAAAGTTGATGGAATTTTAGGGGAAAATAGGGTGAGGAGGTGGAGGTGAAAGGGCAGAAATTATCTGTTCTTTCTTCTGTTTATTTCATTTATTTTGTTTTAAAAATAAAAGCTTTGGTCGCTTATGGCTGAAAGTATTCGTTGTGTAAGTCCTGTTAAAAAAAAAGAGAGAGAGGATCTCCCTAGACTTATAGTAGTCTTAAAACAATGTTGTCATTAAACACTTTTGCTAATTTTTAGATTTAAGGCTTATAGGTTCATTATTCCTTCTCATAGAATGAGCTTTTCAACTTTCTACCTCACAATTATTCGTACAATATAATTTATAGAAGAGACTGACCTAAACCCAATCTGACTTAAATTATATTCTGTGGTATTTTGGAGGGAGATTACTGAAAGTCACATCGATGGATTCTTAGCCCAGGGAAACTGTATGGCGTCCTAAGTGGAAGCTGTGTTAATTCAGGAAATTCTTTGAATACTTCTTAAGAAAACATCCTCAAAAACACTGCTCTGAGACAAGAGCCTCCAGCACAACGCAAAGGTGCCCTAAAGGCCCCATCACACAGTAATCACAAGAATTGATAAGTGCTTTGGTTTGCAGATGAGAATTTTTAGGCATAGGAAGGTGTGACATAATAAAAATATATATATATTCGGTCTCTGCTTTTGTTCCTGGCACAGAGGTCCTGAAACCCTTGTAATTTCATGAGCCATTGGGGTGCTACATGCATCTTTTGTTCTAATATTTGGTCATTGACCCCGGTTCCTGACACAGAACTTCTAATCTCTTGGAATTCCTGGGTCATAGGAGCATCTTTTGCTCTAACAAGGTGGCACTCGGCAGGCTCCTGGGTGGGGACTGGCCACCAGAAAGACCAAGCCATGATTTGAAACTTGGAACTTTCAGCCCCACCTTCCATCTTTTTGGAAGGAAACAGGGGCTGGAGATTGAGTTAATAATTAATCACGCTTATGTGATGAAGCCTCCGTAAAAACTACGGGCCAGGTGCAGTGGCTTGTGCCTGCAATCCCAGCACTGTGGGAGGCTAAGGTGGGCAGATCCCTTAAGCCCGGGAGTTTGAGACCAGGTCTAGCTAAAAATACGAAAATTAGCTAGGCCTGGTGGTGCACGCCTGTAGTCCTTGCTACCTGGGAGGCTGAGGTGGAAGGATCACTTGGTCCAGGAGGTTGAGGCTACAGTGAGCCAAGATCACACCACTGCACTCCAGCCTGGGTGACAGAGTAAGACCCTATCTCAAAAAAAAAAAAAAAAAAAAAAGAAAAACTGAACTATGGAGTTTGGAGAGCTTCAGGGTTGGTGAACACATCCACATGATGATAGGGTGGCACACCCAAAGTCCACAGGGACAGATGCTCCTGTGCTTGAGACCCTTCTGAACCTTGCCCTACATGTCTTGTCATCTGGCTGTCCATTTGTGTGTGTGCGTGTGTGTGTGTGTGTGTGTGTATTTTTTTTTTTCTTTTTTTTTTCTTTTGAGACAGAGTCTTACTCTGTCGCCCAGGCTGGAGTGCAGTGGCATGATCTCAGCTCACTGCAACCTCCGCCTCCCGGGTTCAAGCGATTCTTGTGCCCCAGCCTCCTGAGTAGCTGGTGTGGGATATGATGAGGTTTCTCTTCAAATAGTCTGATCAATCTTTTATTCTTTAATTCATAGTACCCTCCCCCCCCCCCACTTTTTTTCTCCTTTTTTCCTTTGTTAGATGCCCAGGCACGCCACAGTACCAGGCGTTACCAGTACCAGCTCACATTCCTTTCCTTATTTGGAAAGAGGACTAACTTTCTAGCTCATTACAGACACCCCTTCCCCTTCCTCTCCACTTTCTTTTACGTGCCCACCTTATCTAAAAAAATCAAATGTTTAGCCAACCGGAATTAGTTTAGATTGTACAACCCGACCCCGGCCAATGGGGAAAGGGTACAGGGGCAGGACTGACTTGCGTCAGGAATAAAGGCTCTCGTGCCCCTTTGTTCAGGTGTGCTCTCATGGCAACTGGCCGAGGAGGCACCCCTCTGCGCAGAAGTAAAATTGTTTGGCTAGGAATTCTTTGTTCGAGTGTTCAATTTCCTTAGGATTTGAGCGATATTTCTAACACTGGGGTTACAGGCGTGCACCACCATGCCCGGCTAATTTTTGTATTTTTAGTAGAGACGGAGTTTCGCCATGATGGCCAGGCTGGTCTCATGATGGTCACTCCTGGCCTCAAGTGATCTGCCAGCCTCAGCCTCCCAAAGTGCTGGGATTACAGGCCTGGCAACTGCACCCGGCCTCCATTTGTATATTTCAAAACATCCTTTGAAATAATAGGCAGTAGTAAGTAAACTGTTTTCCTGGGTTCTGTTAGCCACTACTGCCAATTATTGAACCTGAGGAGGAAGTCAAAGGAACCTCCAATTTTTAGCCAAGTTGGACAGAAGCTGTGGGCAATCTGGAGACCTCTACTTGTGATTGGCATCTGAAGTGGGGGGCAGTCTTATGAGACTGAGCCCTTAACCTATGGGATCTGACACTATTTCCAGGTAAGTAGTGTCAGAATTGAGTTAAATTGAGTTAAATTCTCTGACACCAGCTGGTGTCAGAGAATTGGCTGGTGTGGGGAAAACCCCACACATTTTGGTCACAGAAGTGTTCTGTAAAAGTGTGAGTATAGAGACGAAAAACTGTTTTCATTTTCCCTTACATGTGGTGTCAGAAATAGAGTTTTGAGAGTACAGTAGAAGAAAACAGTTTTTTTCCTATTGTATAAAAGGATGTCTGTTTCTGGCAAAACGTTGTGAACTCTGTCAGCCGGAAGTTTCTATCAACTAGCACTTCCTCTCACACTTCTTTAAGCAGATTGTACTGTAATTATAATTGATATTTGTAAAAACAATCCACAGGCAATGAAAACATTAAAGAAAGATTAAATTATGCTGCATATAGTCTAGTGTAGTATTAATTACATTTTACCCTACAGTTCTCCAATCCCATGAAAATCGGTAAACTTGCACGGTATATATGGAAATTTTATTACCCGGGTGGTTCCGTCCTCTTTTCTTGCTGTTTGGGTTGTCCCCTTCCCGTTCCTATCAGCAACTGTCCTTTCCAACATTTCATATAGAAACTGGAGGCAGTTGGACAAGAACTCACTTGACTTCCTGCATTCCTCTTGACAAATGTACCTGCATCTGCTCCCATCCTTATCTCTTTCGCTCTAGGAAGAGATGTCTCTCCTGCTGCCAGCAGCTTATCTCTGCTCTCTGCTCTTGTCTCCCTATCTTCAAGGACCCAGAACTATCATTGATCTCCTCTCTCACCTGTATTATCAAAACTCCACCCTGATTCTTTCCCCTTTAGCGTACAAACAGGCTCAGATGGCTCCCATCTTAAAGAGAGGCTTTCGATTGCACTGTCCCCTCTAGGTATCATTTTTTTTTTTTCTTTTTTGGAGACAGTCTCATCCTGTCCTCTAGGCTGGAGTGCAGTGGTGTGATCATGGCTCACTGCAGCCTCGAATTCCTGGGCTAAAGAGATCCTCTCACCTCAGCCTCCTGAATAGCTGGGGCTGGGATTACAGGTATGAGCTACCTCACCCAGTCTCTCTCACTTAATACTGCCTTCCCTTCACAACTAAATCTCAAAAGAACAGCCTACACTCATTGTCTCTACTTTTTCACTTCCCAATCACTGCTTAGTCCCATTATCTTCTATTCCCATCACTCCAGGAAACTGCCTTTATCTAGGTTTTATTTTTTCTTTCCCCCACTTTTTTTTTTTTTTTTTTTTGAGATGGAGTCTTGCTCTGTCACCCAGGCTGGAGTGCAGTGGCATGATCTCAGCTCACTGCAACCTCCACCTCCCAGGTTCAAGTGATCCTCCTGCCTCAGCCTCCCGAACAGCTGGGACTACAGGTGTGTGCCACCACGCCTGGCTACTTTTCTGTGTTTTTAGTAGAGATGGGGTTTCGCCATGTTGGTCAGACTTGTCTTGAACTCCTGACCTTAAGTGATCTGCCTGCCTTGGCCTCCCAAAGTGCTGGGAATACAGGTGTGAGCCACCACGCCTGTCCTAACTAGGTTTTAAATTGCTTAATTCACAACATGCTTTAGAGTTCTTATTTCACTTTTCTGATCTGCAAAATTTGACAATTTCTTCCTCCTTGAAACACCTCCCTTGATTTCTAGGATACCCATCCTTGGCTAGTTTTCTATATGCCTCTTGAATCGCTTCTTCTTCATTTTCTGCCTAGGCTTTTGCTACTCAGTATTTCATCATCAGCCTCTTCTCAACTTTTCCCTCTCAACATTTTATTATAAAAAATTCAAGTTAGAGAACAGTTGGAAGACTTGTGTAGTGTACATCCATATACTTGCCCCTTTGTCACTTTACCTTATCACTCTCATTGTCACTCCTACCCCAGGTATCTAGTTTAGAACATTTCTGGGTTCATACCTATCTAGTTCAAATGGATATTTCTACCTGGACTCTGGCCCAGCGCTAGAGGCCTCTCAAACTCAACATGGTGAAATTGAAGTCATCATTCTAGAGTCACCCTTTATTTTTCCCTTTCCCTTATCAGTCTGTCACTAAGTCCTGTCAATTCCATTTCTTTAACACCTCTTCCCTCTGTCCAAGTTCAAGCCCTGATCATTTCTTTTCTCAACTGCTCTTCCTGCAGCCAGGCCTGCTCATCTCTAATTCACTCACCAGCAGCTGCCAGAGTGTTGTTTGTAGGTGCAAATGTGATCATTTCAATTCCTTGTTTCATCTTTCAGGAATTTCAGGTTAAGCTCCTAACCTTTAGCACAGCCCTTCATGATCCCTAATGAGCTTCATCTTTCACCAGCCTTTCTTTTGGACTTTAGGAACCAGCTATAGAAAGCTACTTAAAATTCTTGGAAAAATCTTCTGTGTTGATACCATGCTAACTCTTCTCACTGGTGTGTTTTCCCTTACCTTTTCACCTAAGTTTTGTCCTTCTAACTTCCAACAACTTTTCCAAGCTGCCCTTCAAAATACAGTTTAGACACCACCTTCTCTGGGAAGACTCTGGGAAGAAACTTTTGTTCCTACCATTCTATCACCCCTAAGTGTGGGTGAGATGTCCCTCATAGAGCACCTTCCCACAGCACTTTGTGCTTATTAGTTAATTAATTGATTCATTTAATACATATTTGAAGGGTTACAATGTGCTTGATTAGGTGATGGGAATATAACAGTAAATAAAATAGGGCTGCTGCTCCCAAATAATTTACACACTAGTTGGGGAGTTAGACCAGCAAAAGAAATAACTGTAATAAAGTGTGGCTAGCTCATGGAAAAAGTATCCACAAGGCACTCTGGGAACACTTAGAAGGGGCATAAGTAAGTCCAGGCTTGAAGAGCAAGGGATGGCTGCTTGGAGGAAGTCATCTAAGATATGAAGGAAGAATGGGAGGAAGTTAGGGGATGGGAATGGGTAAAGGAGGAAGTGGCTGGAAAAGACAAACAGAGAGGGAGTGTGGCTCAGACTGCTGGTTAGTGACAGCCTGACTCATGCAGGGTAAGGTGTGTCCCAGTGTTTGGTCCAATACCTGACACAGTGTGGGCATTCAGCAAACACTTATTGAATGAAAGAATGAGTCAATGAACAAGAAAATGAGGCTGAAGAAGGGGCGAGATTAGAAGGATCTCATATGAAAAGGAGTTTGTATTTTATTTTGAGGACACTCTACTGGTACTCTAAGAAAGAAAGACTTTAAGCAAGAGGTTGACATAATCAGATGTGTACTTTGTAAAGATTACTCTGGGTAAGATGAATTGAAAGAGAGTGAGAGGCAAGTCTAACAGCAGGAGATCAGTTAGGAGGCTGGTGTGGTAAACGATGTCAGAGGTGACGGTGACCTGAAAGCAGGTCATGTGGTTGGGATGGAGATCAGTGGACTGGTCTGAGAGATTAAGGGGACAGAGCTCAAAGGATTGATCATCAGAATGATGATGAGAAAGGCACTGAGGATGCTATATACGTTTCTGTCTTGGACAATTGTTAGCAGCACTCATTGGGATAGGAAACAAAGGCAGAGGTTTCTGGAGCTAGGGGTGGGCTGTGAGGGAGATGAAAAGTACAGTTTTAGGCCGGGTGTGGTGGCACACGCCTGTAATCCCAGCTACTCGGGAGGCTGAGGTAGGAGGATCACCTGAGCCCAAGAGGTCAAGGCTGTAGTAAACCATGATCACACCACTGCATTCCAGCCTGAGTGACAGAGTGAGAACCTGTCTCAGAAAAAAAAATTAAGAAAAGTCCAGTTTTGAACATTTTGGGTGAGTTTGAGGCACATAGTAGTCTGGGACCTGTTTGCCCACAGATGCATTTTTCTTGCTCTTTCCTTCCTCTGTCATGCATGACTGGGAGCTGATTTGCTGGCTAGAACTCCTAGGCTCCCATGTCAGTGGGCTTCTGATGTGGTTTGGGCAATGGGAGGCACTGGTCAGGTATTAGAGGACAAGAGCAGGGGAAAAGTGAGATATTACTCCTCTTCTCTTTCCACCTCAGACAGGGTCTACAGTCGTGGATGCATCTTCTCTGCAGCCCCAGCTCCCTCCCGACAGGCTTGCTCCAGCCTTCTCCAGCAATACCTAGCCTTGTGCTCTAGTGACACAGAGGCTTTCCTTTGTCCATCCAGTCTAGGGGTGATAGTGGCTTCCTGCTGATGCCAGATTCAGGGAACCCTCAGAGTTTTCTGTTTGGCTTCTCAGTGCTCTGTCTTCCCTGTGCAGCATTACACTTTCTCTTTTAAATGTTCAGGGTGATTTCTGATTTTCTGAGGAACATCCAAGTGGAGGTACCCAGAAAGCTCCTGAGTATGTGAGACAAAGTTATAGGCTGAGCGTTATCAACACATAGATAGCTGGAGTTTCTACCATGGCACTTACTTCCCTGGAGGACAACTGCCTCCTTACCCGACTGTGCCCAGTACCAGTCTGAGAAGTCCTTAAGTGCAGAAACAGTGTTTTATTTCTTTTTTCTGTTTTTTGAGATGGAGTCTCACTCTGTTGCCCAGGCTGGAGTGTGGTTTTAATTTGCATTTTTTTTCTTTTTCTTTTTCTTTTTTTTTTTGAGACGGAGTTTTGCTCTTGTCACCCAGGCTGGAGTGCAATGGTGTGATCTTGGCTCACCACAACCTCTGCCTCCTGGGTTCAAGCGATTCTCCTGCCTCAGCCTCCCTAGTAGCTGGGACTACAGGCGCGTGCCACCACGCCCGGCTAATTTTTGTATTTTTAGTAGAGATGGGGTTTCACTATGTTGGCCAGGCTGTTCTTGACCTCCTGACCTCATGATCCGCCCTCCTCGGCCTCCCAAAATGCTGGGATTACAGGCGTGAGCCACCGTGCCCAGCCACAGCGTTTTATTTCTGTCCATTTGCCTAGAGTCCACTCAGCACCTGGCACAGAGTAGGTGCTTGATAGTGTTTATTCACTGAAGAAATCAATGTATAAACCCTAAGCATTATTTTTAGGTGATATTAATTGGTGGATGCATTTTTACAATAAAACTGAGCTCAATCAACCAGGGGAGTGCCCAATCTGAGTTAAAACAAATCCGAATCACTGCATGTTTGCTAACATATGCAGTTTTACTACCTTCAGGATTGTTGTCATACAAATAAATGGACAGCAATAAGTCGCCCTCGCTATTAATTCACTTATTGAGTAGATAAGAGTAATTAGAAATTATTGCAGTTGTGAATATAACTGTGTATATAAAGGGCACTGCTAAATAAACTGAAGATAGCAGGTTTATTTAAATTGGTTAAATATTCCTCTGACTCTCCTGTCTTGGATACACAATGAATTTCCCTAGAAATGATCTGCAGAGGTAACCTCTGGTGAGGGTCTATATTATTAAATGTGAGCGATGGCTAAATATGTCGGGTGGTACACACAGGGCATTAAGAAGTGTATATGTTGGCCTTGGCCCAGAGGAGAATCATCAGGTCTGTTCCTGAGAGTTACAGATCTTGTATTTTGCTTCTGTCAGCAAGGTGAGGGGCCATGCTGGTGTCTAGGGGATCTGTATATGTTGGATGGTGCTGACTCTATGGGTGGGAGGGAATAAATGAAGCTAATGATAGCTTCAGCTTGTCTTTTGTCTTCTGGTGGTTGAGAACCCATGAGAAACATTTCCTCCTGTTCCCTACATCAAAAATGGAAATGGCATTGGGAAGGTACAGAGAGTGAGTCCTTGATAACTTTATTTGAATAGCAGTGACAAATGTTGTGTTTTAGAAACATTTTAACTTTGCAAAGAACAAACAAATATGGATTTGTCACAAAACTAAAAAATACAGATAAGAAAAAAGGAAAACAACAAAATGAAATAACTGCAAATTCCACTATGTAGAGGCGATCTCCTTTGACAATTCGGAATAAATCCTTCTAAAACCATTCCCATGCAAATATGTATACTTAAAAGTATCTTCATATTAAACATATTGCTCTGTAATTCACTTTTTTCATGCAAAAAATATGTCATGAGGCCGGGCACAGTGGCTCATGCCTGTAATCCCAGCACTTTGGGAGGCAAGGTGGGTGGATCACGAGGTCAAGAGATTGAGACCTTCTTGGCTAACCTGGTGAAACCCCGTTTCTACTAAAAATATAAAAATTAGCTGAGCATGGTGGTGCGCACCTATAGTCCCAGCTACTCGGGATGCTGAGGCAGGAGAATCACTTGAACCCAGAAGGTGGATGTTGCAGTGATCTGAGATCGCGCCACTGCACTCCAGCCTGGTGACAGAGCGAGACTCCGTCTCAAAAAAAAAAAAAAAGAAAGAAAAGTCATGAACAACCTTCCATGTCAATAAATGGTTGCACTGTTAATAGTTGTATGGTATTCCATTTAATAAACCCACCGCAATTTATTTAATCAATCTCCCACTGAGAAACATTTGGATCAGCTCAAATTTTTCACTATTGGCATACATCTGATGACCTGATTTTTAAGGTGACTCTTCAAGCACTTGTAAAAGATATTTTGGGGCAGACTGTGGGAAGAGTAGAGTAGGGATATGAGGGAGCCCAGGGAGGGAAATGTTTTATGAATTGATATTGTTCTTGGTACATAAAGGACATCAGTTAACGGGAATGAGGTGGGGAAGGGATAGCGTGTAGTGGGAGAAAGTCAGAGAGGGTGAAATGACAGACATGGAGAGAGAAAGAGGAACCCATAAAGACAAACAGATGGAGAGAGAGAGAATGTGACAAGAATAGATATAGAGAGATTCAAATAATCCTCAAGGATGCTCAAAATAATAAAAAATAGTTTTGTGATGATTGCCAAAAAGGCCAATAGCATTTATAGAATTCAAGTGATGATACGTCATTGAAAGAAAGAAAAGGGGATTTTTCTGTGAGACAAATTGCCCAAAACCTGAGGGGGAGTTTTGTCATCAAAATACATAAGGAGTAATCTTTTAAAAACTCTGAAACAAAGAGCAAATAATTTAAAGAAATCTCGGCCAAGCAAGGTGGTTCATGCTTGTAATTCTAGCGCATTGAAAGTTTGAGGCGGGAGGACAGCTTGAAGCCAGGAGTTCAAGACCAGCCTGGGCAACATAGTAAGACTCCTCTCTAAAAAGCAAAAATAAAAAAAATTAACTGGATATAGTGGTGGGTGCCTATATTCCCAGCTACTTGGGAGGCTGAGGCACGAGGATCACTTGAGTCCAGAAGTCTGAGGTTGCAGTGAGCCATGATCGTACCACTGCACTCCAGCCTGAGTGACAGGCTGACAGAGTGGGACGCTGTCTCAGAAAAAAAAAGAAAAGAAAAAGAAAAAATAAAGAAATCTCATTCTACTTTACTTACCACACACATATGTTCATATCATGTGTTAAACATTGTCTTTTAAAAAATAGCTTAGGGCCAGATGTGTTGCCTCAGGCCTGTAATCCCAGTACTTTGGGAGGCCAAGGTGGAAGAACTGCTTGAGGTCAAGAGTTAGAGACCAGCCTGGGCAACATACTGAGACTCTGTCTCTATTTCAAAACAAGCAAACAGCTTAGAAAATCATTTTCTTTAACTCTTACCTCTGATGCTTTTAATTATGTGTTCTCTTATGGTGATTGGCTGGGGTTAAAATATTCTGTAGCATTGCTTTGCATCATAGCCCCAGAGAAAATGAAAGGGGAAGAAGGAGTTAGCTTCCCTTTTCCCCGCTGTTCTGCCTGCTTCCTGTTTCAGAAAAATTAAAATAAGGTGTGAACAGCCACTTTCTCTTGAACATATTCTTCCATATATACTGGGGTAGGGTGAGGCATGTATTTGTGGGGGCTGGAGGATGGCCTCTGTTACAAAATTTCCTATGGACATTCCTTATCTACACTAGTGGGGAACAATGAAAATTACTTGTACAATGAACATCACTTATACAGGACGCGTATTACGGTACATTCTAATTTTTAAAAATATCAACTCACATAAAGAGGAGGCCAACCCTGACTTATCTCATGGGCAAGCTGTATGGCACAAATGAAATTACTAATGTGAAAGTGTTCGGTCAACTCTAAAGGTCCTTACAAGTTTGTGGGTTTTTTTTTTTTTTCAGACAGAGTTTTGCTCTTCTTGCCCAGGCTAGAGTGCAATGGCATGATCTCGGCTCACCGCAACCTTCACCTCCTGGGTTCAAGCGATTCTCCTGCCTCATCCTCCGGAGTAGCTGGGATTACAGACGCCCGCCACCACGCCCAGCTAATTTTGCATTTTTAAGGGAGACAGGGTTTCTCCATGTTGGTCAGGCTGGTTTCGAACTCCCAACCTCAGGTGATCCGCCCACCTCAGCCTCCCAAAATACTGGAATTACAGGTGTGAGCCACCACGCCTGGCCACGTTTGAGGTCTTTTTAATGATTAGAAATTTCTTATACTCTGGCATCTGTAGAATCCATTCAAAGCCATAAATTTCTGCTTCTTTCCCACACCTGGTGGGAGAAATGGGGGAATAGGCCCACAAATCGCCTTGGCTTTTGTGGTCTCCCAGTATGCTCTTTTGCATGGACAGAAAAATGAGGGAAATGCTTTTACCTTCATCAAACCTATTGGAAATGGTTAAGTTTCCCTTCTTTTGACTAAAACAAAACTAAAAACCACAAGAAACCTACTCAAGATTGGCTCATATGAATCACATCCTGTGTGGAACCCTGTCCTGTGTCAATGACACTTAGACACAGAGCAAAGAAGGGAGAGGGTGGGTCACTGTTTCTAAATGCAACGAAGGGCACTTTCATTAAAGCACTAAGGCTGCATGCTCAACAGGTTTAGCATGACTCAGCAAGATGGGTCACTGAACACCATCCACCCAAGGGCAAATGAGCTTGTCCAATCACATGACCTACAAGATCAGGGGATAGCAAACCAGACCTATGGTTTGCTGAACAGCCTGCACAAGCCAGTCCCGTTACATACAGAACAGTCAGAGGAGAAGGTCACCGCCAGGGCAGTGGAGACCACTGCGGATCCTCTTCTCAACACTGCTCTACCATGTTACCTTGTGTCTAGTTGTGTGTCTGCCAACCACTTCTACAGAAGGTGCTGAGGCAAACCTCCTCAAAGGTTCTGATTTGGATCTTCCATTTGGAGAAGACTTTGAGTCTGTCCATATTCGTGGCTTTTTTTTCTTGCACTGGGAACTGATGCATTGCAGACACAAATGAGCCCAATGTATTTTAAGCGAGAAAAAGTTCCCACCCTCACCACCAATTACACCCTTGTCATTTTTTTCTTGTTCTAGTACCTACGTGTGATTTAGTACTTTCCGAGCATTCCATTCTTTCTGAAAGCATAAGCACTAATATGTGTAATTTGCTTGCCTTGTCATTCTGAAATCTTTTAATGCATACAGTTCAGACATCCTGTTTGTTTAATATGAGCAATGCCAACTTTATTTACTGTAATAAATGTACTTCTTTATTCTTCTGGAAAAAAAGGGAAATTAATTGAAAAAGACACATTTAAGCTATTCCAGTGTGTAATACAGAGGCTGCTGGTAAAATATAATACAATGTCAGGGAATTCCACAATCTTGTTTGCTTTTTGGTTTCATTTTCATATTTTTCTTAAATATGGCATTGCTACAGTACAAAGTAGAAGAACATATTTTAGTGTCTGATTCACAGTCTCTTTACTAACTTTGGAACTTTAAAACCTGGGCAACTCTGATAGTGAGAGGGTTCAAGAAAATTGACATATGTGGTGAAATGTACTTTTGTGGCCTAGCTTTGCGTTTCAGAGCTGTTATACAGTCAGATTTTTTTAAATGAATATCTGCAACTGTTCCAACAATTCTGGTTTATGAAAATGTTGCTGGTTTTGCATAGGAACTTCATAACCTGCATGATATTACTCATGGGTATTTGTGGGTTTTGCTTTAGATATGGAAAGGACGCCTCTTGGCAAACATATTTTTTCTTTTGCTTCTCAGAGGTTTTGTATTCAGCTCAAAAATCCCCAGTATCTGTTTCCTTAGGTTCATGGGCTCCTTTAAACTTTACATTTGTATTTCTATTTTTTTTTCCAGTCAACTTCATGGATGTTTTGGAACGTCCTTTGTGCAAATTCACTCCCCAATGTTGCAGAGAGATTTTGCTTCCTTTTACCCTCTTCCAGTTGATTTTCTTTTCTTTTTTTTTCTTTTTTTTGAGACAGAGTCTCATTGTCATCCAGGCCAGAGTGCAGTGGCACGATCTCAGCTCACTGCAACCTCCGCCTCCCGGGTTCAAGCGATTCTCCTGCCTCAGCCTCCTGAGTAACTGGGATTACAGGCATGCGCCACCACCATGCCCGGCTTATTTTTGGATTTTTAGTAGAGACGGGGTTTCACCATGTTGGCCAGGCTAGTGTCGAATGTCTGACCTCAAGTGATCCGCCTGCCTTGGCCTCTCAAAGTGCTGGGATTACAGGCATGAGCCACTGTGCCTGGTTGTTGATTTTCTTTAAACAGTCTAACAACTTTTCCTGTGACATGTTTAGGCCTCTGAGTGTAATCCCTGTGGAAGATGGTACAGTGTCTGAAATTCTACATATACATTGACTTCTGACCTCTTTGAAAATGTGATCTGTAAGAAGGCCACACAGGCTTTCAAATGCAAGATGGTTTCAGACTCAACATGGTTTCCTTTGAGGTTGTTACTAGGAAATAATTTGAACAACAAGTGTAGTCATCACCATATCCTGACATGCCAGCAGGAAGATAAATTACTGCTTGTAAGTTACAACATTTCACCTCCACCCATGGCAATTTTTATTATATTACCCATTTGTCCTCTCAGTAAATGATGTCTGTAAAAATAGTTGAAATAGTTGAAAGGAATTTAATTTAAAATATACTCACATGTATTCACCTAAGTACAAAGACACATAGCATTTCAAAATAAGTAAACTCAGCCTTTTCTCCCTTGAAATGTATCAAATACTAAAGCTTTTCATAGCATCTTGATCCTAAAAAGAACAGCAGAAAGCCATTTAATCCATTCTCAGATATCTGGACAGACTAGCCAGCAGTATGCTAGTCTTCAACAAATGTGACCAAGGCTTCTTGTTACAGTTTTGCTTTATTTGTGGCAGAGTTTTTTTTTTTTTTCTCTCTCAGGTGAATATATTCGGTTCAGAGTATTGGGTCAACTACAGGTCCCACTTAAAGGAGTAGTAAAAAGAAAGATTTGTCAGGATACATGGCGGCTCACACCTATAATCCCAGCACGTTGGAAGGGTAAGGCAGGAGGATCACTTGAGCCTAGGAGTTCAAGACCAGCTTGGGCAATATAATGAGACCTTGTCTCTAAAACAAACAAACAAACAAAAAAAATAGCTAGGTATGGTGGCACGTGCCTGTAGTCCCGGTTACTCACAAGGCTGAGGTGGGAGAATCACTTGAGCCCAGGATATTGAGTCTGCAATGACCCATGACTGTGCCACCACTGCACTCCATCCTGGGTGACAGATCAAGATCTTGTCTCAAAAAAAAAAAAAAAAATCTGCCAAGATAAACTTAATGGGAACAATTACAATATTTTAATTTGGAAATTGTTCTTAGATCACACAATATACAAGCAGACAATAACATGTAAGTTATTACGAAATGATATAAGCATGGTCCTATAAATACTTTCTAATGGTTTCATAAACTGGCTGTTGTTCTTTCTCCACCCTTCCAGAAGAAGAGCTCAGAGCTGGAGATTTCACAATTCCCTTCTAACAACTATGCATTGATCCCATTTGCGATAACCTGACATTATATTCATATCACAATGATCCAGACAGTTGTGCATATTTCAGGAATGGAAAAGACAAGTCATTTATTATATAGCAATTTTTTTCCTTTTTTGTTTGGTCCAACAAGTTGGGCAGGCCTATGACTACATCTCAACTGTTGTGTGCTTCTTATTTCATATATTTTATTTGTGTCTGCCTGAATCATTTCATGGCTTTTCAACCTCCAAATGTAATTTAGCACTTTCCTATAATTATGCTTTTTCTAACAAGTGTATTTGTTTGTGCTTGCAGTTTTCTATAATTTAATTGCTTGGTCATTCAGAAAATATTTTACATTTTTAATGCAGATATCCTATTTATGTAGGGCCAATTTATTAACTTTGGTAATATTTGTTGTTGATGCTATTTTGTCAAAACACTGCATTTTGGTTTGGTTTTGTTTTTGAGACAGAGTCTTGCTCTGTCCCCAAGCTAAAGTGCAGTGGTGTGATCTCGGCTTACTGCAACCTCTACCTTCCAGGTTCAAGTGATTCTCCTGCCTCAGCTTCCCAAGTAGATGGGATTATAGGCGTGCGCCACCATGCCCAGCTAATTTTTGTATTTTTAGTGGAGATGGGGTTTTGCCATGTTGGCCAGGCTAGTCTCGAACATCTGGCCTCAAGAGATTCACCTGCCTCAGCCTCACAAAGTGCTGGGATTACAGGTTCGTGAGCCACTGTGCCAGGCCAAAACACTGCATTTTTATCCTAAAGGGAATCTAATGTATTCTTCTCATTTTAGAGTTGAAAAAACTGAGCCTAGAGAAACTAAGTGAGCTCTTCAAGGTTAATAGGTACTGGAGTAGTTGACAGAGTTAAGACTAGACCTGGATCCTCCAGGGCTTTTTCTATTCTTTCTGCGGGGGAAGAATTTTTCATCACTTTATGTGTTTTGTCACAGGGCTTACAAAAATCTTACCAGTAATTTAAATGAGTAACCAACTTCTCTTCTGATTGTTAAGATTATATCAACAGTTTTCTTTTTTTTGCGTGGTTCCATTTTATTATTTTTATTTTTTATTATACTTTAAGTTCTAGGGTACATGTACACAACATGCAGGTTTGTTACACATGTATACATGTGCCATGTTGGTGTGCTGCACCCAGTAACTCGTCATTTACATTAGGTATATCTCCTAATGCTATCCCTCTCCCCTCCCCCCACCCCACAACAGGCCCCAGTGTGTGATGTTCCCCTTCCTGTGTCCAAGTGTTCTCATTGTTCAATTCCCACCTATGAGTGAGAACATGCAGTATTTGGTTTTTTGTCCTTGCGATAGTTTGCTGAGAATGATGGTTTCCAGCTTCATCCATGTCCCTACAAAGGACATGAACTCATCCTTTTTTATGGCTGCATAGTATTCCATGGTGTATATGTGCCACATTTTCTTAATCTAGTCTATCACTGATGGACATTTGGGTTGGTTCCAAGTCTTTGCTATTGTGAATAGTGCCACAATAAACATACGTGTGCATGTGTCTTTATAGCAGCATGATTTATAATCCTTTGGGTATATACCCAGTAATGGGATGGCTGGGTCAAATGGTATTTCTAGTTCTGGATCCTTGAGGAATCGCCACACTGTCTTCCACAATGGTTGAACCAGTTTACAGTCCCACTAATAGTGTAAAAGTGTTCCTATTTCTCCACATCCTCTCCAGCACCTGTTGTTTCCTGACTTTTTAATGACTGCCTTTCTAACTGGTGTGAGATGGTATCTCATTGTGATTTTGATTTGCATTTCTCTGATGGCCAGTGATGATGAGCATTTTTTCATGTGTCTGTTGGCTGCATAAATGTCTTCTTTTGAGAAGTGTCTGTTCATATCCTTTGCCCACTTTTTGATGGGGTTGTTTGTTTTTTCTTGTAAATTTGTTTGAGTTCTTTGTAGATTCTGGCTATTAGCCCTTTGTCAGATGAGTAGATTGCAAAAATTTTCTCCCATTCTGTAGGTTGCCTGTTCACTCTGATGGTAGTTTCTTTTGCTGTATATCAACAGTTTTCTAATGATTGCAAACTTAGTACAAGGGAGGCTTTCTCCCATTTGAAAGTAGGGGCAGTATTTTCCAGACTCACTCTTCTAGAAGCCACTGAAAAAGAAGCAAAATATTTACATTTAGATGGATATGGTGTTGGGCCATCTAACTTGCTAGTAATCAGTCTGCACCTGTACTTGCAATAGCTGTGTTCAGATTCGATTTTCTTTTTTCTGAGAACATCAACAGTACAAAGCAACTTCCATCCATCTCCTTGCTTAAATCTCATTAGAACTTTGGGAGGCCAAGATGGGAGGATTGCTTGAGTTCAGGAGTTTGAGACCAGCCTGGGTAACATAGTGAGACTTTGTCTCTACAAAAAATAAAAGATTAGTTGGGTGGTGGCATTTACCTGTAGGCCCAGCTACTCAGAAGACTGAGGGAGGAGGCTGAGGCGGGAGGCTGAGGCAGGAGGATCGCTTGAGCCCAGGAATTTGAGGCTGCAGTGAGCCATGATCGTGCCACTGCACTCCAGCATAGGCAATAGTGAGACACTGTCTCAAAAAAAAAAATCCACAAAAATCTCATTAGAAAGAATTTCAGAAAAAAGAAATCCAAATAACTCATATTGAAGAATTCAAATTGCATCTGCAAAGTAGGTATTATAGAACACACTCTTGTAAGCCATCACTGCCAAAACTAATGTTTTTGTTTGTGAAAGAAGTTCATTTAAGAAGGACCTCCATTTCAATTAGTATCATATAAAAAACAAACTGGCAGGCAAATTAAGAAACAACTGAGAGCTGGGCGTGGTGGCTCAGGCCTGTAATCCCAGCACTTTGGGAGGCTGAGGTGGGTGGATTACCTGAGGTCAGAAGTTCAAGACCAGCCTGGTCAATGTAGTGAAACCTTGCCTCTGCAAAACATACAAAAAATTAGCCAGGTGTGGTGGTGGCCACCTGTAATCCCAGCTACTCGGGAGGCTGAGGCAGGAGAATAGCTTGAACCCAGGAGGCGGAGGTTGCAGTGAACTGAAGTCGCACCATTGCACTCCAGCCTGGGCGACAGAGCGATACTCTGTCAAAACAAACAAACAAACAAAAAAAGAGAAACAACTAGGGGAAAAACCAGTAAAACTACCTAGATGATATCAATGGGAAATCACTGCCAGAATCTATGTGGTTAACAGGCAGGATATAGCTCTATGACCAGTCCTTGTACTAACAATGATACCTGTTATTTCTTCTGAACAGAATCTGAATTAAAGCTCTCAAAAAGCAGCCATTTTACTTGAAGGTGGGAGTATCACTGACTAGTGATCCAGATTAATTTATAGCTAGATTAACTAGGTTGTGATCATCTTAGAAAGCAGGAATAAGTCTCTAATAGGTTTGGATTCATCTTTAGGGTGTTCAGGTATAGGTGGGATGGATTAGAACTGTGTTTCCCAAACTTAAGTCACTTGCCAATTACTTTTATGATTTTTGCCACTTCTGATCATGTACCACTTTTTGACATTTCTTATGTCATATTTTTCTTTAAGATGATTTAATTTGAAACTTAAATACATTTGTTTTAAAAAAGACTTTATCACTCCTGTAAACAGGAAACCAGCATAACTTGCTATAAACAGAGAGGAATTGTGTGCTGGGTGCGGTGGCTCATGTCTGTAATACCAGCACTTTGGGAAGCCAAGGTGGGAGGATTGCTTGAGCCCGGAAGTATGAGACCAGCCTGGGCAACATAGCAAGACCCCATCTCTACAAAAAGTAAAAAATTAGCTGGAGGTGGTGCTGCATGCCTACAGTCCCAGCTACTTGAGGGGCTGCGGGGGGAGGATCCCACCTCCTGAGTCCAGGAGTTAGAGGCTGCAGTGAGCTGTGATGGTGTCACTGCACTCAGCCTGGGCAACAGAGTGAGACCCTATATCAAAAAAGAAAAGATAGTAATTGTGAAAATAAAAAAAATAAAAACCAACGTTATTATATTTTAGTTAAATACCATCCTCTCAGAAGGCTGTGATCCCAAAGTCTGCTGTCTTTTTGTTGAAAAATAGAGTAGTGAACACCAGAAGTGTTAAGTATGTGCTAATATCAAACTAAGACTCTTCTCCTGAGTCAATCAAAAGAACTGAAGAAAACTGGAAAAGGAAAAACCTGTCTCCCTCCATGTCGTCTCCTGCTGTTCTCCGCTGCCTCATCCCGGGCTAGCTCCAGGGTCCTCTGTGCTGTTCTGTTCCGCCAATTCACTGACTCCACTCCTGTCTCATTACCTTCACACTTGTGGTTTCCTCCTACCAGATAGATAAGTTTTCCCCCAGATCCTTACAGAGTTCCATCGCTCACTGGTCTCTACTCAAAGGCTGTTTCTACTTTTCTTTTCTTACTTTCTTTCTTTCTTTTTTTTTTTGTTTTTTGAGACGGGGTCTGGCTCTGTTGACCAGGCTCGAGTGCAGTGGTGCAATCTCAGCTTACTGCAACCTCTGCCTCCTGGGTTCAAGCGATTCTCCTGCCTCAGCCTCTGGTGTAGCTGGATTACAGGTGCCTGCCACCATACCCGGCTAATTTTTGTATTTTTAGTAGAGACGGGGTTTCACCATGTTGGTCAGGCTGGTCTCGAACTCCTGACCTCAGGTGATCCGCCTGCCTCAGCCTCCCAAAGTGCTGGGATTACAGGCATGAGCCACTGCCCCCGGCCAAATGCTGCTTTTTCTGATAGGTGTTCCCTGACTGACCACAGTCAGTAAAATAGCTCCTCCATTCATTCATTCATTCATTCATTCATTTATTCATTCTGGGTGAACTTCCATTGCAGTCCATCTATTTGGCTTCCTTCCTTGTCTTACCCTGTTTTTTTCTGAATGGCAGGATTCTCTTTGCTATACAGCCAATCAAAAAATATAATTTATTCTTCTCCTGTTAGTTAAATAATATTGTTTGGTTTATAGGTAGGGTTAATTTTTATTTAAAAAACATGTAGGTGTAAAAATTACAGAAGAATATACAAAACACTTTAACCATTTAATCTTCAGGTAGTAGGAGTTGTGGTGATTTTTATTTCCTTTGTTATACTTTTCTGAATTGACTGATTTTATTCCCAGTAAATTCAGTTTAAGATGACAAAATCTCTGTTTTTTGTAGTTATAAACTTGTACTAGTCATAAACATGTGCTAGCTCCAAGTGAAAAAATTAGTGCTGTTCAACATAAATTCTCAGGATATTATACTCGAGAGCCAGTAGGAATAAGGGCAAAGAAACAAGCGTTAAGGCAAGTAAATTAGATGATGAGAGAAAACCTAGTCTACAAAGTTACCATTTAAATCTTGAACTCCGGACAGCTATTTCATAAATGGTTTTCTTTGGTCATACAAGGTGACCATGGGTCATATAAGGTAATGTTAAAATCACAAGTCAGGGTTTCTGTCTGACTGCTGGTGGGTCAGATATCTTCCCCTCCCATGAAAGAAAAGTCATTCTTTAGTGTTAATAATCTTGTCATGTCTGTAGAAATGAGCACTTCCTCTTCCACCACCAAGCTCCCCACCCCAAATTCTGCTTGGGACATTATACTGCAGGCTAATGATCTAAACAAAATTAAGATTCATTAAATTAACAATTCCATTGTTCCTAATTAAGATTTTACTTTGCACTTAAGATATTGAACCATACATAGCCCTGTGTATATTTTTAATGCAAGCAAATATTAATGAAGCAAATTTGTCATTTTCATTTGTGTATTTTGGACAAAGGTTTGTTTATACTCAGTGAAATGATAATTTTTTCTGGTAATTTCTCCTTTTCCCAGCAAAGAATGCTTAATCTCCTTTCTGAAAATGATTTGATTTGGGCAGCAAATCCTACGTTGAGAATTCTTCCCAGATCTCAAGTTATATAACTGAACAGATGGTATTCGCATGGCTTTGACAGGTCAGGCTGCTATCACAGGACATCCTGAGGAAGCAGCTCGGAAGCCTTCCCGAGGAGAGTGGGAAGATCCCGTGAGCAAGCAGGCACGTGTGGCTGTGGGATTGGGTGAAGAACTGCACTCTGACTCAGCTTCCCATCTTCATGGCCCAGGAGCAAATTCCTCAGGATCCTGAAAGAGGTACAAATAATCCTGCAGAAACTAGTGGTACATTTGATTGAATCAGAAAAATAAACAAATCTTTCCTGTGGGAGAAAACAAAGTCTCTCAGGGAATGTGATACAGGAAGAGTGATTTGGTTTGTGGTCATGGTTGAAGTGCCACAGGTAGATGGACAGTGAATTGGATGTGTTCTAATTGTACCTTGGGCTTGCAGCATGATGGGGCAAAAATGGGAAAAATATCCCTGTCTTCACAGAGTTTGCAGCTTATTGGGAGAGAAAAAAATCACTCAGTCAATAAATACATGAACAAACACACACATGAGAGTGATAAGTGCCAAGGAGAAAAAAAAATGCTGAGAAGGGGGATACAGAGATATGTGTATAAAATTTTAGATAGAAATCCTCTTTTAAAAAAGATGTCATTTGAGTAAAGAAAGACCTGAAGGAAATGAGAGAGAAAACCATGTATATAGCAGGGAAAGAGAACTCCAGTAAGCAGAAACAGCCAATGCAAACGCCCTGAGCCAGGGAAATGCCCGGAGTGTCCAGGGACCCATAAAAATCCCCATGCGGCTAACGCAGAGCACACTGGGGAAGCAGTGTGCAAGATGAGGTTTGAAAGCCAGTGTGAGGTCAGATCATACAGAGTCTTGAAGTTCACAGCCTGGAATTGCCTTTTCATCTAAGTGAGATGGAAAACAGGAGGGTCTGGAGCAGACAAATGACATAATTTGGATTATTGTTTACTGGGATCGCTCTTTGTAGGAAATAGGTTGTGGGGCAGCAAGGGCAGAGGCAAGGGGCAGGGCAGTGAGGGGCAGGGAAGAAGCATCTAGAAGGCTATTGAGATAATTCAGGCAAGAGAGGAAGGTGGATTGGACCAGGATGGTGGCAGTCTAAGCAGCAAGAAGTGGGTAAATTCTGGATATATTTTGAAGGTAGAATCAACAGGTCTGGTTAATGGATTAGATGCATTGTATGAGAAAAAAAAAGAGAAGTTTAGGGTTATTCCAAAGTTTGGGGGCTACACAACTGGAAGGATGGAGTAGATCTGAGAAGCTTAATAAGAAGGAGGAGAATGTGGGAAGGGCAGGTTTGGAGGATATCAGGACATCTGTTTGGAATATATTATGTTTGAGATGTTGAGTGGGCAATTGAATGCACAAGTCTGATGTGCCAAGGAGAGATTTGGGCTGAAAATATAAATGAGACAGTCATCAGTACAGACAGGGCATTTAAAGCCATGAGGCTCCATGAGTTCACCTAGTGATGGATACTGTGTACAGAAACCAAAAGAATATGCAGAGAGTGATATTCTGTATGGAATGCTGCTGGTAAGTACAATGAGGCAAGCTGAGCATTGGGTTTAGCCATATGCAAGTCATCATTGATCTTTATAAGAGCAGCTTTTTAGAATCTAGGGCAAAAGGTTTGCTGGACTGGGTTCAAGAGAGAATGCAGACATTGGACACAGCGAGCAAAGACACTCCATTCAAAAACATTTGCTTTACAGGGAAGAGGAGAGATAGTGGTAGTTGGATGGGAAGACGGGATCAAGAGAGGATTTAAAAATTTTTTTAATTGAAGAACTATATATATGGTAAAGATGCTTACTGCTTGTGTATCGCTCTATAATTTTCACAACCAAACACACCCAAGTAACTAGTACTCATTTCAAGAAAAATAATAGTGCTAGTCCCCAAGAAGTCTCCTGCCTCCTCCCTCTCAATCACTGTCCCCACCCAAGGGCAACAACTATCTTGAACTGACTTCTAAAACCCAATTCATTTTCCCACTTTTGTACTTTGCATAAATGAAATCATACAGTTCATGCTCTTCTGCATCTGTTTTTTTTGCCAGTATGTTACATTTGCAATATTCATCTATATTGTTGCCTGTAATTACGGTTTGATCATTCTTATTGCTATATAATAATCTATTGTGTGAGTATACCAAGATTTATTGATCCCTTCTACTGTTGCCAGGCAAATGGGTATTTTCCAGTTTTACAAATAGTGCTACTATGAGCATTCTAGTACATGTCGTTTGGTGAGCATACGTACACACTTTACTGGGTATATTTCTGTGAGTGGAATTGCTGGGGCATAGAGAATGCATATATTCAGGTTTAGTTTTCCAAAATGGCTATATCGATTTATGCTCCCACTAGCACTGTAAGGGAGACTTTATCAGTAATAGAGGTGATATTATAACATCTTCATCTGTTACTCCTTTGTCTTATATCTTAATTTTTTGAGAATTAAGGGGATGAAGAGGGGTAGTGATTACTGGGCCCGCTCAAAATCTTAAGGAAGAGACTGCTGCTCATAGGGTTGTTGTGAGGAGTGACCGACTGTAAAATACCTGGCATCATCCTGGCCCAGGATATGTATCCAGCATATGTTAGTTGTTGCTCTAATTTTGTAGTCACCCTCTCAGCCTTGTCTCCAGGCAGAGGTCAAGGTAAAGCAGTGATAACTGCAGTTTCCTTCTCCTCTAAATCACACTCATCCATCCAATTTGCTTTATAGCACTGGGAAACGGTGAGCGCTCAGGATGCTTCACTGACCATATTGCAGGACCAAGAATAAATAACACAGAAGCTCACCTACCTCTCTTCATAACTTTCTCTGCATCCTCCTGTTAGACCAGGCATTTCATCAGGTTCCTGGAGGGGTTAAAGAACAGTCATGTGTTCGATTTCATTGTAAATCATCTAATAAACCATCTATAGAAAAAGCATACACTAGAGATGGTTTATACCACCACTGAACTCTAATAGCGGCAATCCTAAGGCGGGCTGGTTAAATTATAGCTGGATGTAATTCCTTGCCGTTTGCTGCTATCTGGAGATGTTCGTTGTTTATTTAACAAATAAATTTAATATACTTCTGCATTTAAAAAAATTTCTTTCCTTATAGGTATGTCCATCCAAAAGGAGCATATGTGACTAAAATCATCATGATATCCAAGGAGGTGAATTGATTTTTACAGGATTGTGTCTGATTATATCTTTTATCTCCACATCAAAAAATAATTAATGGAGTTGGTGAAAATCAATATCTTTCAGTGATGTAATCTAGGTAAAACCAAAATCTTCTCTGTAGTATATTTACATATACTAAAAAGGATATATATACTTTATTTTTTAGAGCAGTTTGGACTTACAAAACATTATAAAGATAGTAAAGAGAGTTCCTATGTACTCCATATCCAGTTTCTCCTATTATTAACAACTTATATTTGTATAGCACATTTGTTATCATTAGTGAGTCAACACCTGTATATTATTAACAAGTCTATACTTTATTCAGATTTCCTTGGTATTTATCTAATGTCCTTCTATTTCCTTGGTATTTATCTAATGTCCTTTTTATTTAATGTCCTTCTATTTCCTTGGTATTTATCTAACGTCCTTTTTTTTTTTGAGACAGTTTTGCTTTTATTTAATGTCCTTCTATTTCTTTGGTATTTATCTAATGTCCTTTTTTTTTTTTTTTTTGAGACAGAGTTTTGCTCTTGTCACCCAGGCTGGGGTACAATGGTGTGATCTCGGCTCCCTGCAACCTCTGCCTCCCAGATTCAAGCAATTCTCCTGCCTCAGCCTCGCGAGTAGCTGGGATTACAGGTGCCAGCCACCATGCCCAGCCAATTTTTTTATTTTTAGTAGAGACGGGGTTTCACCATGTTGGCCAGGCTGGTCTTGAATTTCTGACCTCAGGTGATCCACCTGCCTTGGCCTCCCAAGTGGCATGAGCCACTGCGCCTGGCCCCTCATGTCCTTCTTCTATTTCAGAATCTCATCCAGGATACCATATTACATTAGTTGTTCTGTCTCCTCAGGCTCCTCTTGGCTGTGATGATTTTTCAGATTTACCCTGTTTTTGAGGAATACTCATCAAATATTTTGTAGACTGCTCCTTAATTGGTATTTATCTGATTTTTTTTTTGCACGATTAGACTGGATTATGGGTTTTTGGGTAGAAATTCACAAAGATAAAGAGGCTTTTTGTTGCATTGTATCAAGAGTACATTTCATCCACATGACTTCTTACTGTTGATATTGATCTTGATTGCTTGGCTTATTGTCATGTTCTTCGCTGTAAAGTTAAACCATGTCTATGCTGCACCTTTTGGAAGGAAGTCACTACATATAGCCCACATCAAAGGAGTAGGGGGTTATGTTCTACCTCTTTGAGTGTAGAATATCTAAAGACATTATTTGGAATTCTTCTGCATGGGAGATGTGTCATTTTTTCACGATTTATTTATTCGATTATTCACTTATAATAGTATGAACTCATAGTTATTTTATACTTTTGCTTATAGTCTAATACTGCATTATTTTGTGGTTCACATTGTTTCAGGTTTGGCCATGAGGAGCTCCTGTTGAAGTTGGCTCCTGTATCCCTTTGAGATCCTCTTATAATTTTGTGTGTGTGTGTGTGTGTGTGTGTGTGTGTGTGTGTGTGTCTGTGTGTGTTAGATACTTACTTTCTGGCACTACAAGATGCTCCAGGGCCAACTTGTATATATGCTAACCCAATCTTACAATCAGCAATTTCTCCAAGGAGCTCTAGTTTCTTTTACTGGAGAACAGTATTAAAACCAAAATCTGGGCACTAGAAGTTCTCCTTGCTACTGGGGTGTCATTGCTTTCTAGGCTCTCTTAGCTGACGCAACAAGGAAATATGTATACTAAGCTCTGTATATATGTACAAATATCTATAAATATTTCTATATGTAACCATAGGTATCTATGTTAAGCTAAACATGAGTGAATTCATACTGATAGCCCCAACTCTAATTCATTACCACATGGACCAGTCTAGCCTATTCCCATTGTTTATCTGTGAACCCCATGAGAAATCTGGCTCCCACCATCCACCATGCATTTACTTAATTGCTAATTCTGGTATAAATGTAGAGCAGTATTAGAATTGTTAACTTGAAACCTTATGGGAAACAACTTTATTAAGTACAGTTTTATGTACATTTTCTTTTGCCTTTAGTCTTACAGACTCCTCTCATTTCCAAAATCACTTAGCTCAGCATCTTTTCCTCCCACTTCCTTCAGTGAAGTTGCTTTATAGATTTTTAGTACAGTTAGATTGTTTTGTCACTGCAGTCCATTCTAGGACCCTTGACCTTCTAAATGATCTTTAAAATGTGCATACACTAATGTTTACTCTTTGTTCTATAAAGTTCCATGGATTTTGATATATGCATTGTCATGTATCCATAATTACAGTATTATGCGAACAGTTTTACCACTCTAAGAAATTCCTCCTGCTTAACCTATTTAATCCTTCCTCCCCTCTCCCTGAGCCCCTGGAAATCAATGCATTTTTTTAATGTCTCCATAGTTTTGCCTTTTCCAGAATGTCATGTAATTGTAAACATACAATATGTAGCCTTTCAGATCGGATTGTTTCACTTGGAACTACGCATTTAAGATTCATTCATGTCTTTTTGTGATTCAACAGCTCATTTATTTTTATCATCAAATAATATTCCAGCAACTGACTGTACCACAGTTTATTTATCCATTCACCTATTGAAGGACATCTTATTTGCCCCCAGTTTTTGGTCATTATGAATACAGCCGCTATAAATATTTGTTTGCAGGTTTTTATGTGGATATAAATCTCAAATCAGTTGGGTAAACACCTAAAAGTTCAAATGCTGAATCATATGGTAAGACTGTGTTTAGCTTCTCTGGCCTACTTAGCTAGCATGTGCCACTCCTCAAAATCAGGTGGTGACTACCCCTACGATCATCGACAGCCAACACCGTCAGTTATTTCACTATTTCTTCCACCCTCATTCCAATTTTCAGTACGTAAATACATCTATTGAGTGACCCTACTGTGTAAGAATAATCATTCTTTATATTTTTCAAAGTTCTTTCACATGCATTATCACAATATCTCTAAAATAGCAGTACAGGAGCCAACCTGTTCCAGGCAGAATCCTGGCTCTGATCCTAACCTACGGCCTGACACAGGGAAAGTATCTAAATCTTTTCACCTGTAAAAGGGGATACTGCAGCACCTATCTAAATGTACCTGTTCATGCTGTGAAGATGTAATGAGTGTTTAGGGCAGCGCCACTTCTTGGACCACGTCACACTGCTGTTTGGAGGCTGGGCCAAGATTAGAATGTGAATCTTTTGATTCTTATTCCTATGCTTCTTCCCCTAGAAATGAGATTATTCCCCCAACCTCTTTTCCCTGCAACCTCGGACAATATGGGAGCCTCAGTGACATCAAAGCAATTGACCTCACAATCAATTTAGGAAAGGCTCTGGTAATTTTTGTGCACATGCATGGTAGGGGAGGGATCTGTTTATAGTCAAGTAGGATAATCCAATAACCATTGACAGAAATAGTCTTTTCTTGTCTTTAATGAATAAAAAGAACAACAGACTTCATTTTAATATCTAGGCTCTTAGATCAATCAATGGGCTAAGTACTGAAACAGTTTAAAAATCTATGAATTGAACTGCATGAACATGAATCTGTGCATTAAATTCTATGGACATAAAATGAATCCGTTCAAAAACAAGTTTGGGCAGTTTACATCTGGTATGTAGTGTTTTCAGAGTAAGGTTTTAAGGTTTAAGAGGTTTGAAAACTCTGTATCCCAGCCAGAGAATGCTTATCTGCTTTATGCTAGTTTTTACCTGCAGAATTTTTGTCTCTGTGACATCATATATTCATTTGCTGCTATATTTTAGAATGCATTGCACAACAGTGGGAACTGATCTAAGAAGGTTAATCATATTCTGGCAGTCGCTGAGCAGGCTGGCAATTAATGAGAAAGTTTGAAGAAGAATGTTATTTCAGAATACACCACAGCCTATTCTATAGGGTCAAGTTGACTTTTTATTTTCATTTGGTTGCTTATATAAACAGTGAAAGTGCAAAAATCCTCAAGGACTGACAAGCAAAGATTAATATTGTGTTTACAAAATAAGCAAACACAAAATATCCACAATGCTTTCACACACACACACACACACACACACACACATGCACACACATATACACATACATGCGTGCACAAACACATCTTTGTTGCAACCTGTTCATCTTGGGCTAGAAGTATGTGTGGGACGTGACTAGAGCTATCCGTGAGGATCATCAGGATTTCAAATAACTTGCAATGATTGGTATCAGTTATAAAAACACTGAATTATCCAACTGATCATGGCTAGAGTATAGTTTGGAAACCATTTATAAATAAAACTACATTCTAGTCACAACAATTTAATAATATAAATATATAGAGAAATTTAAATATACAAACATTTCAAGTAAATGCTAATTGTGACCTAATGTCTTTACTAGAGAAGAATAATATGAAAATTCATCTAGTGTTCTGTTTATAACTCTAATGCAAAAGATAGTTCTCTATTAGTTGAGTCAAATGTTTGTATCTCGATTACAGGCATCAGAACTTTGAGGTCTTTACTGACCTACACTCCTATCAAGACAAAAAAAAAGGAAGAAGTGTGGCATTTATTTGTCCATTAGTTCATTCATTCATTCTGCAAATATTCAGCATTTACCTTGTACGTGGCATTGAATTTGGCCCGAAGAACAGATAACCTAATGGTGTTTGGAGAATTGAAATAGTTATACTGCAAGTAATCTAATTGATTAAATCTTCTTATTTAAAGTTGAAGACTGAGGCAAATTAAAGCAGCCAAACAATTTTGGCTAGTTTTACCCATGCACTCTCGTTATGTCCATACCCACCTTCCACTAAACTTCTCTTGTCATTCTTCCCTATTTTCTAACCATTATTATAACTCCAACAGATATATTGTCATTTGCATTTATATACAATTAAGTTGGTCAATGATCCTAATCCATTCACTTCAACTACATAAGTACAATGTTAGTGAAATAAATGTGTCATTTAAAAATGAGGTCTGATCATACCATAAGACAGGGCAAAAAGGAAAATAAAGAAAATGAGGTCTAAGGTTAAAATATTTCATTAAAAAACATCAAAACTGAACACAGAAATGATCACAATAGAAGCAGACAGCCATTCCTTAGAACCTCTTTCTACTGTCTATTTCCTGAAATGGTTTTTCTCTAGTTTATTTCATTTTGTATCACAGATGACTATTTGGTTTAGTGTGTCTAATTCCTCTGCAATTAGATTTGCAGAACATATTACTTCATTTTAATAAAAAGTTTTTGAATCACAGCCAAATTGCTGTAGGACAAGCAGATTTTGTTTTCTTACAATTTCATTAGTAAAAAAAAAATGAGGATACCAATATTGAAATGTCACAAATATGGAATTTTAAGTCAAACATCTGTGTTCCCTTAAAGGAGAATATCTTTTCTGAAGCTTGGGAGCCTCCATTAGTGAACAAATTAGTTAAACAGACATTTGCAATGAAAAAAAAAAATCCCATCAGTTTTGTTGAATTATTTTTGTTTTATTATGGGTTTATTTCATTATTAAAAGTAGAAAAAATGCATAAAATAATAGAAGAATAAGAAATAAAACAATTACTTGAGGCTGTACTAGGCAAATGATTCTGATGTGCTTCACTGAACACAGGATGTAACCTGAGCCCCTGTCCCTGGCTTGACAGAGCATCTGTTTCTCACAGATGCCTGAAAAACACCCTGCTCCTCTAGATGCTGGGGCGCTTTTCTGAGCATTGCATTACCTTTATCAAAGAGTGCAAACACGTATTCTATTTGTAAGGGATGGATGAATGTAGATGGTTGTGTTGTGCATACCATCTATATCCTTCTATGTATATATGCTCTTGTACCCAAAAGAAAAGTCACACTTAATTCATGGTCCATGGCTGTACAAACAACAAGAAATACCACATCTAGTACTGCAAAAAAGCAAGTGGAAGAACCAGTATCTCTTATTTAGATATACTGTAGTAGTAAAAGAGAACATACCCAGTACAAAGGAAGGGGCATCTGCTTTTCTTAGTTCTGGGGATTGCTATGTTTAATAACTTCAGAGGAACACTGATGAGGTGGAAGGCAAGTGCATGTCTCTTTTTTCCCCCTACTGCATACAGAGCCCTGGTACAGAGCACTCAGTGGATGCTCATAAATATTTGTTGAGTGAATGAAAGGAGAACAACTAGAATTGTGATGCATTTCTAAAACAGGACTAAAACAGGCCATGTGGTTAAAGTAAATGAAGATACTTAGCCAGAGAGGAGGAGACTTAGGGAGCACAACAGTTCTCTTTGTATTTGAAATAAATTTTCACATAGAGGAAGGGCTAGACTCACTCTGAGTGACCTAGGGAACAAAATAAGCAACTGTATAAAGAGGAACATGAAATTAGAGCTGCCCCAAATGGAAGAGTAACCACTGGAATAACTCTTGTTAACCATTCTAATTCTTACCTAGTTTCTACATCTTCCTGTCACCAAAGTTGCTCATTCATTCACCCATTCATTCAAAAACACATATTTACATGGGTGAACACATCTCCAAACTCATCAAACTGTATACATTAAATATGTACAGCTTTTTGTATGACAATCATATCTCAATAAAGTAGTTTTAACAACAGCCACCACCACCAAAAGTCCCCCCAAAAAATACATATTGAGAACCTTCATGCTTACAGGTACTCTATCAGGTTCTGGGGAAATAACTGTGAACCCAAGAAACGTGGCCTCTTTTCTCATTCAGTTTATAAGCTGGTGAAGGAAACAGACAAGACAGTCAGACAAATCCTTTACAAATGATCATGCAACTTTGGTTTCAGTAAAGTCAGTTGCTTAAATCAAAGTTGCATGATCATTTGTAAAGGATACCAAAAAGGGAAATCCTGAATCATGTGTAAGGGCTAGACAGGATGATCTCACTAGTCTTTCCAACTGTTGAGATTCCTAGGATACTATGCTTTCTCCCTGCATTCTCATCTCAGTAAGTTGTCCCGTGATGACACCCAGAAGTCATTATGTTCAACCTCATCCTCCTCATCTCTACTTTCAAGTCACTAGTGACTCCTGATCATTCTAATTCTAGTTCCCACGCTCATCACAAGGTTGTCCTCATGGTGGCTGGCTGACACCTCCTGAGTCCGCATCTCCGGTCTAGTAGTGTGCAACTCATAAAGTGCAGCACTCCATGAGATCCTAATGCAGTTGGTTTGCTGATCATAGGTTCAGAAATAAGATTCTTCTGTGTGATGGGTTGAATGGTGGTCCCCACACAGATATATCCATGTCCAAATCCCTGGAAACTGTGAATGCTACCTTACTTGGAAAAAGTCTCTGCAGATGTAATTAAGGATCTTGAGATGAGATCTTCCTGGATTCCCCAGTGGGCCTTAACTCCAGTCCCAAGTGTCCCTCTAAGAGACAGAAGAGGACACAACAAACACACAGAGGAGAAGGCAATATGAAGATGGAGTCAGAGAATGAATGGATGTGGCCACGAGCCAAGGAAGCCAAGGACTGGCAATAGCCACCAGAGGCTTGAAAAGGCAAGGAAGGATTCTCCCCTGTAGCCTCCAGGAGGAGTGTGATGATACCTTGATTTCAGACTTCTGGTCTCTATAATGATGAGAAAATAATTTTTCTGTTGTTTTAAGCCTCTTAGTTTGTGGCAATTTGTTTAGAAGCCCTAAAATACTAACCCATTATGCCTCCCACCATCCAATACAAACAGTTCATCACAGTGCTATCAGGGGGATCTTGCTAAACGTGAATCTGACCAACATATACTCCCGCTTTAAACCCCTTGTCTCTCTGCAACCCGTAGGCAGCACTCCCTTTCCTTGCCATGATGCCATGAAAGACTGTTCACTTGTATGACACACTTCCCTCGGGGGACACAGGTGATGCTCAACTCATAGCATGATGAAGTCAATGCCTCTGTCCCTCCCACTCAAGAATTCATATGAGAATGGAACTGATGAAACTTTTACAGGGATAGATACTCTAATTTAATTTAAACAAAATAAAAACAGAAAAGAAATCATCTTCAGTCTGCTCCTGCTGTTAGGTTACTTGGAACACACCTCCATGCATCGTGCTCCACTGACTGCTGCCCTGCCTTCCTCTCCAGCTGCCTCCTAGAGCACGTTTTGCTTCAGCAGTGCTGACTCACATTTAGTGCCTAGGACACATGGTAGTCATTTGTGTGTCTTTGCCTTTGCACGTCTTGTTCCCTTTGCTTGGAATGCCCTTCCCACACATAGCCACCTCACAAACTCCTATTCATCTCATAAAGCCAAATTCGTATTCCATTTACTCCAGGAAGCCTTTTTGCCCACTTACATTTTGATCATTCCCTTTCTTATGCAACGATCTTACTGTTTATAAAATATAAAGTTTTATTTTATTACATCATATTGTAATTCTTTGTTTATGTATCCATTTCTTTGAAAGCCAGGCCATATTAAACTCATTTTATTCAGCCTTAAAGAAAAGAAAAAAAGAAGAATGGGTGTGGATGGGTGTGGAGGACATGCTGAGTGAAATATGCCAGACACAGAAAGAAAAATATTGCATGATCTCACGTATATGTGGATTAGTTTTAAAAAGAGGTCTCATATACAGAAACAGTGAGTAAAATAGTGGTTACTATGGGCAAGGGGAGGAGAGGAAATGCAGTGATATGGGTCAAAGGATATAAAGTAGCAGATATAAACAAATCTAGAAATCTAATGTATAACATGAGGACTATAGTCAATAAAACTTACATTAGGGGTCAGGTGCGGGGCTCACCCAGCACTTTGGGAGGCCGAGGTGGGTGGATACTTGAGGCCAGGAGATCGAGACCAGCCTGCCCAACATGGTGAAACCCAGTCTCCACTAAAAATACAAAAATTAGCTGGGCTGTAATCCCACCTACTTGAGAGGCTGAGGCACAAGAATCATTTGAACCCGGGAGGTGAGGTTGCAGTGAGCTAAGATCGCACTATTGCACTCCAGCCTGGGCGATGGAGTGAGACTCTTTCTCAACAAACAAACAAACAAAAAGCTTGTATTAGGGATTTTTGTTAAATAAGTGTATTTTGGCTGCTCTTGTCACACACACACAAAAGCAACTCTGTGAGATGATAGATATGTTAATCTGCTTTATCACAGAAACCACTTTCCTGTCTATGTGTACCATAACATCATGTTATAAACCTCAAATGTACACAAGAAAATTTATTTTTAAAAAGATGAATAAACTCATCTTGGTATTCTGAGTGCTTAGCATATAGAAGAAACCCATCACCATTCTATTGAATGATATTGATCCAGAATTTATGCTCTGGAATTGGTGAGCATGTTTGAGGATTCTGATACTTTTTTTTGCAATAAAAATAACATGAATATTAATATTTAATGAAAATTTTCATGATTTTAGGAGACAGGCTTGTGAGAGGTTTGTAGAGAAGGTGAAAAAAATGCATTCATTCCTTGGGGAACTCAATTATTAGGCAGCCACACTGGGTTTCATAGAAATGATTTGAGAACTGGAAACATAATGATCTCCTTCATCCAGTTCTGGTGATAAAATTGAAAGGGGATATTTTTATTCTCCACAAGGAGAAACACAAGTAGTTTTGAGAACAAGCCAGCATTTTGTCTTCACTTGCACCTGCAGATGTGTCCCGCACCCGGGTCCTTCTAAGGTGCCACCTGCCAATGCCTCTTCACACAGCTTTCTCAGCCCTGCCAGCATAGTCCCTTTTCTTCAGCAACAGAGAAGGGCATTGTGGCTCAGGGTTCCCTTGGGAATGGGTGTTTGGAATAAAAATAACGCCACAATACCATTTCCACAAGTGCTCTACATGGCTTTAAAGAAAGCCTCTTGGTAAAAGTGTTTCCATCCCTGTCCTGAAGCTGGGATTCTGCCTGAGCTATTTTCGGCCTTGTTTCCAGTTGCCGCTGGCCAGTGGCAGGATTTCACACTCGGCTGCCACATCTCATTACTGCCCATTGCGCCCTTTTTCGGGAAAGCTTCTCCTCCCAGGCTGACACAGGTGGGAGGCAGGCGGGAGAGATGTTGCCCCTCCTTGCTCCTGCTGGATGCTATGGCCGTCTGGTGTATCTGCCTTTGGCGAGGCAGGGCCTGCGCCTCATCTTCCTGAAAGACAGTCCCTTCTCTCCCTAGGCTGTGAGCACAGGAAATTTAACCACTTTCTTGGGAAGTTGCAGTCAGAAATGTATCCAGATAAATCCAAATGTGGGAGACTTCTCTACCCTGCTCTCTGCCCTGGGAAGCTGAGCTGCAGGACAACATGGAGAGGTTTCCTTGCACACTAGCTTCTGGAGGGACTCAGCCAATGAGGAGCCCCAGGAGGACACTGAAGGCAGGGGACTGAGGTCAGGTTATATTCCCCTGACTTCCTCCCTGTGATGCTGCCTCGTGAAGCTGTGGTCCTTGACTTCAGTCACTGCGCCTGTCAAGGTAGTATATATATCTCTGCACAGGACCCTTTCCTTCTGAGTCCCAGTAACCACAGTTGAGCCTTGAACAATGCAGGGGTTAGAAGCGCTGAGCCCCATGCGGTCAAAAATCCATGTATAACTTTTGACTCCCCCAGAACTTAACCATGAATAGTCCACTGTTGACCGGAAGCCTTACCAATAACATAAACAGTCGATTAACACATATTTTGTACGGATTACATATTGCAAGTAAGCCAGAGAAAAGAAAATGTTAAGAAAATCATAAGGGAAAAAACATTTATAGTACTGAACTGTATTCATTGATATGTAAGTTTATTATGTTGCCTGTTTTCAAGATGGACATCTGTCTGGAATGGTGAGGAACTGCAGCTGCAGACCTTGATGTATGGTGCATATTGAGCAATTAAACTTTTTTTTTTTTCTTGTTGTTTTTTTGAGACGGAGTCTCGCTCTGTCGCCCAGGCTGGAGTGCAGTGGCGCGATCTCGGCTCACTGCAAACTCCACCTCCTGGGTTCACGCCATTTTCCTGCCTCAGCCTCCCGAGTAGCTGGGACTACAGGCGCCCGCCACCACGCCCGGCTAATTTTTTGTATTTTTAGTAGAGACGGGGTTTCACCGTGTTAGCCAAGATGGTCTCGAGCTCCTGATCTCGTGATCCGCCCTCCTTGGCCTCCCAAAGTGCTGGGATTACAGGCGTGAGCCACCGCGCCCGGCGTAAACTTTTTCTTGTAATATCATGACTTTTCTCTGCCTCTTGGGAGAACTTCCAGCATCACTAGTGGCACTTCGTATGGGTCCCATGGTGTTATTCAAGGTTTACAGTATTGCACTAAACAGGATGAAAGACACAGGAGAACCGCAAGATCACTTTTTACAACAATAAGAAATCTAGTAGAGAGATAAACTGCTTACTTGGAGACGATTAGCAACACACGCGTTTTAAGTGGATACCTGCAACAGTTGAGCTCACCACAACGGCAACAGGAGATGGCTATAAAATGATGACAGTAGTACAGTATGTACTACAGTTAATTTGATGCAGTTAGCGGTTACGATTAATGCTGCATTTTTATGTTTGTTTACATTTCTCAACTGGGAATGGAGCCATGTGTGGTCTGTAAATGTGTACGTTTTGATAAATTTTAACTTTTTATAATAGACTTGTGTATATTTTATGGTAGTAAATGACGAAATAGGCTAGTATCTATAGTATCTACATATATTTTTTATATTCATGACATACCTCACTTTTTCTTTATTTTTTCCCTATTTCTAGTCTCAGTGGTTTGTCTGTTTTTCAAATTGTTACAAATCTCCGAAATATTTGTATATAAATGGAACTCAGTTCAAACATCTTGTTCAAGGGTCAACTGTATTACTTCGCTTTATCCTTTCAGGCAAAGGTGTGGTAACGTCTCTGCAGTTACTAACTTGGGTTATTGCACTGTTCCCTGTGGCTCTATTGTATCTCACCCACATCTTTATAAACAGTACCATTGTAAATGTTATCCAAAGTTGAGTGTGCCAACTATTTGCTGTTGGAGCTTTTACTTTTAGATTCTAGACTGGAGAGACACTAAAAGTTTAACTAACAGGGATCTTATAGATTTTGATAGATTATTTGGTTTCAAGGAACCAACTCAGACTTTCATTGAAAAGAGGGTTGACTGAAAGGACACAGTGGATTAAAAACACAAATGAAGTCCAATAGGAATACATCAACCTCACTGAGAACTAGAAAGACTATTTTATTTCAGGCCTTGCAGTTTCTTGTCTGTATCAACTGTTCCATTTCCTCTACAGAGCATGTTCCCCTGTTTCTCTTGATTCTTCCTTCATATCTATACCTTATAACTTCAGCTCCTGTGTGATTTTGGCTTGCCAAGATACAGACTTCCTTCTTCACCTCTGACCTGGTAGTTGCACTTACTAATTAAGTAGCTGTTATTGGAGCATAAAGCAAATTAATAAGCAAACTAACAAGATTGTAGTTATCAATGAGGAGATAAAAACCAACTCGAATTCTTTTTGGAAGAGGCAGAGTACAAATGAGTGTTTGTAAATGTGGTGCATTGCTTAAGAGATGTACCTACCTACTTCTATAGAATAAAAAATCATGATGTATGTCTATTTATGTGCCCATATTTCTCAGAAGTGAGAAGTAAGTCTTCCAGAGAGTTGAAGAGAACACTGTTGTTCTCAAACATGATACTTAGGGACAACCTGGGATGAGAGGCCCAAGTTTTTTGTACACAGCAGTTTAGTGGCTCTGTTTCCCTCAAGCTGGTCTGAGTATCTCTGGAACAGACTTGTTTAAACCTACAAATAGGGATAAAGAATCCACAGCAGCTCCAGGGGTGAGCTCAGCCACTCACGATGGTTGAGTTTATTAGACTTCAAGAGATGCTTTGAGTAGTCTATGAGAGGACATCTGACCCTTCCTTCTGGTTTGCCCAAGCTCTAAATAGAACCTACTGACCAGGATTTTCTTGTCTCAGAGAAGTCTGGTCCATAAGAGTCAACTGGTGAAAAGAGTAGAAGGCTAAACCTGGATTTATGTCAGCCAAAATGATATTTGTTGTTAAAAAGATCACTTACTTTAAAATATTTGTTTTATATGAGGAAACAGAGACCCAGGAAATTTAAGTGGCCTACTCCTGGTCACACAGAGAGTTGATGTGTGCGATAACAACTGCTCTTCTTTAACTGACTGCCTATAATACTGAAAGTATTTTCAAATCTAGGATGACCAGGATAGAGGAATTGTTCAGTGTTCATAGAAAACCCTTGGGAGAGCGACTTCCATAGTGGGTTGATCAGAGGTGAGGGTAGCATATAACTTATTGTTCAAACTGAGACCACTGTCAGAGTGAAAAGGAGTGTTGTTAATAATGAGGCTAGAACATCAGGCATAGTGTGGAAGTGTCTCCCTAAATAACAGGCCATTAGCAAGAAGTGGTAGAGAGGAACCTCTAGGCTAATCTAAGAACTCAGGGAGGCAGGGGAAATAGGTGTCCATGTGACTAGGTCCTTGTCAGTGATATATGCCAAGGTTCTGAGCCGCTGGCTACTGAAATATATAGAAGATGGACTCCTCTAAAACATGGAGCCTTAGGCTGAGGTTCTTCATATAATTGGAGGTTTACTGTTCCCTTTGACGGGAAAGGGGAACCATTTATCTCTCAAATTATAGACCACTAGTCTATTGGACAGCTCTGACTTCTCAAATTATAGGGTCAAGTTTTTCGGTCTAGTACCTTGTATGAGGAACAAAGAAGTTGTGGTGTGAATTCCATACTTGCTCTGTTCTCTTTTATTTCATAAAAAAATAGCTAAGAGAAATGAAAGTCCTCTTAGAGTGCATATCAATGTCCTCATCTATCTTACTCCATAAGCAAGGGACCAAACTATATAATCTGTTTCCAGATCACTGGCCATTAATGCTTCTTCTATGTTTGTTATGGCACCACTGTCAAAGTTTTGTGTTAATTAAAACTCCAGCCCTAAATTGTAGGAAATAGGGTTGTGTTTAAGTTCTCTATCTCTTCTTTCCAACATATATTTAAATAACTTGTCCCCGTTATGCAAAAAATAGGATCCATGCCTTCCAGTAGAGCAAAAAGGAAGGCAAGTTTTTATTGAGGATTTGGCTTATTTTTTTTTAACAGAAGCAAATGAACCTACTGACTAATAATTTCCAGGAAGAGCATTATGACTAAAGCATAGCAAAACTAAAATCTCTCAATTGATAGTTACTCTTCCTTAATAAATTGAAACATGAAACAACTCCATCAAGTAGATAATTTACTCATTCACTAGTTATTTCCTTCTATCAATGACCCTTAATTTTCTTGCATCTGGCCCTGAACTTGATATTAGGGGTTAGGTTAATTTATGATGTTCATTTTGGGTTTCTTCTTCTTCTTCTTCTTCCTCTTCTTCTCCTTTTCCTTCTTCTTCTTCTTCCTCTTCTTCTCCTTTTCCTTCTTCTTCTTTCTTCTTTCTTCTTCTTCTTCTTCCTCTTCCTCTTCTTCTTCTTCCACTGTCATCCAAGCTGGAGTGCAGTGGTATGATCTCAGCTCACTGCATCCTCCTCCTCCTGGGCTTAAGCCATCCTCCTACCTCAGCCTCCTGAGTAGCTAGGACTACAGGCACATGGCACCATGCCCAGCTAACTTTTTCATTTTTTGTAGAGATGGGGTTTCACCATGTTGCCCAGGCCGGTCATGAACTTCTGGGTTCCCGTGATCCTCCTGCCTCGGCCTCCCAAATTGCTGGAATTACAGGCATGAGCCACCATGCCTGGCCTAGATTTTTCTTCTAATCCATCCTTCCTAATCTAAAAAAGAATAGTATTGTGGAAAATTAGATATTTTCTGGAAGACTTAGTGAAGTTCTTTCATAATCAAGACAGTCGATTGTTAACACCTGTTCTTAATATTTTTTCATGTTGAAACCACGTTTTCCATGTTGGCACAGAACTCTACATTGTCAACCAGGTTCTGATCTACGTGTATGGATAGACTCAAAAGTTGTCTTTTGGAAAACTTTACCCTAACTGGTAGGCACCCTCTAATTTATGCCAGCATTGAAGGGGAATGACTTGTTCTCTGGCCAACTCTGAAGGATAATTCTTCTTCCCTCATTCCCACTTTCTCAAGTGCCTGGCTAGATTTCCTTTCAGTCAAAAATGGTGTCTTTCTACTTTTCAGTGTCAGAAAATGCCCTTTGATATTTTCCAAGGCTTTCCTTTAGACATCTGATATGTGAAAGCCACAAACCAAGGGATGATACCTGGTTATTCTTCTGGGTTCCCTAAGTTTTCTCCTTGTGTTGAGTTGGAGCAGCTTCTCAGTCACAGTGTCAACATATACCTATATGCCCTTTGAGAAACTCTCAGAATTATATAAGCTGGAAGGCATTCCAGGTCTGCATTTTTAATGACCTTATTTAATAATGCATGCTATATACAGATGAAATTTAATGTTTAAATACAAAATCACATTTACGTACAATGTTATATCCTCTATGTAATAAAAGGAGTCATATTTCTGTCATTTGCTTTTCTACTTAAGAAAAAGGCTTTACTCCCTCTTAATCCTCCCAAGTCTGACGTGAAGTCAGGCTGTTTCATATTTGACACCACTCGGAAAATATCAGGAAGGTGGAAATCATGGTGGAGGCACGGATTTAGCATTTTTGGTCTGTGATTTTTGCTAAGTAAATTGTAGTATGTCTGAGTCATTCTCTCAAATCCTTCTGAGTTTGGGGGAATGGGACTATTGTTGGGCCACTGTTTGGGACTTAACCCCCAGAAAATTCAAGTAGAGGATTCTATAAATCTGTCATCTGCTATTAACTCTGCTGTAAATAGAGGATCAGGTACAGTTTAAGAAAATAACATAATCAAGGTATGGAGTTTCTTGGAGATAACACTTTTCTATTTCCTTTTATGAGAAAACATAAAGGTTGTACTAAGAAATTAAATTAATATATTTTGAAACTTATTAATAGTAAATTATCCCATTTAGTACATGTTCATTACTTAAAAATTAAATATAGACCCTTCAAATAATTCAATATTTGAGTTGAGAGGGATCATAGATATAGAGGAAAGGAGAAGGATCATTTTGGCAGAGAGCCCATATTGCAAATAATTTGATATTAATACTAGTTAGATGGTTGAATTCTGTCAATGATTTACCTTATTTTCTAAATTAAAGCAGTATTAAGATTATACACATACTAATGTCCCCTTGATTTGCATTCAGATGTGCTTTCTTGAATGGGAAAGAAAGAAGAGACATAACTGTGGAATTTTAGTGGCAATTTGTTAAACTTTTGAGCATACATATATCTGTTTTGCTGAAACCAAAGAATTGGATCATGAACAAATAAATTTCTTATGCAATTTCACATAATGTCACCAATAAAATACTGAGTTATAATTTTATACTTTCAGGCTTTATATAGGATCAACATAGGAAAAGTTACCTAGAATACCTTCATAATTTTACAAAATTGCAGCTGAAGACATTGTTTTCCATTTTCTAAGGATCCTGTAGAAATTCATCCTTGAAACCAGATTGAAAATTTTTCATTTTAGAAAAATTTAGAAAAATTATAGTTTAGAAAAACTAAAAATTAGAAAAATTGTATTTGTTTGCTCTAATCAGGCAAGAAGTCTAATATAACTTAATATATAGCCCGATATGTTTCTATTTTTGTCAAAGCCACTAAAAAAACTCAAATTAGATTCATTGCCTCACTGTACCAATTAATTTAGTTCAAGTACTTGGTGATTTTAATTTTTCTTTTCTTTCTTTTTTTTTTTTTTTTGAGATGGAGTCTCATTCTGTGGCCCAGACTGGAGTGTGGTGGCACAGCCTCGGCTCACTGCAACCTCCACCTCCTGGGTTTAAGTGATTCTCCTACCTCAGCCTCCCTAGTAGCTGGGACTACAGGCACATGCCACTGTACCTGGCCAATTTTTGTATTTTTAGTAGAGACGAGGTTTCACCACGTTGGTGAGGCTGGTCTTAAACTCCTGACCTCAAGTGATCCGCCTGTCTCGGCCTCCCAAAGTTCTGGGATTACAGGCATGAGCTGCTGTGCCTGGCTTATTTTTCTTATTATAAAGAATTAATCATTTATTTGTAAATGGCATATAACCATATTAAAATAAAAAAGGTATAAACATGAAATAGATTAAAGTAGGCATTTATATGCATAAATTCTGTGTGGCTGCTTTTTAAACATTCTCATTATCCAGAGTCGTCTGTTTTTGTTTTGTTTTTGACAACACAGGCATTATTTATAAGGCTGAAATATAATTTCATTGATTTTGTAAATAGGGATGATTATAAATAGCAAGTTTGTGAGAAGTATACATACACTTTTTTGACACAAGAATTAGAGGTGATCATAAAATTAATTTTTAATACTTTGCCAAATTGGCCAATGGTCAGGAATAAATATTGGCTGCTTTGTTAATGTGCTTATTTTCAGGTCTTTAACAGTATGATCTGCCTGGCCATTGGTCTCAAAAATAATTATGGATGTAGGTTTTGTTCCACACTTTAGAGTTCACCTTGGTAAATGAATACATTCTTTCCTTACCACGTCTTGTGGGGAAAATGAATATATTTACATGAAGCAAGTAGCATATTGCCTGGGGAGAGATGAGCCTTGGCTGAAAAGATGGAATTAGATTTATGTGACAGCAGCTGTTCTGCAATATGTGTAGCAATATCAACCAATTTTGATTCTTGAAATAAGTATGCTCATATTTCCTCCTAACTTCCAACCAAAGTTATGCTTAGGTAGGAACTATGGTTCATAAGGATACTCACTTCATCAATATTAAATGTAATAATTACAACTAAAATATATATGCTACTTTATGGTTTATAATATAAATGGATAGGCAGGCAGCCAAAAATGTCAAATTCTGCATCCGTTAGGATTATATTTGGCTATGTAGACAAGAATAAGAAAAGAAAACACACACACATACACACGCACACATACACACAGTGCAAATATAAAAACAAAACTCCCCTGGCTGAAACAGGTGGAAAAGCATTTGTCTCTTATCTAAAAGAAGATCTGAGACAGGCTGTCTCTGGTCCATGTGGTGGCTCCACAACATCTTGCTGCTCTGTCATCCTTAGTATTATCAATTTATGGGTCCACAATAGCTACCTGCACTCCAGCCTTCATGTCTATATTCCAGCTAAGAGAAAGGAGGAGCAAGAGAAGGGCCCACCTCCCACCGTTTTAAGGAAACCCCCTAGAAGTACCACCTAACAGTTCCACTTGTACATAATTGGTCGGAATTGAGTCACGTAATCACATCTAACTGCAAGGGACTTCTGAGAGCTGCAGTCATTTAGCTGGGCACATTGCTACCTCAAATAAATAAGGGGTTCTCTTACTAAGGAGGAGAGAAAGAATGGATGCTGTGCCAGGCACTGTTCTGTTCACTGGATGAAGAGCACCATGTAATGGTTAAGGGCATAGGTTTGGAGTCAGACTGCCTGGTTCCCAATTCTGGCTCCTCATGTATTGGTTTCGTTACCTTGAACAAGTCATCTCATTTGGTGCCTCAGAAGATGACAATGGAACCTACCTCACAGGGTTATTGATTCTAAAAACATAAATCCCTCAGCCCAGTGCCCAACACATAGAAAATTATCAGTGATCTCTACTAATGTGCTTTTTATGTATATTTTCCCATTGAATCTTCATAACAATTCTATGAAGTGCTCATTCTTACCCCCATTTTACAGATGAAGAGTCTGAAAGTCATAGAGGTTAAATATTTTTTTCTATGGGCATTCAGTCAGTAAATGGCAGTGACTAGATTGAGCCCAGGTCCTTTGAAAATCCTTACTCTTTTCCCATACAGACGGCTTCGTTATTAGATGTCTGTCATATGATATCTTAGCCTAAGCTTCCCAGAAAGCAGAACCCAAGGCAAAATGTAGGCACCTCTAGGTATCAAATGCAATGGATTCCTTAATCCGCAAGACTGTCTTATGAAAAGCCATATAAACTACTGCATCTCAGGACAATCAGTGTTAGGCGAGGAAGAGAAAAACTGTATTCACCAGCTCCTGTCCCCCACTGATGAAAATTTTGCCCCATGTGTTGGGGAGCGAGTGGGCCTCACAGCATCACATTTCAGCAGCAAGAAAAAAGCTCCAGGGTGAATGGTGAGGTGCACGTTTTATGGACACAAGGCAGGGCATTGTCAAGTTGTTTATGTGTAAAACTGATTGAAGTGCATACAGAGTTGGTTCCATCAAAATAGCTGAAGTAGAAATAGTGTCCATGGGCCCTGAAAAGAGGTGAGGCCAAGAGGATATTAACAGTGCATAAGAAAAGTTTAACAAATATGGCAACTGATACTCCTTTCATAAATCTTTTATTGCCTTAGCTTGCAGCAAGGTCAAACAGGATATTGCTTAGAGTAATTGTCTAGTTTATGTTTGCCCTTTCGGGTTTAATAGCAATTAAGTATAAACAACCGTAAAAGCACCATTGACTAAGGCACCATGTAGCTGGAGTTGCCAGATGAAACAGTGAGCACTCAGTTAAATTTGAACCTCAGAAAAACAATGTATAAGTAAGTCTCAAATATTTCATGGGCATCATGTTAAGTTTGACTTTGAGGTAAACCACCGATAATTCTTTTAGTACAAATATGTCCCAAATATTGCATAGGACACATTTATATTTAAAAAGATGTTCATTATTTATCTGAAATTCAAATTAAACTGGATGTCCTTTATTTTTTTCCCTCAATCTGGCAACCCTAATGTTAGCTCATGTGGTCATTTAGTATTCTGGCTAAGCACCCAGAATTGGCTCTACACGAAAGTAAGCAGACACACACTAAATGTGATTGAAGTGAGTAACAGACATTTTCTACTTAAAAAATATTCCCCAGTGGGTTTGCAGTTATAGGAGCTGACATTTAATCACTTGAATCATTTATTTGTATTATGACATTTTATCTTCAGAGGTTTTAATTGAAATGCAAATAAAGTAACTCAGAAGGGCTCCTCACATCTTACCTACTACCAAGTTAGAATGGCTTGGTTACTAACCTGTAGCTGTGCTGTCTGGAGCACGTCGACTTAGGTGCTGTGCTAGGGGATGGGGGGCTGGAGAATCATGCCTAGGTTTTGCACTGCTTTACATTTCATTAGCTACAAGTCAGGTGGCCCCACAGAGGGAGGCAAAGCAGTACAGTCTTCCTGTGTCCAGGAGAGGAGAATTGGATACTTGTGAACACAATATAATGTGTTTTCATAGAGCCCTAAAGGATTAGGGAAAACCTTGAATTGTTAGATTTTGATTAGAGAAAATACTAGTGGCAATAATAATAAGCTTTTATATCATATGGCTCCATATTTTGTAATATTTTATTTGAGCACTGAAAAATCCTAGAAGTTACGCAAATATAAGTAGCCTCATTTTACAGATTAAAAATTTGAGATTAAAAATTAGGGGACTTGCTTGAGGTCATAAAGCTGCCAAGAAACAGAATAGAGACTGAACATATATTTAGTGACTTGAGATTTTCTGCATGTTTTACATCAATGGGGCTCAAATTTATTCAAATGACAGAGCCTCTAAGTGTTATGGTGTCCCTTGTGAAACACCTAATTAATTCATTAGGCTATAATATATGTATACAATATCAGAATCATGAGCACATATGTCCATGTCAAAAACTCTCTGCTAAAATAAATATGAGCCATTTGTAAGTTTTTCCATGAATATAAATATAGGAACAACCTCATGAGACAGACACTAGTATTACCTTCATTTTGCAGATAAGAAAATGGCATAAAGAAGTTAAGTCACTGGCCCAGTGTCACAGCAAGAAGTAAAGATTAGCCTCCAACCCAGACTGTCTGACTCCAGAACTCATGTTCTTTAAGCATTATGCCAACATTTTGCCAATGCTGAGGAACAAAACTATAAGAGGGATTCAAGATGAAAAGATTTTAAATGGAGCAAAGATTACACATTAATTCATGTGTGTGTTTGTGTGTGGCAAGAGGTCTTGTAGGACTCCGGTTTATTTGTGCTCATGGAGCTTCGGCAGGTTTTAGAGTTCAGACCGTCCTAGAACCTCACCCATTCATTTTTTCATTCATTCAATAAGCATCTCCTATCAGTAGGCATATTTTTGTGAAATCCTTAGGGATAGAGAGAAGACTAAGATCCAGTTCTTGCCTTGAGAAGAGAGACGGGCAGATAAATAATCACAGTACAGTGTGATCAGAGCTACCCCAGGAAAATGCAACAGTGCCACTGCCACTAGCACACAGAGGGGTGGCAGGCACCTCACCCAACTTGGGGCCAGTGAAGAATAACTGAGGGAAGGTGACACCTGGCCAGGAGTTTGAGAGATGAACAGAAATTAGTTCTGTGAGGCAGGGGTCACTGGTGGAGAAAAAGGGCATTCAAGCTTGCAGGATGGCATCTATAAGAACAAAGCATGACAATGCAAAATGGCCCATCAGAGAGTGCCATTTCACTCAGTCATGTTTAAACAATTGTATTAACCTGTAAAACCACTGTTTGCTACCAAACATCCCTGATTCTTACATCCATCCCCAGACCCCTCCCCTCCCCTGCCACCTGCTATCTAATCCCATAACCAAACATCTCCCATCACTGACCCCAACCCCTGGAGTCTGTATCAGACATGGGGTAAGTTTATGTGTGTGTGAATTAGGTAAGGTTAACATTATTCAATTTTAGTGGTAAAACATCTTAATCCCCCAGTGGTACCCAATGTTTAGAGGAAGACTATTTTGGTCATTTTTGCATTAGAATGCGGGAGAAAGGCATCTGATGCGGTCTGAGTGTAGGGAGTGCACTGGGATCTGCAGCAACTGGCTTTTATTGTCAAATATACCCCACAATGTTGTCTAAGGCTCTTCCCAAGCCTTCACAAAGAAGCAGAGCCCTATTGCCCTGATGTGGGATACATATACCAAAAGCCCAGAAGCCAAGTGACACAGACATCATTTTGTTTAGCAAATGATGGGCAGAAATTCAGGGGTTAGGCAAGCTGCATGGGGAAATGATTACAAAAGAGAGTCAATGAGGCCATTTCAAACTTTCTACCTTTTCCTTCAAGAAAAATTTCACTCCAGCTCTGACCCAAGAAAACACATTTAGCCCAAGCATAATCTTCCAAGTTAAGGCAACCCGTTCTCCTTAGAAACCAGTCTATCAAACCACCTGTTATTACCACAGCATGGCTTTTGGAGAGGGAGGGTGTCTCTCATCCTCTTTTTCCTCTCTCCATCCTACTCCAAATGACTCATCGAAATTCTTCTACTAACACATACAGTGTTCCTCCTGCGAAGATTTCTAGGTAATACTGTTTTCTCTGTCTTGTTGCATTTTCTGCCATGTCTGCTCTAGCCCAGTGATGTATCAATGCACCTTATTGATTGGCAGCTGCCCCAGGGGCCCTTTCATCCAGCTTTAACCAGTTCCAAAGCATGTGACTGCCCTCCTCTTAGGCAGTTGAGAACCATTATATTAGAATTAGAGAGAGAGAGAGAACCAAAATTCTGCAGATGACCACCCCAAAATATTGTTGTGTTGCTATAATTGGGAACTTTTGTGCCCATGGTGGATGAGGTTTGAGCAAACAAAGGTAAAAGTTGTGGGCGATGGAGTAAATAGATTAATGCTTTTCGTCATCTCCCTAAGCATCCTGAGCATGTGTATTTGCCAGGGTCACAGCAGGAAACAGGTGGCACTCAAAGTGCATGATTAGAGAAAGGTTAATGAAGAGAATATATACAAGTGTAAGGGTAGAGTTGAGGGAAACCAAGAGAGGATAGTGAAACCCTCCTATGCTAGCAGCAGCAGAGACTGTTACCACCTCTATGACCTCCAGGCCTAAGAGGCAAGAGGATGGAGAGGTTACAGCAACCTGGAGAAGTTCACCCAACAGGAGCTGTGGCATTTGGTTGAGGAACACAGCCATTGTCAAATCTGACCTGGCAAGGAAGAAACAACCTCTCTCTCTTCCTTTCTTCTAATCTTTTGCTGGTGGTGCTCACAGCTCAATCCCAATCAGAAACCCAAGAGATGGGCAGCCTAACTGATGCAGTCCATAAAGGTCAACCTCTTGGGGCACAGAACAGGGTACAGACTAGATCTGAATTAAGCAAATGCAGAAGAGTGAGTGCAACATCTACCTCAGTCAATGATTACCATGTTTTTAAAATGACTGGATCTGCTCACATTATGTTAAACACAGTGTGTACACTGAGCCTAACAATGATGGCTAGCAACTTATAACTGGATATCGGGGGCACAGCATGACTAAAACTATCCCTCATGTCTATACATATTGCAGATGCATTCCATAAAATTTCTGAATTCATGTCTTAAGAAAAACTATGCTTTTTACACAAGTTCCTTAAAAGAATCATAACTACATGAAAAACATTACAGTATGCTCACTAAAGGCTATAATTAATTTTGGACAACTTATAGACTTTGAAATGCCTTGTTGAAATGCCAAAATTTCTGAAATTTTCTGAAAGAAAATTTGCCCAACAGGCAAGACAGTGGATTTTACTGTGGACTAATAGCTGTCCATGCAGCGTGATTCACCACAGCATCTGGAAGGTGCCTCCTCACTGGGCCCTGAGGTGGGACATCAAATAATTAGAAATTCCTTTTTATGGCTTAGTGGTTTCGTTGTTTTATTTTTGTAAAATGTAAATGCCCTGAGAATTAAAACATCATTTATTCATTCACTTAATTCTTTCTTCTTGAAACGTTTATTGCTACTATCTGTTAGACTTGGAGTAAAAACACGAACAAGACAGTCTTTGTCCTCAAGGTGATCAGAGTCTAATGGAGATTGGACAATGTAGTCAAGGATTCCAGAATTGGCTGATACATGCCATGGTAGAGGCATGCACAAGATCCTACGGGGGAACTATCTAACTCTTTCACGATGGATGGAGAATGGTAAGGAGGGTGATGAGAATAAAGAAAGACCCTTCACAGCTGACATAATGCCTAAACCAAAGATAAATGGGAGTGCACCAGGTAGATGAAGTAGAGACAGTGTAGAAAGGAGACTGCAGGAAAAATAGACCCTTCCTCACTTGGCCCCAGAGGATATGAAGCTAGAAGGAGACTCTAAAGTGGAATGAGGAAGGGACTTGAATGTCATTCTAAGGAATCAATGACAGGTTAAGTAGAGGAGAGACCCTCTAATATTTGGCCTGCAGAAAATCATCCTGAGGCAATGCAAGGGATTGGATGAAGGAGGCAAAACTGGAAAGTGAGTCAGTTAAGAAGGCCTTGCAATGGTTTTAGCAGAAGGTGAAAAAGTGTAAACTAATGAGTGAGAGGAGAGAGGATGGAGAGATGCCAAAAAATATTTAGTAGGAAATGAGCATGACTATTTAATCAATTCACTATGATAAAGACTAGGAGAGGGTATGAATAATTAAAGAAGAAAGATTATTATGATGCCTGCATTTTTGTCTTCGGTGACTGGGTAGAGAAGTTAGCATCGAATAAGATGAGGCATACAGGCAGAGGGGCATGTTCACAAAGGAAAATGTTGAGTTTTATCTCACATATCTTGAGAAAAAGCGTGGGAGAGAAGTCGGAGAGATGTGAATATGAGTGGTAACTAAAGCAGTGGGCCAGGAAGAGCCCTCTCAGAAACTATGGGGGGCAAGCAGAGAAGAGATTGGAAAGCTAGTCTTTTAGGAAGCACCCATATTTGAGGGTCATATTAAGGAAGAGTACATAGAGCACACAGAGATTAGAGTCAGAGATTTTAATGAAGCAGTGGTATACAATATCACATGCTACACAGACAGATCATACTAATCAGGATACATTTGGCTGCAAGTAACAGAATAGAAGTGGCTTCAGTCATTATGAATGACTTATCAAGTAGTCTGAGGTAGGTGGTCTCTTTCTGGGCTCTGTGACCCAGCAATGTCATGGAGAATCCAGACTTTTTCCATTCGTCTTCTCTGCCCACCTTCAGCGTGTAAAAAATTTCACCTTCAGGGTCATAGGCTGGACATTACAAGCAAAAAGTTTGCATGTGAGAACTTGCCAAACAGAAATCAAGGGGAGTAGAGACAATAAGTCTTTCTCCTTGTGTGCCTCATTCTTTTTCAAGGAAGAAAATATTTTCCAGGGGATGGCATCAGATTTCCCCTTATGTCTCATTGACCAAGGGTCCTTGCCCTTCCTAGATCAATGACTGACAAAATGAAGGGGGTTGCCATGACTGCCTGAGCTCAATCATGACTCATCCCTGAGGGCTGGGCAAATAAAATGGAGGCCTGTTAGCAATGTGTCTCTCCTACAGGAGCCCAGTTAGTATAGGACTGGGGAGTGTCCACTGGATTTGGCAATTAGGAGCTTACGGGTGGCCTCAGTGAGAGAAGTTTTAATGGGGGCTGAGTTAGGAAGTGGCACTGAAACCAGATTATAGTAGGTTGAAGACTGCATAGTAGTAGGCTGTAGGCTATTCCTCGACTAAATGGGAGTATGCTTATTAACCCTTTGCTGAAAACAGATTTTTATGAATGGAGAGATGGCAAAAGTTATTTAAGGGTTCAGGGAAAGAAAAACCAAGAACGAAGAAGTTGGAAGATAGAAGACAAACTGCTCCCTTTGGCAAGGAGGAAGATTTTCTCCAAATTTTTCCAAATTTGAATTTCTTTTCATTGCTAGTCTCAGCCACAGAATGTAATTTTTAGAAGTCTGAGTCAGCAACAAGAAAGAGAGGCTGTTCTGAACTCTGAATAGAGCCTTACTATTCTACAGCTGTATACAACTAGGGGAGAAATGTGATTAAAAGGTTTCTACAAAGAACCTAAATTAAATTAGCTCAGAAGAGATTCAATTTTGAACTCCTTCCAGGATTTTTGATGGCGAGATTATGGATTTTATTTTCAAAATAAGGATAAGGTGGAAAGTAAGGTGATACATCCAATTGAATAAGAGAATAGATTTTCTATTAAAGGCATGCACTGTATATTTTTCTTTGGCACTTAAGAATAGTCTGTGGGCTGGGTGCAGTGGCTCATGCCTGTAATCCCACACTTTGGGGAGCCAAGGTGGGATTACAGGTGAACAGATCGCTTCAGTTCGAGACCCGTCTAGGCAACATGGTAAAACCCCGTCTCTACCAAAAAAAAAAAAAAAAAAAAAAAAATTAGCTGGGCGTGGTGGTGTACACCTATAGTCCCATCTACTCACACTCACAAGGTTGAGGTGGGAGGATCACCTGAGCCCACGAGGCAGAGGTTCCAGTGAGCTGAGATCATGTCACTGCACTCCAGCCTGGGCGATTTGGTAAGGCTCTGTCTCAAAAAAAAAAAAAAAAAAAAAGAACAGTTTGTGTGTGCCTCTATGAGCCTCAAAATGCATCTTTTCCTCTGTCTGCCCATCACTGAGTAGAGTGGTAGATAGCCTCCTCTTCATATCAGTAAACTCAAGAACACACCTCATCAGTAAGCTTTTTTGTTAGTTGATGAGTTGTCTCTTACGCAGCTGTGGTCATCGGAGTCCTAACTTTTGAGGTTAAGAAAATGTAAAGCAGTAGGAGAAAGGTTGTGTCTTGTACATAAATTTACTGATCAGAGTACACAGAGGACAACTGATTATCTCTTTTCCTGGTTGTATGGCACTATCTTTAAAGATGCATTTTAGAGAAAGAGTCTTAAGTACAGGGAAGTTAAATACAGGGTAATCCAGTCTGTATCTGGCTGGCGCCTTTTTTAATTGCTTTAACCAATTTGGAACAAAATTCACTCTGGGTTTTACCAACTTAGAAGCACAGAGTATCAGAGATGAAGGATTTAAGCAGTCCTCTGATTAATATGAGAAAACAGGAGAGGTCTGGTAATCTCTGTCAGATACAGCCCCAAACCAGAATCTGCAGCCTTTGCTCTACTCTACCTGGTGGCCTCACTTTTACAATATCATATTTAATTAAGAGAAAATCCTAGGAAAATCTTAAAATCTAAATCATTGCCAAGCTCTTTTTAATTTTCAGGCATAAAAAGACCTGTAGCTCTTGTTCTAGGCAGTCACCAGCAGCAAGCTCAGAAATGCTTTGTATGTGTGGAATTGCTAAAGGAACTTAAACTGCAATTTGCCTATTTATCCAATCCCTTGAATTTCTTTTTTTTTTAATGGAAAGTTAAAGAGTGTTTCATCTAGTTCCTATATTTATACTTTCTTTTCTTTTCCTGTTTTTTTTTTTTTTTTTTTTTTTTTTTTTTTTGAGATGGAGTTTTGCTGTTGTTGCCCAGGCTGGAGTGCAATGGTGCAATCTTGGCTTACTGCAACCACCGCCTCCTGGGTTCAAGTGATTCTCTTGCCTCAGCCTCCTAAGTAGCTGGGACTACAGGCTCCCACCACCACGCCCAGCTAATTTTTTTGTATTTTTAGTAGAGACGGAGTTTCAGCATGTTGCCCAGGCTAGTCTCAAACCCCTGACCTCAAGTGATCTGCCCGCCTTGGCCTCCAAAAGCCCTGGGATTACTGGCGTGAGCCACTGCACCCGGCCCTATACTTATACTTTCTTTCGATAACAGGACAAAAACTTATCAGGGTTCTTAGCTGTAAGCAACAGATATCAAACTCTGGCTAATTTAGGCAGGAAATGGAATTTAATGAAAGGATATTGGATAGTTCCTACACTCTCTGGAAGGGATAGGAATCAGGTTGAGAGGATACGCAGCCACACAGTGCTGAAATCATGCCATGGAACTAGTTCTATGAGCACCCACTGCTGCTGCTGCTGCTGCATGATGGCCATTGCAGATGGCATTCCCAGCATGGCCAGTGTTGGCCCCTGGGCATGGCTGCTCTCCCTACTGACTCTGAAAATTGGACGTAGCTACTCCATTACCAGAAAGGATTTGGTTTAGTCCCCTCTTGGATCTCTAGTTTCCAATTTAAAGTCTGGGGCAAGGGCATCTGATTGGCAGAAACTTGGTCATATGGTAGCAGCAAAGGAGGCAGGAAAAGTGAGTTTCTGGCATATTCAATTTCCCACAGTGGGAGGTTCAACTCTTCCTTATAACGTGAGTGGTTCAGATGCTACACAGCCAGTCCAAAGACAAATGTGGATAATATCCTATCCAATATACTGTGTACCACAGTAGTTTCATCTTATTATTCTTACTATTATTTATTGTTTTGAGTAGGTAATATACTCATACATTGCAAAGTTCAAAAGATAAGAAAAGACAGTTAAAAAAAAAAACCCAACTTTCCTCTCTCCTGGCTCTCAGACATCTACATAGACTCCCCTGTATAATAAATTGGTTACTGTCACCAATATTCACTTTCACTCCCTGGAGGAGCATTATTTTCCTCCACCCTTTCTAGGCAGACTTGATCATGTGATTTGCATAGTCAATGAATTATAAGCATAGGTGATCTCATCACTTCTGGGCAGAAGTTTTAAAAGCCAATTTAGATTTTTGCCTCATTCTCTTTCCTTCTGCCATGTTGATGGGCAATGTTCCAGATGGTGCCAGACTGAGTTCCAGAGTGCACTACTTGATATTTTGCACATTTTTCATGATGCTTTGTGGCCAGAGGGGCTGCCTTTCATGGACAATGTCAACAAGTTCCCTTGTCCTCTGGCTTTTGTTTGGGTTCAACTGATGAGGGGTACTGGTCAGATATCAGAGGGCAGAGGAGAGCGATGTTGAGATATTGATTCTCTTGCTCCCACCCTTTCAGGTCTCCATGGGCTGGCTGCATTCCCGTACCAAAGATCTCCATCTCCTGTTAGGTGACATCTACTCTCTTTAGGTTCTGGTCACTGCCGTTGCTGGGTCTGGGTGCTGTGCCATTTTTGTTGACTTCCCTGAACCTCACCCTCACCTTTACAAAGAGTACCTTTACTAAGCTCTCCTAAATTACTTGAGTATGTCATTTGTTTCCTACCTGACTAATCCTGACTAATACACAGAATGAAGACGACTATCATGAGAAGACCCCTCGCCCAGCCAGCCCCAACCAGCACTGGGCACACATCACGAACACTGAGATTTCAGAGTCATTTGTTACCACCACAAATCCTCGCCTATCCTGACTAACGTGCAACGTTTCTAGTGTCTTATAATATAGTTATATTTTAAATCAAGAATTGGTGTCCCAATCAGCATGAAGCTTTAATAAAAATATACCTGCTCTGGTTCTATTCCTGGAGAGTCTAATTCAGTAAGTCTTAGGTGGAACCCATAGTTTCTATTTTTAATAAGCCCCAAACCAGTGGTTTTGAGGATTTCCAATATTTAGAATATTCTTGTATTGGCCTATGTTTTTCAGATATGTTTTATAACTTGCAGGATATGGGGGTATATTAGGGTTCTCCAGAGAAACAGAACCAATAGGGTGTGTGTGTGTATACACACACACACACACACACACACACACAGAGATTTTAAAGAAACACACCCCTTACTTGCTGTGTGAATTTAGACAAGCTCCTTGAAACCTTTGTCTTTGGTTTTCCTAACTATAAATGCTTTCTTTAATGTTCAGATTCAATTTTAAAATGTATATGAAGCAGTTAGTACTTATTACATAGCAGATGTTCAATATGGTTACTATTAAATATATATCTTCAAAAATATTGTGTGTGCAAAGTTGCATTTCAGTTCATAATAATATGAAAAGTGACCAACCACTGTGAAATCTTTTAGATATTTTTTTCTTCAAAGTATTGAGAAATGGTGGTAATGTAACTCATCACTTTCAGACTTTTATCTGACATGCATGCACCAGGAGAGGGTTCCTGGAAGTGAGGCAGAACCAGGGGCTTGGCTAAGTGGGAGGGAGAACAGCTCAGATGTCTTAGCACTCATAAACCTTATGTCTGGGAACAGTTTCAGATTCAGAATAGCTGCATGGCTATATTGGCAAAGTACCCTTCTCTTCTTTAACTAAGTACAAATGACTCATTTCTAACCTTAATGAGAAAAATGAGAAAGGAAGTGTGAGTCCCAGCATTGGCAGGAAAATCTACATACATTGTCTTGTCTTCCACCCTTCAGCAATCAAACCTGGGATGTATTGTTCATACCTAAGCTTCTCCTTGCAGAGCAGAGAAAAATGCTGCTGTTGAACCAGGGATATATCCTATCTAACCCGAGAAAGGGGCAGAGAGCTTAGCAGCAATCTTGTAGCTAACCAGAGCTATCCACAGGCCTCCCTAGATGCTGTTCTTGACCTTTGCTTCACAATTTTAGTTATTTGCAACATTTCTTCCGGGCAGCTACAAATACTTTGAGATCATTAGTCTGTAATTGCCACAAACTACATCTTTGTTAAATTGATGTAATCCCATACTGCTTAAAAGGTGATGGATCCAGAACGGCAGTGTTGAAACTTTTGGAGTAAAATTCCATAGCTTCCTACAGTGCTCTGCTGCACCCGATAAACGTGTCTCCCATTGTGTAATGCTCTCTTTCTCCACACATCCCATTCTGCTTCGTTCTGCTTGTATTACCTAAGTCTTGGGTTATGATATCAAAAGGTTCTGGTGAGAACTATTTTAGATCTTTTGAGTGTCTGGTCGTCTTCTAAACGGATCTACAAAAAGCAGGATTTTTCAGAAAACACTCCCGTTTCATGTCGTGCTATTCTTAAAAGTAAATACACGAAACAATGATCACATGAATTTAGTGTAAGAGATGTCAGCTGGTTGTAAAAATTTCACAACCGTATAATATTCTATTGTATTTTCAGAAAGTAGCAATATATTTTTGAGAGAACTTCCTTCTAGAAGCCTCAAAACTTCATTTGCTTTTATCATTTTCTGGGGTCTTTCTTCTGCTCCTTTGTTTTTTCCACTATCCACTCCTTCAGCAAAGATAATATGGTGCAGAAAAAGGAAACATTGGTGGATGAATTATGAGGACAAAGAAATCAGCAGGACTCAGCTGTCATCACTCTCATGGTCTAACATTTGAACTCCGTTAACTATGGCGGACTCCGGTGAGACACAATAGACTGGAAGTAGGTCATCTTTAAGTCTCTCAAGCTGTATGACTCTAAGAACTCCATGGAGTAGGTAAACAAGGACGTTATCCTCTTCAAATGAGGACATGCCAGGATTATATCAAATACTGTTTCATCCAAGGTTTAGGGCTATCCCTTGGTGGAACATAATTTTATCCTTATTTTGGATAACTGGGTATTTATTGACATTTTAAAAACAAAGACTGTTTTAAACTATGTAAAAAATACAACCGGTTAATTTCTTCTAGAGTTATCTTTTCTGCATTGTTTGTTGTAGTAAAAAACACATAAAATTTACCATCTTAACCATTTTCCATAGTGTTAGGTAAATTCATGTTGTTGTGAACCAAATCTCCAAAACATTTTCATCTTGCAAAACTGAAACTCTATCCTCGTTAAATAACAACGCTCCTTTTCCCCTTCCCCCATCCCCTGGCAACCACCATTCTACTTTTTGTTTTAATGGATTTGTCTACTTTTGATACTTCTTATAAGTGGAATTATCCAGTATTTGTCTTTTTCGTGACTGGCTTATTTCACTTCACATAATTTCCTCAAGGTTCATCCATGCTGTAGCATGTGACAGGATTTCCTTTCTTTTTAAGGCTGAATAATATTTCATTGTCTGTGTACACCACTTTTTTTTCCATTCATCTGATGATGGACTTTTGGGTTGCTTCCACCTCTTGACTATTGGCATAGCCCCATTTTTAAAATATTGCAATTTAATTTAACTCTTACCTTCTCATTCCCTCTGGTGGATTTAATAAATGCAATATCATCTGTAAGGCACGTGTTCCAATAAGGAAGAGAATGTAGCATGAGAAGAGAGTTGAAGGCAGAACCCTAGGGAACCCAGTTCTTTTAAGATGCCAGGAAACTAATAAGAAGGAGGACGATAAGGAAGGATCAGTGGGAAAGAAGAAGCCCCAGGGATAGGAGCGCTTCCAAGAGGAAGAAGACAAAGGTCAGAAAGTACAAGGAGGCCAAGTAAGGTAAGTACAAAAGGGTGTTCACAATAGCAAGCCTGTTCGGATGGTTTGCAGTTTCAGAAGAGGCTAGAAGGCTGATTAAAGTGAATGAGGGAGTGAATGGGAGATGTGAAGGTATAGGACTCTGTCGGAGACCACTCAAGAAGTTTAGATTTGACAAGAGGAAAGAGACTGGGTGGTAACTAGAGAAGGATGTAGTGTTTTTGTTTTGTTATTGTTTCTTAACCTGAGAGAGACTTCAGGATGTTTAAATGCTTCTTTCAGTTTAACTATTGTTACATAAAAAACTACCCCAGCCAGGTGTGGTGGCTCACGCCTGTAGTCCAAGCACTTTGGGAGGCCGAGGCAGGTGGATCACTTGAGGTCAGGAGTTCAAGACCAGCCTGGCCAACATGGTGAGACCCTGTCTTTACTAAAAATATAAAAATTAGCCAGGTGTGGTGAAATGCTCCTGTAATCCTAGCTACTAGCGAGGCTGAGGCACGAGAATCGCTTGAACCTAGGAGGCAGAGGTTGCAGTGAGCCGAGATGGTGCCACTGCACTCCAGCTTGGGCGACAGAGTAAGACTCCGTCTCAAAAGCAAAACAACAAAACAAAAACTATCCCCAAACTGGATGGCTTCAAAGAAAACATTTTATTTTGCCCCATGATTTTGTGGGTCAGGAATTGAAAAAGGGCTTAGCTGGGTGGTTTGGCTTTGATCCATGTGGTGTCAGCAGCAGGGGTTGAGACTGGAGGGTCTGCTTTCCCAATGGCTGCTTCACCTGCACATGGGGTGCCTTGGTGCTCCTTGGCATCTCTCTCCCCTCCCAGGCTTCTTACAGAATGACAGTCTCAGGATAATCACACTCATTCCATGACAACTCACTTCCAAGAGACCTAGGTGGAAGCGGCAAGGTTTTTTTGACCTAAATTTGAAAGCCACAGAATATCACTTCCATGGCTTTCTTTTGGTCATGCAAGTCATTAAGGCCTGCACTGATGGATTCAAAAGGAGTGAAGGAATAGACTCTGTCGCTTGATGAGGGATGACATGAAGCCATAGGGAGGGAGGGAATTAATGGCAGCCATCTTGGAGACAAACAGAGCGAGAGAGATTGAAGTTGCTCAGGTAGCTGAGGTGGCAGGAGTTGATGAGACATTTGAGATTTGAAACCACAGATAGGTAGATTGAAAAATGTGTGGCAAGAGGAGGGAGCTCTTTTTATGATGCTACAACCCTCTATAAACCACATACTTGAAGGTAACCTGAGGACATTTTACAGGATGCAGGAAAATCACAGAGGTCTACCTACTTTCTTCATGCACTTGGCACTCTCTAGGAGGAAATTCAGGGAGTTAGGGGACCATTGCTAAGCCAAAGGGTACTGTGGTGTTCACAGATAAATACACTAAAGGGCCTACCACTGTTATATATTGGTCTTTAACTCTCCCATCTCAAGTACAAGCTGAGGGAATCTCTGCAGTCAAAGGTCTCTCTTGTTATCTTTACCCATCCATCTTTAAAAGTAATCAGTGATTAACACTTCCAATAAAACAATTGTTCTGCCACTTTGAGAGGAAGTGCAGTGAATAGTCCCTGGACTTAACCTAACTACTCCAAACTACTCCATCTTCCAGCTATGTGACCCTGAAGGCCAATTACTTGAGCTGAGCATCAGTCTTCCCATCTGTAAAATAGGCACCAATAACCACGCAATAACCTCAAAGAGTTGTTACAATAATAAAATAATTATCATAAAGTGGCACTTAGTAAGCTCTCAGTAAAGCTAAGGTATTTTTATTCTTAAAACTGTTATATCTTCAAATGAGCTCCTCAGTTTCATCTGTGGGCAGGAGGCAGTTTAGACCCTTAACATCCATAAGCATTTGCTAGACATGCTGGAAATCATCGTGACTCACTCTCCACAAATGAGGCCCTTTGTGCAGGAGTGGAATTTTACCTTGTGTGCTATCCAAACTTTAGAAGCTTCTCCAACGGCTAGCTTACAAGGAGAAAGTCTCTTGGGCACTTAAATAAGATAATGAAGCTCACTGAATCAGAGGGCTAAGAAAGAGACTTTGAGAATCTTTCTAGTTTGCTCCTACCTACACCATCCACACGTGAGAATCTGCCTTTCTGCAAACAGCCCATGGATCTTACAATTCCATCTCCAGTTACCTTCTCTCCCAGTCAGCCCTGCCCTCCCTCCACCCAGCCAGGCTCCTGGAGCCCAGGCTGGCCGAAGTCAGAGCCCTGGGCCTCCTTCTTGCCTGGGAGCCAAGTTGGAACAATGGCGTTTATCAGTCTTGTGCTGTATTTTAAAATGAGCTATGATAACAGAGCACTTTGACTAGCATTTTTATAAATACCATAAAAAAAATCTTTCTTGGGCCAGTTTCAAGAATGTGGGGCACTGGGTCAGTGAACAATGATGCAGAACGGACTTGATCTCTTTGTTTGGGCAGCCGGATACCCATGGCTAGTTGTAACCACCTTACTGGTTTCTCAACATTCCCCTTGCTCTTCACAATATTCGGCTTTCTGCAGAGAGGGTCATTTCTACATATGACACTCTGAGCACTCCCATATCCCACCATAATACTCTGGACTCCAGGCTAAATAGAGCCTGGCCTCGAAGTTTCACCTGTGGCCTGCTCTAACCTCCTGCCCTTGATGTGAAAGTACAAGCGGATCCTGGATGTCCTCCCTCCAGCCTGTGCAGGAGATCTCTTCCTTGCCTACATGCTGGGAAGCATTTCCTGACCGATGCTTCATTCTCACACTCTCCACTCCCCACAGCACCTGGCCGCCCTTTTCCAGCTAATTCACTCTCATAATAACTGAGTTCCCGTGTACCCTTTACGGATTTTAACAGTGGAGTTCTATGTAGGCTTAGAGTTTTCTGATTTTTTTTTTTCTCGCTGAAAAAAGAAATGAAGGAACCCTGATTCTAGCTCTTAATCCAAAATGATTCTACTTAGGCTATCAGGAAAGGAAAGTGAAATGATGGTGGGGAGTCAGTGGTGAGGTGGGGAGAAGTGTGTAGGTGACTCTGGTAGCGGCAATGAAGTCGTGGGGGACTCCACAATCAACACATTGATGATAGGTGTTTGTCTCGGGGCCAGAAGCATCTTAGGGGCTGGGTCCATATCTGTTTTTTAAATTATTATTTTATTATACTTGTACATACCAAATAACTGAGGTAAAAAACTAGAGGTCGAAGTTCCTATTTGATCAGTCATCCTAACAGAGAAACTGCTTGTATTTGTCTTACTTTGGGTTCCTTCGGGTTCACGGTGTTTTTCAACAGTTTTTTAAAAAAGCATTATTTCCCCTCCTAAGGACCCTTGGTAGATATTTTTTCCTAAATGGACCCCCCGTGAATTTTTAATCCCTCAGATATACTGTGAATTTGTATAATGTATGCATATCTGTGCTTTATACATTAAAAGAGCAATATTGTTTTGTCGCCTATGTAAGCGGTCCCCAATCTTTTTAGCACCAGGGAGTGGTTTCATGGAAGACAATTTTTCCATAGACCATGGGGGGATGGTTTCGGCATGAAACTGTCTACATCAGATCATCAGGCATCAGTTAGATTCTTATAAGGAGCGTGCAACCTAAATCCCTCTCATGCGCGATTCACAGTAGGTTTCGCCCTCCTATGAGAATCGAATGCCGCTGTGGATCTGACAGGGCGGAGCTCAGGAGGTAATGCTTGCTCGCCTGCCGCTCACCTCCAGCTGTGCGGCCCAGTCCCTAACAGGCCACGGACTGTACTGCTCCTTGGCCTGAGGGTTGGGAACCCCTGCCCTATGTAACCAACTTCAGCCCCTTGGCGGCTATATCACCTCTGTGGAGATTATGTGGCCCAGAACCAAACCAAGACAAGGCAAATAGTTTATGAAGAAAATGCTGGAAGGGGAGTGGGAAAGTGAGACAGGGACAGAAAGGAAGCCAAGATAGAGGAAGTTGAGCAGGTTGCCACTGCAGGCAGCTGGAGTCCAGTCTCGCTGGGGTTCATGGAACCAGGATGAAACACCCACCTCCAGGACACCTTACCTAAGGGGCCAGGTATATACCCAGAAATTCCCATCCGTCATTGGGTGAGGGTTGCTCCCAGGGGAAGAGGCATTCTCCGGCCATTTTATTTTGTCCATGCTTGGGCAGAATGGGCCATAGAGGACAGAGAAAGCCCTCAGGCAGGGTCATGGGGGCTGGCAGCAGCCTGAGCTGTTAACTCAGGGCACAAACAACGATAAGTGCTGGAGATGTGGTGGGGGGCACTGATGCTGCGCTATTTTTAATGTTTCCTTCTATTGCATGGTCCCACGATATGCTGTTTTTACATAGCTATAATCATAACTATTAGAGATAGGATTTTGTACTGTACTTTTTTCACTTGAAGCATTTTTTCAGGTTGATCCAGTTTTCATAATTATAAGTTTTAAAGGCTGCATAATTTCACCTCATGTGCATATACCATAATTCCCATAACTATTTCTCCATTGCTAAACATTTTGTTTATTTCCATTTTTCCTGCTGTTATAAATAAATTGCTAGGGGAAAAAAAAAAACCCTGGAAGGCACAAATTAAAACACAGCAAATTGTCTTAAGTGATAGAATTATAGGTATTTTTAAAATTCTGTCTACTTTCCTATAATTGCTTTTAAAACAGGAAAAATAACAGTTTTATGCACTAATTTGGTTAGCCTAAATAGCACCCAGTTGTTCAATCAAACACTAATCTAGATGTTGCTGTGAAGGTATTTTATAGTTGTGATTAATGCCTACAATCAGTTAACTTTATGTAAAAGAGATTATCCTTGATAATATGGGTGGGTTTGATCTAATCAGTTGAAAGGCCTTAAGAGCAGAACTGAGGTTTACTTGAAGGAGAAGAAATTCTGCCTTTGACTATAGCCTCAGATCTAACCTGAGCTTCCAGCCTGTCCTTCCTGATGATCTGCTCTATGAATTTTGGGCTTACCTAGCCATCTCCCACAATCACATAAGCCAATTCTTTGCAGTAAATCTTTTTTTAATATATTATCTGGCAGAACACTTAATGATTCAATAAGTTCTCACTGCTCTCCGTCAAGATACTGCAAAAAACGTCTTAAAGCATAGAGATGTTTTTTCTTATTTTGCATTTTTTTTCTTTCCAGGATTGAGACTTCTGGAAGTGGCATGAACATATTTAATTAACATGTACATTCTTTATTATAAACCCCAAACAGTTGGTATAGGGAACCCAGAGCCAAATTAAAGAGTGAGCCAGATGGGGATGTAATGAGGTATCAGTCTAAAATGGGTCTTGAAACATCTCTGAAAATATAAGAAGATAGAGAAAACTGAGTTCAACAGGAGCCCTCTCAGAGAGAGTACTGTTTGTGATTATAAGGATAATTTAGCAAATTCCTTGGGCTGGGGCAACAAGACTTCCAAAGAGAATACTTAAAAAAAAAAAAAAGTTTCTGACTGGGTGTGGTGGCTCATGCCTGTATTCCCAGCACTCTGGGAGGCCAAGGCGGGCGGATCACCAGAGGTCAGGAGTTCGAGACCAGCCTGACCAACATGGTGAAACCCTGTCTGTGCTAAAAATACAAAAATTAGCCGGGTGTGGTGGCATACTCCTGTAATCCCAGTCACTTGGGAGGCTGAGGCAGGAGAATTGCTTGAACCCAGGAGGTGGAGGTTGTAGTGAGCCGAGATTGTGCCACTACACTCCAGCCTGGGCAACAAAGTAAGACTCTATCTAAAAAAAAAAAAAAGGGTTTCTAAACTCCCCTCTAAAAGTGGTGAATCCAATTAACTATAGGAGCTTTTTCTTCGTTGGACTGTTCCAGTTTGGGACCAGAGCTGAACTGCAAGGGACAACCAAGGAGAGGCAAACCTCTACTACAATGGTCAGTTTATCCCCATGAAGCCCTTTGCCTCGCCTCTAAGAAAAATTTTAAAAAATATTTAAACAAATGTCTGTTGAATGAAGCGTCAAAACAGTAATCTAGTTGGGTTGCCCACTTATCTAGGCCATCCCTATGGACCTCAAATTGATATCTGAATTAAATTTATTAACCACATGCAGTGTATGTTTACTGTCTTGAAACAGTAAGGGGCAAATCTTATGACATTTTTAGAGTTTGGAGTAGAGACAGTTTGCATAATGGTGGGAATATGAGATGCCTAAATCCCAGAAGATCCCATAAATGGTGTGGGGTTTCAAGAGCTGTTTTCCAATTATTCAAAGAATGTATTTTGAGTACCAGGCATTATACCAAGTGCTATGGGTACAAAAGTGAGAGAGACAGTATGGACGGTCCTGACAGAGACTGGGGGAAAGTCAGCAGTAATTGCATAGTGATTACATGTATAATTACCTAATTGTAAGCACAGTAAAGGAAACATATATGCTGCTATGAGGACATACAATACAATGAATAGACTTACACATGTCAGAATGGTAGAAGCAGCTTTGCAGAAGCAGGAGATGTTTGGTGGGACTGATGATGAAGCTGCCTTTCCTAAGCTGTATGTGAGTCCCTGAATTAGGTTGGGCATGTGTTTGTGAGCGTGTGAGTAAGTGTGTGTGTGTGGAGGGGGTGGGAGGGAAGAGCAGATAGGAGATAGGCTGAAGAAGTTAGTGCCTGTGGCTATTCATCTTGGTATTTAGAAAGACCATCTAATCATCTCTTAGCAAAACAGCAGAAGGAAGACACAGCAAATACACTAAAAATATGAGTAGCTTTCCAGTGCCTCAAATGGTCCTGGGTCCTGAGTAGGTGCTTACTGAAGACTAAGTGAGGGAAAAATTGCCCAGGTGCTGCAGTATGTGCCAGGCACTATAATACAGTGCTTTACACAAACTTGATCTTCCCATGATGAAGTCATTATCCCAATAGAAATATGGGGAAGCCCCAGTCTAGAGATTTTGAAAAGCTAGCTCCAAGTTATAGAACCTAACATAAAAGCTAGATGTTTGCTAGAGCTACAGTGGAAATAAGAATGCAATCAGACTGGGTGCAGTGGCTCACGCCTGTAATCCCGGCACTTTGGGAGGCTCAGGTGGGGGGATTGCTTGAGGCCAGGAGTTCGAGACCAGCACGGATCACTTGAAGCCAGGAGTTTGAGACCAGCCTGGCCAACACAGTGAAACCCTGTCTCTACCAAAAAAATACAAAAATTAGCTGGGCGTGGTGATGCACCCCTGTAGTCCCAGCTACTTGGGAGGCTGAGGCAGGACAATGAATCACTTGAACCTGGGAGGTGGAGGCTGCAGTGAGCCGAGATCATACCACTACACCCCAGCCTGGGCAACAGAGTGAGAATCTGTCTCAAAACAAAAACAAAAACAAAACACAGAGATCCTCTGGTTTTTGTCTTGCTGGATCTACTAAGATCTGGCCAGGGTGGTCATGACAGGTTAGTATGAGATATGCTTTGACAAGTTAGAAGATATCGCTGACATTTCCAGTAAGGCTGCTGTGCTACATGTTATAGTGCTTTTGTTTGTCTGTGGTACACAATTATCTTGGGTTTCAGAATTCATCCTCAAAGTATTCCTCTGAATTAGGAATTCCAGTAAGAGTTACTGGCCGCAAATGACAGACACTGACTCTGGTTAACTTCAGCAGAGAAATTCACTAGAAGGATATCTGGGAGCCCAAATAATCAATGTCAAGCCCAGAGAATCAGGCTTGACAAACAGAAACCAGGGTGGCTTGGTTACAAACTAACAGCCAAAATCACAGTAAAGGAAGGGTCTGGTTAAACATCGCTGCTGCTGAACACCATACAGCACTCCTGGCACCATCGCCAGTCCCAGGAGAAAGGATTCCAAGATATCCTTGCACCTTCGAGTCACCTACTCCAGATTCAAAATTCCAGGTGGAATTCTGTCAATAGGAGCCCTCTCTGAGAGAATGAATCACTTGAACCTGGGAGACGGAGGCTGCAGTGAGCCAAGATCATACCACGACACCCCAGCCTGGGCAACAGAGTGAGACTCTGTCTCAAAACAAAAACAGAAACAAAACAAAGAGATCTATTAAACATCGGATCCGTTAAACATCATGTGGCCTGGTGGGCCACATTTAGGTCACCTGCAGGTGCTCTAGCTGTTCCTGCTTCCCAAGTAGTAGGCACAGCTGGGAGTAGGGTAAGGCATAAAATGGAAAGAGGCACTCACTCTCACGGACTTCTGTTTTTAAACAATGAACAATTTTTATAAAGAATAAATTTCAATTTTAAAGATATTCAAATTCAGTAAATATTTCATATATGAACTTAAAATTTACACACAACCAACAAAAATGTGACACCATGCAGTTTGCAATCTGTTTCATTGTTTTAAATTTTAGATACAAATTAAAAACTCCTTATGGTCAAATAGGATGGAAATAATTCACATTTTGTTTCTTCGTCTAGAAGAAGCAACAGTCCAGCTGTTAAAGCGTAGGCCATAGCATTGCTATGTTATTATTGCTTATTTCGAAACTGTTTACATGCAGGAATGTGTAGCATCCCACAGGCTGGAAATAAAAAATGTGCTGAAGGGAGCTTGGATGAATCCCACCTGTCTCAAACTTACTTTGCAAAGGAATGTCTGTGACGGGGTCCACCTATGTCAGCGGCAACAGCAACTTTAGTAATTGTTTAGAGCTTGCAAGGAAGAGTGTTTTATCAGTGACACTGTTTAAAAATTGTCAGCATTTGATGATAATAAGCAGCAGACTGACTTGGAGTCAGTTTTATTATTGTCTTTAAATTCTCACCCCATTACTGCCTGCACTTGCTCTCTCTCACCTCCCTGCCCATTATACACCACTGTGGGTGGACCATTACAGGGGAAGCTGGTGATACACATTAACTCCAGGAACACTGTACTGGAGACACAGCAGAGGGAAGGACACGTGGTATTATCTATCCAAAAGATCAACAAAGATGAAAACAGACAGCTTCCTACTAGGGAAGTCTTAGTGTGGCTCATTGTTATGCCAATGCCCTGTGTTCAGGATCCAGCAGGAAGGTTGTGAGCCCAGGGCCCTGTGGCCCAGTTAATTGTCCGCGGCTCAGCCCTGGCCAGCTGCCTCGGAAATGAATGCCTTTGGCCATACTGGCAAGACAGACAGGAGAGTCATCAGTTTAGATCACATTCATTGCTCTTGTGAGAAAGACAAGAAAAAATACACAGTCTGCCCATGATGTGTCCTCATCTCGTGAAAGATAGGACACTACTGAGTAAAATCAGATTCCCATCCGAAAAGCACATCTTCCGCTAATTAGGCACATTAGCTTTGTGCAAGGTCGGGTGTAAAATAACTTTCATTTCACTCGTTTCAGAAGACAGGGCAGATGAGGGCAAGAGGATATGCCCCACATAACAAGAGCTATTGTTCGGTTTTTCAGGAAGCCATGGCCTGAACAAGGCATTGGGGTTTTCACAGCTGGACTCACCCCAAAAAGATGATTTTATAAATAGTGTTTTTGTTTTTTACCTTTTCAACTTCATTAGAAAATACAAGGTTTACCTAACCCTAACCCCCAGACGAATAGACATAATGAATTCCCAGACATATAGACTTGGCAGTGACTGCTTCACCCCTGAATGGTTGCTTTGCACTAAGCACTTCTGACACTAATGTTCATGCTTAAGCAAACACATTACTAGGAGAGAAGAATAGCTCTGTCAGCCTGCCCAGGCCACTCAGCACAATGGGAGCTGCAGCTGCCCTGGATCTCATTAAAACAGGGGCAGGGAGAACGGTCCTGTAGACGCACATGGGGATTCTCAGATTCACAGACCTTTGCTTACACATCACACACCATCAGCATCAAACAGCTGACTTCAAGAAGTTCCTAAGAAAGAAAGCTTTACTGGTTATTAATAAGCCTGAAATATTTGTGTCTCTGGATTCTCTGCCAGTCTTCTTTTTCTCTTTGGTTCTTTTCTCTTTACATGACAATACTCACATTTGCAAAATGAGGTGTGTTAGAGAATCAGATGATTTCTAGAGAGAGCTATGTTTGGGACCATTTCTTAATCTTTTCCACCTTTGGAGTGTCTGTGTTCACGTTAGCATTTCTGTCTGGAGTTATGAATTATGCTGTCAAAAGGAGTTTCAAACTGGGTTTGTTACCTGGATACCCACAAATATGCACGGTCTGTTTGTATAAATCTGAAAAACCTTCCTTGTCCTTAGGAAACCAGGCCATTCTGCACATTAGGAAGGGGACAGTGAATCCAGGCTTCCGTTAGTTCTCTGGGCCAGTTGGGGAACAGTGCCTGGATAAATAACAGTAGGAGTCCAGAGTCCGTTCTTGACTGGGGTGGCTGTAATCCATTCACAGGGAGGGAGACGTCTCTGGCTGGAGATGCAGGGCTGAGCATGCCATCAGACACCCCTAAAGGCAAGCTTAAGACCACATCCCATCTGCCTACAATCATAGCAGTCACTATCCCCTCCACATGGTACACAATATGCCTCAGAACAGTCCAGCTCTTAAAGCACAGGCCAGAGGCAGGGACCAAAGGAGGCAAGAGCAATGAAGACACTGGAGGGATGACGGGGTTCTGTGGCTCGACTCCTGGACCATCTGCACCCAGAGTCCACCAGATCTGCCAGGAGAAGGCTCAGCAGTGCTTCTCTCATCGGAACAGACTCAAGCATTGGCATCTGACAATGTCCCCCATATGTCATTCTCACTCTTTTCATAGCCCACCTCCCCCCAACCCACAGCCCAACCTGGAGAAGCCCACTGTGAGTCTGGATGGTCACATCAAGCTTAGGACCCCTGGTGGCACTACGCACAGCAGCATCCTCATGAAGAAAAAGCCCCCCAGTGGCTTCCTGTCTCTCCAGACACGCTCCCCAGACGGCAGTTGTCAGTTTCCATCACCCAAACCCCTTCAGGCCAGGCCCACTAAGATTGGCTCACAAAAAAAGGGAGGGGAGAGAGGCAGCTGCTGCTGACAGGGCCAGCTGCTTCAGAGTCATTTCCTTGCTGCCGGTGCTGGGCAGATGTTCTACTGCCATTTCCCTTGCTACTAACTTCTGATCACTCTCCTGGTAGCTTGATTTTACCTAGTTGAAGGTGTCTCCAAGTGCAGCCTGTGGTCCACTTATAGGAGAATCACCTGGGATGCATGTTTAAAGTGCAGGTTCAGAATCTCTGTGTGTGGGACCCTCAAATTTGTTCTTTTAACAGATACCTCAGATGATTCTCATGCACATAAACATTTCAGAGACACTGAAGTTCTGTGACCACTGGCTCTATGTATTTACATTTTATTTAATTTGGACCTCAGGAGAATAGAGTAAATTACTCACTTCACGTACCACGGCCATCATCAATATGCTTTGGTGACCCGTCCACGCTGCTATATGTAAATCTCCTTTCCCGCTTCTGGCTTGAATAGTGGCCCATCTTGTATTTGTTTATGTTTAACTAAACCATTGCTTTATTAACAAACATCAGTCCTTGTTTACATACATACATACACACACACACACACACACACACACACGCACCATGATGGACAGCTTTACATGTATTCTTATGATCTGCACATCAGTGTTTTCTTGGGCACATACTCAGGGCCAAGAATGCATCCTTGATTTCTCTAGGGACTCCTAGATTGCTCTGCAGGATGGCTGCATTTATTTCCACCCCTCTAGCAGTGTCTTTGTTATACTTGATTTTATCCGACTTTCTCTAAAGTGATCTCTCATTGATGTTTTAATTTGTATTTCTCTGATTGCTAGTAATGTTTAGCATCTTTGTATACACTTATTGGCCATTAAGAGGTTTCCTCTTGTATATTTTGCCTGTTTTCCCTTTTTATTACTGTTTCGCAGGATTTCCTAGATCTACATTCTTTGGTTTGGGATGTCAGTAACATCTTCTTCCAGTTTACCTGTTGACTTTGTCTGTAGTATTTGTTGGAATAAATCTTTAATTTTGTTTTGTAGACAAATCCGTATTTTTTTCTCCTCCTTATGGTTTGTACTTTCGGGTTTTTCTTTAGAAATGCCTCCACTCAAAAGTCACAGAGATATTCACGCATATTATTTCCTATCACTATAAACTGTTATATTAAACGTTTGGGCATTTAATCCATTGGGGTTTCTTTTTAAATTGTCTGAGGTGGGGCTGAATGGAGGCAATTTTCCCATCACCATGTACTACTTAATCTATTGCTTCTGTAGTGATTTGTGATGCCCCCTCTATCATATAACATGTTCTCCTCTATAGCTGGGTCTAATTCTGGGTTCTGTATTCTGTTCTCCTGGTCAACTTGACTTTTTTCCCCTTTTCTTAATCATGGCTTTGTGATGTGCCTTAATATCTAGCAAGGCAAATTTCCTTTTTGCCTACACTTAAAAAATTAGCTGTCTGTGGATATTTATTCTTCATATGAATTTTAAAATTGTTTTTCAAAGTCCTAAAAACTTGGGGTGGGCATTTTACTTGAATTGCATTGGATCTACAGCTTCAGTTTGGGAAGAACTGATATTCTTAAAATGTTAAATTGTTCCACACAATCAGCATATCACTCCATTTATTCAAGTCTTTGCTTATATCTATTATTGGAATTAAAATTTTCTCCAAAAAGTCTTGTGCATTATTGTCAGATTATTTCCTAGATTTAAATTTTTCCTTTCCCATCTTTTTCTGGATCTATCTATTGATGACTATTTGCTTGGACCTTTCCTCCGCCCCAGTCTTGTTTTCCCTTGAGTTCTGATACCCTCTTGGGTTCTCTTTGCTTTCCTGGCTTCAGCCCTCACTACTCTGTCTCTACAGTTCTGCCTCCTCATCCCATTCCCTTGATCTGCAACTGCCTGGTCACTAGGTGTGACCATTTAGATCTTCATTGTTCGGAGTGCTTCAGAGATGTCACCTAAAGCCATATCTGACATGTAGCCTGGGACGTTAATGAGGCTTACGTCTGAGCATAGACTATAACTTAAATGGAAGTAAAAACAGAACTAATGATCTGTGGCCCAGCTTTAGGTCATAAAATGCATGCAAAATTGGATTTGTTCCAAAGGGTATCAGAAAAAAATGGCTCCTGGCAATATAAAGCTCAAATAATAGTAGCATAGATGATAAAGGCATGCATGATGTCACATAACAAGAAAGCTGGGGTATAGTTCCAGGGTTGGTACAGGAGCTCAATGAGATCATTTTGGCATTTCTTCAGGTCTTTCCCTTATGGTTGCAAGTTGGCTACTGTAGCTCCAAACATAACATCTTCATTCTGCCACATTTTAAAAGTGAGGGGTTGAGGGCAGAGAAGACTGAAGAGAGCTCTACTTATATTCTTGATGGAAATCAAGGACAAAATCACCCCCCTCAACTTTTCTTTCTAGCTCATTAGATGGAACAACATGGCATAACTACTCTGATCTATTGTTGGTGTTGGGAACAGGATTGCTTGTTCATGGCAAATTCATGATTTATAAAGTCCCTGGGCTGGACATTTTGTCAACCAAACAAAATCAATCTTCTGATAGGAAAGAACACAGGCAGAATGGTGTTGGGAAGAAAACTAAGGTTCCTGGTATGGATGGGAAAATATTTAAGGCAAGATCATCTGTGTTCTGAAATATCAGGGCCCTGAAGTTAGGAGTTTCTCATTTATTTATTTAGCAGTATTGATTGATCTAGGCACTGGGAACACAATAATGAACAAAACTGGACAGGATTCCTAGTACCACTAAGATTGCAATGCTGTATGGCAGAAAATATCAAATTAATGTTCTCATACAAAAAAATAAAGTTACTAATTTAGTAAAGTGTTATAAAGGACAACAACAGGATATTAGGGAAGTATATGATGAGGGTAACTGTCCTGAAGCAGTATGAGTTCTTTCACATCCCTGGAAGGTGCTGAGAAGGTTGATGGTCCAGCAGAAGCCTGAAGCTGCCATGAAAAAGGAGAGTGTTTATGGGACTAGGGGCAAGTGGCCGGGGCTCTGGAATCTAGCAGCATCTGTCCATTGAGCTCAAACAGACCAATGGGACCAAGTACACATCCCTGCCTCCCAGGCCAAGGAGCAGAATTGTCCAGTTACTCCACAGCAGAGATGAGAAAGGCTCCAGAGGACACTGGATGGGTTTAAGGATCCCATCTCTCCTCTGCTGCCACAGGGTCACTGACCCATAGACCTTCCCTCAAACTCCCAGATACCATCTTGGAGGAAAGAAGCAAAGGCCATCTTGAAGACTTAACATTTTCCCCCAGAGATTTTATATCCCTATAGAAATATTAAAAGTATTATATCAGTATGAAATGAGTAGATTGGACAAAAATTAAGGTTGTTTCTGTACTACTCAGCAGATGGAGTTCATGAGGAAAACTAGAGGAAAAAATGCATTTTTATATCAACTGAATGTTGTATGAACATATTTGAATTCTTCACAACAACCTTATGAGGAAAGTACTATATTGACTCTGTAAAAAGATAAACTTAGGCACATTAAAATATTAAAGAGTTAATGTGATCAGACAGGGCTCACAAATTGAGCAGCTGCAAGCCACAAGTTATTTGGGGCTCCACTGAAGAGCATAAAGGGAAGGCCTTTTTATAGGGAGAATGCAGAAGCAAGGCAAAGAAAATATTTGGTTAAAATGAAGCAATAGCCTTATTTAGATCATTCCAGTGAAAAGTCCCTAGTGAGAGGTTAGTTGGTGGTTTTTGATTGGCTAATCTTAGGTTTCATTTTACGTTTTACACTGAGCTGGATTTCAGTCTGCTTACCTAGGAACTCAAGGCGCTGAATTATTTTAACAACTCCATTTTTTTTTGTTTTGTTTTTGAGTCAGTGTCTCACTCTGTCACCTAGGCTGGAGTGCAATGGCGTAATCTCGGCTCACTGCAACCTCTGCCTCCCAGGTTCAAGTGATTCTCCTGCCTCAGCCTCCTGAGTAGCTGGGATTACAGGCTCGTGCCACCACACCCAGCTAATTTTTGTATTTTTAGTAGAGATGGGATTTCACCATGTTGGCCAGGCTGGTCTCAAACTCCTGACCTTGTGATCCGCCCACCTCAGCAGTAATCCCAAACTGCTGGGATTACAGGCGTGAGCCATCACACCCAGCCAACAACTCCATTTTATAGACAAGGAAATTGAGGCTCAGAGAAGATAAGTAACTTATCTAAGGTCACAAAGGTGGCTGGTCTTGAATTTTAACCCAATGTGACTTTAAAACCTCCATGCTTTTGGCCACTGCAAGATACTACTTTCTGCAGTGGTACATGCAATAAGAAGTATAGATACATTTTCAGGATAATATGAAGAAGGAAAAGATGATTTCTAGAAAGGGAGAACCAAATAAAGCTCCTCAAGAGGAGGTAACAATTGATTTTATCTTTCCACCAATGTTGTTCATCTTTTCCTCTTTAACATACAGTGGTAGGCAATTGTCGGTCCTTGTCAACTAACTTGAACATCTGGATCACCCGTTTGTTTCTACTGTCTTCTTTCTCTTGGTTTTTCAGTTATGTGAGCCTGTCTTTTGTTGTACCTCATACATTCTAATGGCAGGTCAGACATTATCTACACAAAGTTGTAGAGACTTCAGATGATAGCTTTTTTCAGAGAGAGAGTACCCTCCCCCTGCTATACACAGACTGGTGGCTGATCATGTTAATCCAATTAGTGATTTGCTGAGTCAAGGTTGAATTATAGCTCTCGTAAGTCTCAGCCCTCCACAGGTTCATCTCTGACCTCCTAGATTTTCAACAAAGGCCCTATTGTATTCTGCAAGAACCCTCCCCCAGCCAGTAGTAAACCCTAATCTTAGTCTTACAAGAATGCTGAAAAACTGCACTCTGCTTTTTAGAGGCAGGTTTTCCATTTGCATTTTAGAATCCCTGCTCTGAAGAAATTCAGTGTGCAGCAAAAGTCCTCAGGTGAAAACAGGCTGTCTTGTTTGAGGCCCTTTCAAATCTTCCACTAAAACTCTTATTTTCTCTATCCCGAGCAGTCTTTTGCCAGCCTTTGCACTGCATTTTGCAATGGGTTCTCAGCCTCCTGCAAAATGCCCCGCTGGTAAAAGCGGCTGCAGAAGCCAGCTCACTCTCCTCACGTTTCTCTCTCCAGTGCATTAGCCCTTCCAGTGTTCCTTGCCTCAGCAGCTATCACTTTCCCTCAAATAGGTAATTTCTGCATTGTATTTGGCTTTTCTAATTATTCTAGTTGAGGGTGCTGGTCTGCTGACAGCAACTTCATTTACCCAGAAGAGGAAGTAATTATAACCGGAAGGGTAGAGGGATAGGAATACGTCAAGTGACCTGCTCTAAGAAGCACCAGTGATCTCCCCGTCACCAAATCCAGTGGTGTTCTTATCCGTAACCTCCCTGATCTTTCTGTATTATCTGGTTTCTCTTCAGAGGCTCTGCATTCTTCATCGTTCTCGTTCTTTCTTCCAGTACTTTGCCTCTAGTTTCTCCTCTAGCTCCTCTTTCATGCGATCGTTATTGGTGTAACTTGAGACTCAGTGTCCATCACTCTTCTTCTACACATCCTTCCTTGCAAATCTCCAGTCGCTAGGCTTTGGCAGCCTCCCTGTGTGGATAATCCTGGCTCCTCTGCTAAGAGCCTGGAAACTCTAATCTCACACTGATAGCCATTTATATTTGCCCATCTGGATGGGAGCAATTTGTAATCTCTTCCTAAAGAGAAAGAAGAGGCACAGGTGATTCTACAAGTAGGGGTAATCTCTGAGAACGCAGAAATGCTGACGCTAAGAATGGGAGAGAGGTTTAGAGAAGGCACTGGCCTGCAGGGGATAACATTTTACAAGCAAAGGAGAAGGAAGAAAATTGTTAAAATGTGATTTTACAGGGAATGTAAGAGACTTATATATAGTCATTATAAGATGCGTAAAGAGGCTGGGTGCGGTGGCTCAGCCTGCAATCCCAGTACTTTTGGAGGCCGAGGTGGGTGGATCACGAGGTCAGGACTTCAAGCCCAGGCTGGCCAAGATGGTGAAACCCTGTCTCTAGTAAAAATACAAAAATCAGCCAGGCATGGTGGCGGGCGCCTGTAATCCCAGCTACTCGGGAGGCTCAGGCAGAGAACTGCTTGAACCCGGGAGGCAGAGGTTGCAGTGAGCTGAGATTGCGCCACTGCACTCCAGCCTGGGCAACAGAGCGAGATTCCGTCTCAAAAAAAAAAAAAGAAAGATGTGTAAAGATTCTTGGAAATAGATGTTAGAAGGGAAAAAAGTTTCATTATAAATTATAATATGTGAATACCTTAATATGTAGACATTATACAGATAGTATTTCAAATTAGTAGGGAAAATAAAGATTATTTATTAAGTGTTGGAAATAACTGGTAAGCCATCTGGAAAAAAATAAAATTGTATCCAAACCTAAAACTTTAAATCAGGATAAATTTCAGACAGATTAAATAAATAAAAGTAAAAAGTAAACCTGGCTGGGCACAGTGGCTCACGCCTGTAATCCCAGCACTTTGGGAGGCCAAGGCAGGTGGATCACTTGAGGTCAGGAGTTTGAGACCAGCCTGGCCAACATGGCGAAACCCCATCTCTACTAAAACCACAAAAATTAGTTGGGCATGGTGGCGCCTGCCTGTAATCCCAGCTACTCAGGAGGCTGAGGGACGAGAATTGCTTGACCAGGGAGACAGAGGCCGCAGTGAGCCAAGATTGCACCGTTGCACTCCAGCCTGGATGACAGAGCGAGACTGTTTCAAAAAACAAACAAACAAAAAACCCTAAATGAGTAAAAAGGAAGCCATAGGATAGTATTTTTTATAATCTTAGACTAAGAAAGTCCTGACTGAAAACACAGAAGCCATAATAATAAATTTATTTATTTATTTTTAAGACAGGTTCTGGTTTGGTCACCCAGGCTGGAGTGCAATGGTGTGATCATAGCTCACTGTAACCTCGAGAACTCCTGGGCTCCAGCAATCCTCTTACCTCATCCTCCTGAGTAGCTAGGGCTACAGGTGCACGCCACCACAACTGGCTTTTTTTTTTTTTTTTTTTTTTTTTTTGTAGAGATGAAATCTAACTATGTTGCCCAGGCTGGCCTTAAACTCCTGGGCTCAAGAGATCCTCCTGCCTTGGCCTCTCAAAGTGCTGGGATTACAGGCAAAAATAAATAAATAAATAAAAGAGAATTTAAAAAATGTTAATTGTAAAGTTAAAAGATAAAAAACAAACTTGGGGAAATATGAGCAACTAAAGTCACAGATAAATCACTAATTTTCCTCTTGTATATGGGGTCCTTATGAAGCAATAAGAAAAAGACCAATAACATGCTAAATAAAAATGACTAAGAGTACAAACGCTTTATAGAAATACAAATTACCTTCAAATATATGAATAGATTCTGAATCTCACTCATAATATAAGAAATACAAATTAAAACTATACTGAGATACTATTATTTACCTAACACATTAAGGTAACAAAGGTTTTAAAAAAAAAAGGTTGGCAACACACTGTATCAGCAAAGGTGTGAGGAAATAGGTACTTTCCACATTACTGAGAAGGCTTTAACTTGGTACAATCTCTAAGAGGGGAAATGTAGCAATTTCTGACAAAATTGCAAATGTTCATATCCTTGTACCCAGCACCTCCCATTCTAGGACTTTATTCTTGATGCAAATTTGCTGATATATAAAATAATACATTAATTGTAGCATAATTTGTAGTAGTAAAATTTGGAACAACATGAATGTCCATCTATAGGGGAACTGGATAAATAAGGTATGCTTTATTCATGCAATCGAGTGTAGTGTAGTCATAACAAAGAATAAGGTAGTTCTTAATGTACGGATACAGGACATTCTTCAGATGCTAAGTAAAAATATCAAGGTGCAGAACAGTGTGTGTAGTATGCTACCCCTTCTGTAAAAATTTTCACAAAAGAATATCTGTATGTACTTATATATTTTAATATGTCTAAATTACTCTGGATGGGTTAATAAGAATCTAGAACTTGGTTTTCCCCAGGATAGGAAACTTGGTCTCTGAGGGCTATGGATGGAAGGAAGTTTCCTTATCGTATATCCTTTTGTACATCTGAATTTTAAACCATGTGACGATATTTTCTAATAAAAATGAATTAAACTATAAAATATCTTTAGGAAACTACACATATTTTTAAAACCTCAGTGCCCTTAGATGGAAGGTTGTTTGCTAGCGAATGACTTTTCATGAGGTGGGAAAGATAAGAGAGAGCCTGGTTAGCTTTTAAAGAACATAGTTGGAGAGTTTTCCCAATAGAGAAAAGAAAACACACAACCCTTCTCCGATTATCAGTGCTTCCTCCCATGCCTTGGCTATAAAAAGCTTTTCTCCTTTGCTTTGCTCACAGAGCCACACATTTCCTGCCTCTCAGCTGTCTGTGCTTGCTGATGTCTGACCTAAATGACCTTAACAGAGCCAACCAGGGTGACAGTGGCACTACTGAGAAATGCCTGAAACTTCTCTTTGAAAGCCCAATGCTGGGTAAGCTACTACTACTGAAGCACATGTGCACTTGTGTGCTATTTAGTGTGCCTGTGCTCTTTCCTTTTTATGAGTTTTCTGAGGATTCAGTCAGTTAACATCAAAGGGCTCCTGTACATTTAACTTCTCTCTTAAGCTGGTGCTCCAGAAACTGCTCATTTTCCCTTAAAGAAGTCAGATGCTGGAGATCTAGAACAGAGAGGACCAAACTTTTATTAATCCTGTGTTTGCCATCTTTGACAAACTCTCACTGTGACCATCTTCCTCCAGCATGGTTTTAGGGCTATACACCTTTGTTCTAGTCTCAGTTTTCTATTAATTAGTTTTGGGTCTAGTCTTGCCTTAGTCTCAGCTCTGCTAGCTATGTTAACATTGAACAAGTCAATTTATGCTTTTGGAACTCATCTGTGAAATTAGGAGATTAAAATAGAAAATGTTTAGGTCTATCCACATCTGAAACTCAAGGACATGGTGGGTGGGGGGTGGGGGAATTCCCTCCTCTAGCACATCTCCAAAGTAAATAAATTGACATTGCTTTTTCTATAAAAAGTGGCAGTCATTATTCTAAAAGCTTGAGGAGGCTTTGGAATGAGAACTTTCAATCCGCATAGTCAAAATAATACATAGTTCTAAAAGACTAACATACACGGCTACAGGACTTCAGGCAAGTAAAAAGACAAGTGACAGAAGAACTCAAGGATCTGCAAAAATTTAGAGTATGGCAAAGAAGGCACTTCAAATCATTAGAAAGACTATGTGGACTATTCGGTCCAAAGGTTATTGGGACAACTTGTTGACAAGTTAAGAAAAAATCTAGATTCCCTACCTCACTCCACACATCAAATAAATCCCAAATGGCTTAAAAATAAAAATGTAGAAAACAAAAGATAATCAAAAAGTATAGGTAAAAAAATTACATCATTTTGGAATTAGGAATTCCTTTCTAAGCATTATTTAATAAGAAACATTAAAGAAATCATTGAATACTGGCCACTTAAAACTTCTATGTATCTAAACCACATACCATAAGTTATGAAAAACTGAAAAAGAATTCACAACATATATGACGGCAAAAGGTTAATAGTTTTGAATTATGAAGAACTCTTGGAAATCTATGAAAAGGTAAAATACAGTTAAAACATGGTCAGACGAGTTACACAAAAAAGGAGAAATGCAAATGGCCAACATGAAAGCTATTTCACCTCACTAGTATAAAGAAAATGCCAATAAAAATAAAAATGAAAATGCCTTTTAACTTATAAAACTGAAAAACGTTTAAAAGAATGATAATAACTAGTGCTGATGAAGGCATGAGATAATAGGTACTTTCACACACTTTAAAGGGAATGTAAATTGAGTCACGCTTTCTGGAGGGCAATTTAGCAAATTTAAATAGTATTTTAAAATGTATATACTCACATTTAAATGTTCACATCTAAGAATTTATCCCAAGGAAATAGCAGGGTAAATGCATAAAAATGCCTGTACAAGAATGTTCTTTAGCACATCATTTATCATAACAAAACATTGGCAAACCTAAAGATTTGTCAAACGAGAACAGAAAGCTATGAAATAATTTTAAAAGATGGACAGAGATGTCTTCAATATATTAAGTGAAACAAGAGATTATGTAATGGAATATACAGTATGATCATATTTACATATATTTTATGAAAACCAAATGTTAATAACTATCATATCTGGATGTTTTGAATAATAGGCATTATTACTTTACTTTCTGCTTATGCTTATTTTATTTTCTCATTATTCAAAAATAATGAGGATGTATTATTTTTATCATTAGGAGAAACAATAAAACCATAACTCTCCTTCCAAAACTCACGAATGAGCCTTAGAGATGAAAAGAAAACAATTGCAAATGAGCGATGCAAATATTTCCATGACAAAGTTCTTGTTACCATAGCAAAGTGACCATAGGAATAATGTTTAAGACTAAACATCTGTGTCTGTCAAATGTCTCGGTAAGATTTGCTTCCTCTACTGCAGATGGAAAGCTGAATTTTCCAGTGACTGTCCCATGAAGTTGCCACTTCACAAGGTGGGTTCCAGCAATCATATTTTGAACAAGATCCGACATGGTCTTTGGCCTCCATTTTCCACAGAGAAAAGACGTCTGAGTCAGAAGCAGGCTACAGTTGACTTTCTGTCTATCTCACTCCCTTTATCCACCCACCTCCAATCTCATTCCCTCCTTTTCTTCCTTTATCTTTTTCTTCTCTCTTCCCCCTCCTTCTTCTCTGCCTCTTTTTCTTTCTTTTCATGCATTCTTTCATCAGACATTTCCTGAGAGCTTTTCAGGATAGGAAGCACTGTTCTGGGCACAGAAAGCAACTTCAGGTTTCATCATGGGAGCGTGGGAAATAGTACTTTTCAAGGCCAAATAGTACCAGGATTTGGGGATTTACTTTACTTAATACTGAAATGCTTGGATTGATACTGTTATTATAGTTTTAAATATTCAGAATTCATAAACTTTAAAGCTTCAGTAAAATGATATGTACAGTACTTTTTAAGAGCACACATTTATAGCACACATTAAAACCTGTTTCAAAACATGAAGCAAATGTGTATCTTTATAAAGGTATAAGCATAAACGTACAGTCTTACGCTATTACAAATCAGCAAATGAAAAAGAATATGAAAAATAGTACTCATAAAATGAAAATTTGATTAACTTGAAAAAAGCTATCATTGAAATACTACAGTAGCAATATACATTTGACTGTTTTTAACAGCACAATTTTTAAAGCAAAGTGCTTCAATGCATTGCCAGCTTAGTTTTATGCAAATTGTTCCAACTGTTGAAAATCCTCTTTCCAACTCTGTGCTAGTGAGTGAACAGTGAAGAGATAGTATGGATTAACTGTAAATTATTTCCCTCTGGCTGGGCGCGGTGGCTCACGCCTGTAATCTCAGCACTTCGGGAGGCTGAGGTGAGTGGATCACCTGAGGTCAGGAGTTTGAGACCAGCCTGGCCAACATGGTGAAACCCCGTCTCTACTAAAAATACAAAAACTAGCTGGGCATGCTGGAGGGGTACCTGTAATCCCAGCTGCTCGGGAGGCTGAGGCAGGAGAATCACTTGAACCTGGGAGGTGGAGGTTGCAGTGAGCCGAGATCACACCACTACACTCCAGCCTGGGTGACAGAGTGAGACTCTGTCTCCAAAAAAAAAAAAAAAAAAAAAAATTATTTCCCTCTGACTCATTCATCTTCAAATTATATGATTTCTTGCTTTACACCAAAGGAGTTGTGGGGATTCTCAGGAGTTGTGTATGCGTGTGTGTTGTGGTATGTGTGTAGTGTATGGTGAGTGTGTGTGTGTACATGTATATGTGTGTGTGTGTGTAAAGTATCTGTGTGTATGTATGTACACATGGTATGGGTGAGTGTGGGTATTTACGTGTGGATAACTGTGTGGTATGTGTGAATGTTGAGGGAGCTGTGTATGTGTTTGTATGTGGCATGTGTGGTGAGTAGGCGTGGATTACCACGTGTGGTCTATGTGCCTATGTGTGTGGTCTGGGTGTATATGATGTCTGGGCGTCTTGGGTGGGATTCTTGCAGAGAATGGCCAAGCTCTCAAACTCTGCAGTTGGACTCTGAATGTGGATCTTTCTCCACCTAATTTTGGCTAACTGTGATCAGAAGGCTGGGTTCAGTGTTTTGTTTACACTTGCAGGGGCAAATTGCCCTAAGACCAACAGCACTAGTTGGTCCAAGGACTAGAGGCCCAAGGACTGATAAAGAGTGTCTCCAAGTCACTCTTGCGGCTGCAGAAGGGGACCTGCCTTGCTGGAAAGAGGCCTCCAGGAGACTCTGGGCAGCCCCAGTGGATGTCAGAGAACCAGGACTGGAGGGTGCCTCAGAGAGTATCCAGACTAGCACTTGTCAACCTGAGGACTTCACATTTTAGTGGGTAGTAAAATCCATTTACTGGATATCTAAGAGCTATTTGGAAGAATAGAATGAAATGGAATAGAACAGACTAGAATGAAAATAGTGTACATTGTACTAGTAAGAATAAGTACAGATTCCTGGAACTTTTGTTTCAATACTCTCTCACTTTGTGTGTGTGTGTGTGTGTGTGTGTGTGTGTGTGTGTGTGTGTGTGTGCTGGGTTATGATGTAAGATGAATTTGTCATCATTGGTTGTAGTTATTTTACATTTTTATTTTACAGTGAGAAAACAGAGGGTAACTGAGGTAAAGTGATCTGCCTTCTAAGGTCACAGTGAATTATAGGAAGAGTCTTTCCATGACAGCACATGTTCCAAGAGCCAAAAATGAGTCACTAGAAAGGACCAGAATAGTGACTTCTCTCTTTCTTTAGTGGAAAGAGAGAAGTCAGTTTTAGTCTTTATTTGGGGGAAATACTATTGCTTCTCAAAATATTTAAACTTGTTACAATTTGCAAAGGAGGGAATTAAATAAGTTGAGAGGTGTTTAAAGTCCCCTTTGAGTTTGATCATTCTAAGTTCTATTATTTTAAGGAGGTCAGAGAGAGAGAGAGAGAAATAAAGAATGTAGGTGACTCAGTTGTGGTCTGTGGGGAAAACCATTGTTATCTAGAAACAGTGAATATGAGTTCAAGGTTTCCCTTTGTCACTGTGGGTGCTGGGGCAAGTCATTGGCCATCTCCCCACAACTACTACATTCTTCCCATTTCACAGATGTCTTGCAGCAGTCCAATGTGCTCATGCATGTGAAATCCTTGGAAAAGCACAACAGTGAGGCAAGAGCTGCTGTCAGTGATTCCCATTCTGGTCTTTGCATCCCATCTTGGAGCCAGTCTTTGCAGTGCCGGGTATGGACACCTAAGACCCACCTGGGCACCTTTCATTGACCTACACAGGGTGACTTAATGTGCTTCTTACCCAGCTGAGAATTTGAGTTAATTATTACATATTTAAGGGGTTTTTCCAGTTAGAAACATGCAATGATAAGATTCTTCCAGGAGCATTAAAATCAAAACAAAACCTTGGACTGAGTGAAACCTTATGTCCTGATTTTGTCAGCCATTGTATCTGCCCACATAATGACCCTTGTAGCCAGAACTCCCCTGCCCACCTCTCCAGTCTATATCTTGACCACTGTCCCTGTCACTCTGAGTCCAGTTCCAGACACAATGGGCTTCTCTGAGGTCTTCCAATATTCCATGCTTCCTCTTTGCCTTTGCATATGCTGTTCCCTCAGCCTGGAAATCTCTTCCCTCCTCCTCTTCCCTCTTAATACACATGCTCAGCCATCAGATCTCAGCTGAACTGTTACCCTTCAGAGGCCAAGTTCTAAGCCCTGTGATAAGCTTCATAGCACGGTGAACCTTGCCTTTGAGTTATAAATATAATTTTACATTCATCTGTGGATCGTTTGATTTATGTTCATCTCCTCAACTAGAAAATAAGCTCTATGAGGGCAGGCGGGTTTTCTGTGTTTACCTCCTGCTGTATCCCCAGAAGCAGGAGAGTGTCTATCACATTGTTAGGTGCTCAAAAATGGTATGCTGAATAAATTAATATGTCCGTGGGTCTATAGCTCACACTCAGAAGGCACATATTTCCTGCCCATTTCTGCTCAAGTTACATGATAGGCGCTGAATAAACAAGGCTGTTCTTGAGCAATTTATTTGAATGTCTTAAATATGACTACAGATGCTTCTTCTGGAGAAAGTCTGCCTCAATCTAAACCTCTTTATTGCAGGAAGATTCTATATTCTCAGTATTTTTGCATTTTTCTGCATTTTTCTGACTAACCAACCATTTTAGATGCTGCAGGCTCTTCCTCCTGCTCTGTAACCCCTCAGTAACTGAGCGGGGAGGGAATGGGAGTGACCCCCGGTTTACTATCTTCTTTTCATTTCTCACTCACTGTATACAGTGGAGATTCCAAACCAGTTGGCATTGGTCTGATAGGTACCACCCCGTTACTTGGATTCATTAAGCATCTATCTAGGAAGAAGTATTTGGGCACTTGTCCATGAAATATTCAATAAAGAACATTTGTGTAGCATTTCACACAGCACCCCAGCCTATATTACTTGATTTTAACTTCACAATACTATTGTGAGAAGATAGCGTTTTCCAAATTTTACACACAAAACCCAAATACTTTTTAAGTTACTTGTCCAAGGTCACACAGCAAGTATTTTTAAGAGCAGGACTCAAACCTGGTTCTTTCAATTTCAGTATTTTATGTTAATATATAACATGCCCTTGGTACCTATGTTTGGCAGACTCCATAACACATCATATTTATTCCTTATATTTTACAGCATTTCTTTTTTTCCAGATGTGCTATGTTAATTCATGTGATACAATAACTTTCTGAGGTAGGTGGGGCAAGTACTCATCTCATTTTTACAGATAAGTGAGTAGGTTTCCAGTGGCTAAATGACACATATCATTAGTAGAATGGCTCAAGATAAATTTCGGTTCTCTGCTGTCCAGGTGACTACCTGTGGTAGACAGAATGGCTCCCCAAAGATGTTTAACTCCTAACTCCCAAAACCTGTGAATATGTTACCTTACATGGCAAAAGGGACTTTGAAGATGTGGCTAATTTAAGAGCCTTGAGATAGAGAGATTATCCTGAATTATCTGGGTGGGGTTGGTGTAATCACAGGGGTTCTTATAAGAGGGAGGCAGGTGGGTCAGAGTCGGGGAATGAGCTATGATGATGGAAGCAGGGGTCATAGTCAGAGAGACAGTGGGCGAGCTTTGAAGATGCTATGCCACCAGCTTTGAAGGTGGAGGAAGGAGCCACAAGCCAAGGGATGGAGGTAGCCTCTAGAAGCTGGGAAAGGCAAGGAAACAGGTACTTCCCTGCAGCCTCTGGGAGGCAAAGGCCCCGCAGACATCTTGATGCTAGGATTTCTGAGTTCCAGAACTATAAGGTAGTACATTTGTGTTGCTTTAAGCTACTAAGTTGTGGTAATTTGTTACAGCAGAAATAGGGAACTAATACACCACTCTGAACAATGACTGACCTCAGCAGAGTAGGAGACAGTCAGACTATTTCCCGTACACCCAAAACCCCAGGCCTGGAGGGAGGGGCTGGGGCAGGTCAGGAACAGGTCTTGGGATGCTGAGAGGCCAGTATGCTGCAAGCCTCTGCTGTTTCACAGGGAGATGTGGGGCCTGCTGTTCTTCTCGCTAAAGTCTTCCAGTGGCCTCCCAGGGCATGGGGAGTAAACCCCAAACCCCCTAACACAGCCCACCTTTCTAGCCTCATCTCAGCCCATCTCTCCCTCAGTTACCACACTGCAGATGTTCCTGCCTTCTTCCTGCTGCTAGTCTCACCTTAGAATCTCACAGGGAACCTTCTGATCACCTCCTCAGAGAGCATTTACCTGACCACCTCTCCAAAGTGTCCCCCAGTCATTCTCTGACAACTACTTTTATTGTCTTTATAATGCCCGGTAATACCCGTGACTTTATTTTTAAATATATTTTTTAATTTTTAGTTCTGGGGTACATGTGCAGGATGTGCAGGTTTGTTACACAGGTAAACATGCGCCATAGTGGTTTATTGCACCTGTCGACTCATCACCTAGGTATTAAGCCCAGCATACATTAGCCATCTTTTCTAATACTCTCCCTCCCCCCACCCCATCCCCCAACAGGCCCCAGTGTTGTTCACTCATGTTGTCTGTGTCCCTCAATAAAATGTATACCCATGAGAACTATCCATGTCACGGCTCTGTCCCAAGTGCCTGAGTATGTTTCCCATTCAAAAAGTATTTGTTGAATGGATGAATAGACCTGAGGCAGCCTTCCAACAGGAGCACCTGCTTTCTTCCGGCATCATCTCTAGCCCTGCAAGAGGAGCTTCTGCTTAGATAGGAATGCTGAGAACCATCAGAATCTTTTCTCTGCAGGATTCCTGGCTGCCTTTAGACATAAGCCTGGCGCTCACATCTGGGCCATGGTGTGCTCCTGTTGAACATAATTTCCATAGAACACCAACATCAGATACAGCCGCTCTGTGACTGTAATGGAGCAAAAGAAAACAAGATGATCCCATAATCATGTCTAGACCCAGACAAAAATAAGAACATTGTCCGAACCACAAGAATGACCAAAGATGCTCCTTTCCTGGCTAATATGAGCAACTTCTGCTTCTTTATTAATTACACCTTTAGCCTCATCTCATTCCTTCTGCCTTCTAGGTAAGAATTATTAAGATACCCAGTCCTAGAATTACCTCTGCTTCCTGATAACATCCAAAATCCAGAGCAATCTCCCACTTCCCTGAATCCTCCCCAGTATCACCTAAGCCCAAATCCTACAAGAAGTCCTTTATCACATCCTCTTACTGAGCTGCCCCATGGCTCCCCGTGCTATCTGTGTGTTATTCCTCATTGCAACTAGTCCATAAACCCAACATTGTCTGACTTCAGTTCTCTAGCAGGAGGACTGGAGGACTGACTTCAGTTCTCTAGCAGGAGGATTGGCAAAGTGGACTGGAAGGCAGGCCCAACTTTTTTGCTATCTGTGAGGGAGAAATCCTAATTGGGCCAACTGGTCAGCTAGAAAATCCTGAACTGCTTTGCCAATGAAACAATAATACTGGATGCATCCGGGTGCACATTACCCAACTGGCACAAGACAGAGGCTGGTGGGGTTCCTGGTGGAGCTGCTTCCTTATAGGTGCATGGCAGGAAGGGGCCCAGCAGGTGCAGCTGTGGCCTGCCTGGCTGGCCTCAGAGGTGCCTCTGCCCAAGCCACAGCTGCTCCCCACTGCTAATCTATCCAAGTCAATCTCAACACAGTTCGAAAGCCCCTCCTGCTTGCACTCATTTCCTGTGCTTCTTACATTCCCCCTCAGACTCTTCTCCCTGCCTGAGCTAATCTTGTTGATCCCCCCACCACCTCCCGCCTCCACGCCGCCCCACAGCCTGCACCTCTGTCACAGGTCTGTGCATCTGCACCAGCGGGGGTCTGGCCTCTGGCCTCCGTCCGCTTTTAAAGCCTTGCTTGATGATTAACCCACATCTTCCCCAAAGGCTTCTTGGCTGAGCCCAGTTGGCTGCCCAAGTTGATAGCAGCTGCTGTCAACATTTACAAAGGGAGCTCCAGTGATGGTAGCTGACTGGGGTGATTTACGGGGTTTGGCCGTGGTGGGAGTGGGGTTCACATAATTCATCTCCACACGTAGAGCCTCAACTTCCCCAGGGCAGAGGTTTTTTTCTTTTCCCCCTGGGTTTTTGACCACTTCCTCCCCAGTACCCAGAAGCTGAAAAGCCAGTGCTCAGCACTCCAGAGGCTCAGTGCCCTATGAGAAGGCCAGTCAAGAAGAGACTGTCTCCTACAGGACTGGGGAATGATACCTGCTTCTCAGGTGATCAATGCCTGCCGCTGGCAGGAATTGTCAGGGATTCTAGAAGCATGTCCATTATCTTGATGGGCCCAAGTTGTTTGTTCCTAACTCTGAGCTTCATGGCTTTCTATCCACAAAATCTTGATCCTGGGATATTTTTATTTCTCAATCTAGACATCTGCCAGCCTGTCTGACTACTGCAGGGCCCAGCTCACTTTAGTTAGGGGTGACAGTTAATCTCTGATGTCTTTCTCATCAACCTCCTCAGGTAAACATGATGACTCTTTAGAGAGCAAGGTCAAAATTACATCCAAACAGATTTATATTAAAGGAGGGTATTGGGATAAAGGATGCTCTATTACCTTACAGAGAACCAGGTTAATCTAAATGCACAGACGTGGGGAAATGCCCAAGATAGGATGTTAAGTGAAAAAAGCAAAGGTTGCAAAATAATATACACATCATGAGCTTATGTTTATACGCATCTATTTGCATGATTTTTATGTACAGGAAGAGTTAAAAGGATATTTACCAAACTGTTCCATAGCAGTAGTTATGAAAGGGCTTTCAATATTTAACCTTTCTAAATAATTTCGATTCTTTTACAAAGTTATATTTGTTATTTTGCAATCACTCAAAAATAATTTTTTAAAAACAGGGATTTGGGATAGCAGCTCTTACTTTCATCCCATTTAATTATATTTTTAAAATCTACAAAAAATACACAATTTTGCTTCACCTTTTAAAACATACTACTTAAATGAGGCTTTATGTATATCTTCATTGTTTAAATGTTTATCATTTCCGATTTATTCTTTACTTTTTAAATATCTCAAAGCACTTTGGATGTCCCACAAGCTTCGTACTGATGCTGTCCTGTGGAAATCCGAGAAGGCATGATTCTAAACCCCTCAGAAAAACAGCTCCTTGGGGAAATGGTCGAGCGGCAGTTATTCATTGTATTCTTTCAACATACATTATTGAGTGCTACTGAGTACCAGGCTGTGTGCTTGATGCCAGGGCCTAAACAGTTGACAAAAAAGGAATTGCAATTTAAAGGAAACACTCTAGGCTCTTCGGGTGCCCTGGAGCCACAGGCTTGCCCCAACAGTGTAGGGTAGTGGGAACCCAGCACCTCTGCCTAATGGCCTCAGGAGCTTATGCCAGTTAGGGATTGGGTCAGATGCTAATAACAATTGCCAAAAATAACACAGGCTTAAGTAAGATAGTTTATTTTTCTTTCATTTAAACAAGCAAGTCTGGAGCTCGGCAGTCCAAGGTTGCTACAGCAAGTCACGGTCACCAGGGACCAGACTCCCCTTGCCTTTCTCAAGGTCACAAGTTGGTGCTAGAGCCTTAGCCGTCTTGTCTTCATTTCAGGCAAGAACCAGGAAGAAGAGGAAAGAGCTTAGAAACTCCAAGTAAATAGCCTATACCCCTTTTAAGAAGCTTTTTTGGAAGTCTGACCCAATGATCTGTTTCCATCTTATGGGCCATAGCTGCCTGCCAGGGAGACTGGAAAATAGAGACTTTTAGCCAGCCACACTGCCTGGCCATGTAAAGTTAAAAAGTGCCTTTTAAATACTAGGTGGGCAACCAGCAGTTCCTGCCCCAGGGTGATAGATGAAAAGGTGAGTTTTCAAAGATGAAGGCCTCAGACCTGGAGGGTATTTAGATTTGGAAGTAAAATGGTTCAAGAAGTGACATAAAGAAAGGAGGAGAGAGAAATTTATTCAACAAAGACTGATTGAGAGTCTAGGGTCTGCAGGTACTCCAGGTAACAAAGGGAAAGAAGACCCCACTCTTGGCCTCAAAGTCCAGTGGGGGTGGACATCTCACCAAATACTAAGGAATTAAATAAGATAATACTTGTAAAGCTTTCAAATGTCACCTCTCTTTTGAAGTCTTCCTCAAAGTTAGTCATTTTTTTGCTTAAGAATTCAACAGCACAGTTTTCATATCTAAATCCTAACAACTGGCTGGGGTTCTTTGTAATTTTATATGACTGTCACCCCCATTTTCCTTTGCTACCTGGAGTACCTGCACACTCTAGACTCTCCATCAGTCTTTGTTGAATAAATTTCTCTCTCCTTCTTTCTTTATGTCACCTCCTGAACCATTTTACTTCCAAATCTAAATACCCTCCAGGTCTGAGGGCTTCATCTTTGAAAAGTCACCTTTAGGCTCTGGTCTTCTCAGGCTTGAGACAGAGTGAAAAGAGCACATAGGACTGGCCTCAAGTCATCTGCTTTGTGCCTTATCTGCTGTGTGGCATTAGAATAATTGCTTACCCTCTCTGAACTGCAGTTTTCTTCTCTAGGAAGTGGGGATACTATTAGTGACCGTTCGTGTGATGTGAGGATTGAATGAATGAGTTCAGCATGTATCTGGCATGGAGCAGCACTCAGTAGACAGTAGCATCTTTGGTTTTCTTTTCTTGTTATAGTTTCCTTCCTACTCTAATAGAGCATGTCCAGACAAGTTAAAAGTAGTTAGCAATCTTTTGAGCTCTTCCTATGTGCCAGGTCTTCTTCTTCATTTAGTCCTGGCAATAGGACCTGAGGTAGTAGTACCTGAGGTAGGTACCACTGTAATCATCCCCATTCTACAGAGGAGGATACCGAGGCTCAGAGAATCACCCAGCTAGAGGACAGACGCAGGGCCGTAGTCTTCTGGCCACAGAGGTCATGCTTCTAACTGCTACACAACACTGCTTTTCATGTTGCACTTGGCAACTGTTAGCCTCAGCTTGTCTACCATGACTTCTTCCACTGTCCAGTCATTGACAATTTCCCTGGGTGCTCCAGAGCCCACATCACTCCAGGGATAGGCCAGGAGGAGTCTGGGTCAGTGTAAGAGCTTAAAAGTCCCCGCAGAACCCTGGCATCTACACACTCCCCAGAGAACGTTATAAAAAGTTCAGCTTCAGAGTATGAGAACAGCTGTGACCTCAGTCCAGTTGTCATCGTAAGAGGCACCCTTACCTTATGAGAATCCAGCCTCTGAAAAATTCAAAATTATATATATATATATAAATCAATGTGTGTGTGGGGGAGGATGATGTACATTACATAAAGATAATTCACTTTATAAAGTGAGTCACCCCGGGCTTCCTTTATTTAGCCATCTTTCCTTGTGCACTTACAGTGATTTAATTTTTTAAACATTCCATTTATATGAAACTTTACAGGGACATGTCTATTAAGCTAAGTGAGATACACCCATGTAATTTCATGAGCTTCATATTGCAAGGAAATTGCTACAAACCCTGTCTGAGAGAACCCTTTCCCTTGTATTTTTCTCTTCCAAATTTTCCCCTGAGGAAAACTTTTTGAATCCTATTATAGGAAGAACATCATTGAAAATCATTCAATTATCACAAAAGAAAGAAGTTAATTTTAGCTGTGCTGGGAGCTTCCACCAACCATTCCCATCCTTTTTTAGCACTGGAAAAGTACAGTTTCTTTTCCTAGAATTTTAAAACGTGGAGAGATCTGGGAATCAGTAGTTAAGGATCTGGCCGCCAGCCAGGGGCAGAATGCTGATGACATCACGGAACTTAGAGGCCAGTAAAGGAAGGGACTGTTCAGAGAGTTGGCCTTCCAAGCAAGGTTGGCCTTGGCTGTTCTGGGCACACTGTACCAGTGGGTGGATTAATGAGGTGCCTTCCTGACCAGGCTGCCAGTGATGGGGCAGAAAATCACCAGCAAGAAAAGGGCAGAAGGCAGAGAGGGAGGAAGGAGAACAGGGGTGAGAGTCTTTAAAACCTTGGAGAGAAGAGTGAAACCTATACTTTCATTACATCTTGTAGTAATTTAAAACCATGCTTGAATGTGAAACAGAATCTTTAGGATGCCAATGACTAGAAGCTACTCAATCACCAGCCTGAACTGAAAAAGAACAAGGAACCTAAGCATTTAAAGCCTTTTAGGAGTGGTCTTCTAGAGGAAACCAGAGCCTGCTGTGAGTTTACATTTCAGGAAAACCTGGCCTGGTGAAGCCTGCCCTGACTCATGCCTATGAGCTGGAGCTGATGTTCATTGCTCGGAAAGGTCGATGTTCCTTCTAAAGCAATGAAACACAGAGCTGGGACCCAGGACTGCTCAGAAATCCCCTGGAAGCTCTTCTGCACAACCCTGTACCTACCTACATCTTTTTCTTTAACTTATTTTTTTTTCTTTTAAAGATAGGTCTCCTTATTTTGTCTAGGCTGGATTCAGATTCCTGGACTCAAGCAATCCCATCCTCCTCATAGTAGGGACTATAGGTGTGCTGGCTTACCTAGGTCTTTAAATAGGGCCTGACTAGGGTGAGGCCAACAGGTGTATAGGGCATAAGATTTAAGGAGGTTCTCACTCTCAGGGCTGTGCAAGTGCAGGGTTGGCTCCTGAGAGTGGCCACCTCCTTAAATTTGCATGCTATACACTTGCCTGGCCTCACTCTCCCTGCCCTGCCTTTCTAACTCCCCATTTAGTAACTCCCAAATTCTAATTGGTTAGGGATGGGGTATGGATATTTTTAAATGCTCCTCAGATAATTCTAACGGGTAGCCAGGATGGGGAGCCACTGCTTTAAGTGAACAAGGGTTGGTGGTAAATTGAAAGAATCCAATTGAAAGCCAAGAATCAATCTTGACTTTATCTTTTTCTATTGTGTTAACTGGGGGAAACAATTCTTATCAAATTCATTTTGGTTCAGTCTGTTCACTAGCAGTCACAAAGGGTCCTGTACAGGGTTGCCAGATAAAAAACAGGACACCCAGTTGAACCGAATTTCAGATAAACAACAAATAATTTTTTAGACTTTTCTGAAATTCAAATTTAACTGGGGATCCTGTATTCTCGTTTGCTAAATCTGGCGACCCTCGTTTCACATGACAAGTCAAATGTGTGGATTTAACTGCATGGGGCAGCATTTCCTAGTTTGTACTACAGAACACACGCTGCAGTAGATATAATGTGTATTATACCAAGAAAAAAAATTTGAGTTTGGCAAACATTGGGTGAAACAAAGTTAACTGGGTTTTTTGACTGTAAAACTTCTCAGAGTCTTTGATATGCAAATGTTCAGTGACCCCTCAAGTTGGAGACTTGTGGAGTTCCCAAACTTACATAACGGGGGACATCTTACATAACTAATGTTCCAGTAAACTTACTGCAGAAAACACTACTGGGAGAGGAGGGGGTGCTATTGAAGGGTTTTAAACAGTCAAGTAACAAGATCAGACTAATGACTGAGGTAGATAATTCCACTTTCAGAAGTACCAACTTGAAAGGAACAAGCACAGAGCCCAGGCAGAAGGCTGTGTTATTTTAAGAGGGCTGCCATGACTAAGTGCCACAGACTGGAGCTTGAACAACAGAAGTGGATTGTCTCACAATCCTGGAATCTGGACTTGTGAGATCAACGTTTGTCACAAGGATTGGTTTCATTTTGAGGACTCCTTCCTAGGTTTGCAGATGGCCGGTTTCTCCCTGTCTTCACATGGTCTTCCCTCTCTGTGCATCTGTGTCCTACTTTCTTCTTATAAGGACATCATGATGGCTCACGCCTGTAATCCCGGCACTTTGGGACGCTGAGGCGGGTGGATCACGAGGTCAAGAGATTGAGACCATCCTGGCCAACATGGTGAAACCCTGTCTCTACTAAAAATACAAAAATTAGCTGGGTGTGGTAGTGCATGCCTGTAGTCTCAGCTACTCGGGAGGCTGAGGCAAGAGAATCGCTTGAACCCAGGAGGTGAAGGTTGCAGTGAGCCGAGATCGCACCACTGCACTCCAGCCTGGCAACAGAGTGAGACTCTGTCTCAAAAAAAAAAAAAAAAAAAAAAAAAAAAGGACATCAGTCATATCGGATTAGGGCCCAGCCATATGACCTAATTTTGCCTTAGTTACCCATTTAAAGGCCCTGTCTCCCAAAACAGTCACATTCTGAGGTGTGGAGAGGTTGTTGAGGGGATATAATTCAGCCCATAACAGAGAGCTTTATAATAAATCTACTGACAGATGATGGAGGTTGTGAATCAAGGCAGTGGGGATGGGGAGAAAGATTGAATCCCAGAAATATTAAAGAACCAGAAATCAAAGGACAGGGGAATTCATGAGACATGGTGAATGAGCAAAAGTAAAGCAGAGTTTCGAGCAAAGAGTAGCACTCAAATATTTTTGTTGCCATCCCTTTGCTGTTTCCCGAGTCTAGAATAGAATCATGTAACACAAATTCATGCTCATAATGCAGTGTTTGATTGAATTCATTTCTGGGATAGATGCATGAACAACACAATTATTAAATATTTCCTGGCTGGGTGTGGTGACTTATGCCTCTAATCCCAGAACTTTGGAAGGCGGAGGTGGGAGGACCACTTGAACCTAGGAGTTCGAGACCAGCCTGAGGAACATAGTGAGACCTGTCTCTACTAAAAATGCAAAAAATTAACTGGGTGTGGTGGCACGCACCTGCAGTCCCAGCTACTTGGGAAACTGAGGTGGGAGGATCACCTGAGCCCAGGAGGTTGAGGCTGCAGTGAGCCATGATCATGCCACTGCACTCCACCCTAGGTGACGGAGTGAGACTGTCTCAAAAAAAAAAAAAAAAAAAACACGTTTCCTATTTGCCAATATGTCCACTAATTTTTATATTGGGATGATTGACTAATCTCTGCATCATCTCTCTCCACTCTTGGAAAGAGATGTTGAGCATTATGGGAGTGCTCATCTGTGCCAGATTAACGCTGCTCCATTGGTCTCCAAGGAGAAAAAAGGCTTGGTGAAGAGTCTCTGACTTGGAAGCAATGCCTTGAACAGACCTGGCTCCCTTGGGGGCTGTGGTTTTCAGGCCCTAGTCCCTGTCTTCAATCTAAGAATTAGTCAAAATGCAGCCAATAACTTTTGGAAGTGGAACTCCTAGGCAAGTTTTGATAGTATTAAAAAATCACTGGGTGGGTTAGACAAATGGAAATGTAGCCATAGGACATTTTGAGCAGCAGCCTTCAGTTTTACATGTTCTACAAAACAAAAAGAAACTTTTGGTATTGCCAGAGTCAGGACCAAAGACCCACAGGTCAACATACCCTCCAAGCACCAGCCTTTGGGCTCTCTTTCTGGCCTCCTTTGGCCTGGGCACCTAGAATATCAACAGCTGGACCGCCATGGTATGAAGGGGGTATACTGGTAACACTCTAAAAATCTGCCAGAACTACCACAAGCTAGGACCTATCTTTGCTGAAGTGTGCAGAATTCTTGTTGATACAAGTGTTCTTTCAGTTAAAAGCCATAAATTCCTTCTGGTTTAACTAAGGAAGAAAAAATCAGTTGGGAGAACTTGGTTCTTTTCCTTTTTGTCTCCTGAGGATTGATGTATTGCTCAGCCTTTTGGCCTGTCCAACAAGTAAGGAAGGATGCTGGCCAAAGTGCAACCATTGTCTGTCATCTTTGACTCTTTGGAGTCTGTAATCTTCCATGGTTTCTTCCTCTCAGCTTACACTTGAAGTCTACTTCCTTCCAAAGATTTTCCCTTAACCAGTCATCTCATAGCACTTAATATTTTGCCTCATTGTAGAGCTGGAGGCTTGCCCTGAACTCCCTGTTCAAGTACTATCTCCTTGAAAGGCAGAAAGGAATTCCTCTGTGATCTCCCATGGCTCCTAGCACTTACCTTGATAATGGCAGACTGCACTGAACTGGTCCTGAATCGGATGCAGCATCTCTGCTCCAGCTGGGCCTGGTCTTAAAAACTACCCCCGGTACATGCAATGCTCAAAAATTACAAACGTGCTCTAGAGTTGACATCTTTTCTCCTTCAATCTAATTTAAATTTATCCCATAACAATTTAAGTCCATATCATACATTGTTTGCAAAAATGTCCAAAAATCATTCTCTTCCTTGCATCCATGCCCCTTTGCGATATGGTTTCCTAGCTCATCTCATCAAAGATAATTCTCCACCCCTTGAATGTGGGCTGACCATGATATCAGTTTTGATCAATACATCGAAGCAGGGGTGATGTGCCATTCCAAAGCCTAGGCCAGAAGAGGCCTTGTGATTTTTCTGTTATCTCTCTCTCAGAAATCTGCCCACTACCTACCATGTAAACAAGCTTAAGCTAGACTGCTAGATAGTGAGGGACCACACAGCCAAGTCAACCCTGTAACCCCTGTGGCCTCAGCCAACAGCCAGTTAATCCTCAGAAGCAGGGGTCCTTAGCTGGCCTGTAGCTGACCATGGGATGCATGAAAGCACCCAGGAGACCAGAAGAATGTGCAGCTGATCCACCCAAGGTTGCTGATTTGCAGAATCATGAGCTAAATAAATAGCTGCTGTTTTAAGCCACTAAGTTATAGGGTTGTTTGTTCTGCAGCAATGGTTAACTAACACACCATCCGAAATGTTCAGATATTTGAAGAATGTAAGAAACTTCCAGTCAATTCACAAGGCTTCTCAAATTTGTGCTTTGGTGCTCTAAACTCATAGCAATAAGAGAAAATAGAAAATAAAAAATAGTATCGCTAGCTCATGGATAAACATCTCTACAAACCAGAAATCTCCCGTGTTCCAAGATAAAAACAGGAGGGAGTCAGTGGGAGTTTAGTCTCTGCAAAGTAAAGGGAATTAAAGAGTTCCACCTGAGGCAGAGTATAAACGCCAATTACCACTTGAAGCCAAAGGTTTTGGGAGTGGATAACATCCCCACCTCGCCAGCTCGTGAAAAGAAGACTTAAAAATAATTGTCAAGTATTATCACTCCAGGCATTCTCCCCCACCTGACTGCTAAAACCAAAGATCAGTTCTCAGTCCTCATTTTACTGAGCAGAATTTGATAGTCGATCCTCTCAGATTTTCTGCTTTTCTGCATGGGGATACATAACGCTTTCCTGGTTTCCCTGCTACCTCACAAGCCCCTTTTCTCAGTTTCCGTTTTAATGGTTCTTCCTTTTCATTCCAAACTCTTAATGTTGGAGGACACGTGGATTCAATTCTCAGTTCTTTATCCATATGCACTCCTTTGGTGATCTTATCTATGCTCATGGCTTTAAATATTATCCACTTCCTACTTCCAATTTAAATCTTCAACTCAGACCTCTCTCTAAGCTCCAGGCCTCCTTTTTTTTTTTTTTTTTTTTTTTTAAGAGGAAGATATGAAACACAAACAGGCTGAAATGAAATAATACTGTATAAATATGAAAATACACGATTTGAAATCTTTGAAATCAAAATTATAGTTATTTAGAAGTTCAATAGAACAAATTCTAGACTCACAGCAGTTACACAGGGAATTAATGAATTGGAAAAGAGTTCTGAGGAATTATCCTTACATAGCCAAAGATACAGGGAGATTTAAAAATATGAAACAACATAAGGAACATAATTTGAATAGCTACAATAAATGTTGAATAGGATTTCTGAAGAAGAAAATAAGGAAGAACAGTATTTGAAGAGACAAGTAGTAGAGACTTCCATGATTGAAAAATGAGAGAAGTCCTTTGACTAAAGGAGCACTCTGGGGACTTAAGTTGAATAAATAAAGAAAACCCACACCTACCAGACACACTGAAGTAAGACTGCAAGGCATCAACATGAAAGCGCTGAGAAATCTCCAGAGAGAATTACATTGTTTATAAGGAAGTCATAATTGCACTGACAACAGATTTCTGATCACAAGTAACAGAGTTGAAAACTCTACTAAAAGAAATATTATAGGATGTTATTTACTAGGAAGAACAGTGAGTCCAAGGCATGAAATATAAGAAATAATGATGCATGTAGAAAGTGGTAACATTTAATTTGTTAATTAATTATTAAATTAATCAAATTACTTTAATTAATTATTGACCATAAGGACATACATATTGACGACGTTTAATAACTTTTTTGTAATTAAAAGATGGTAAAATTAAAGCTCTCCATAACAATAAGATTGGGGGAAAGGAGCATCATGTTCAATCTCTGAGGCATATGTGATATTAAAGAGGACAGAAACTGAATAACTCTAGCCTTTGTTAGAAAAGTTTACGATTAAATGTACATGTTTTAAAAATTAGGGGGAATTGGCTGGGTGCAGTGGCTCACACCTGTAATCCCAGCACTCTGGGAGGCCGAGGCGAGCAGCTCATCTGAGGTCAGGAGTTCGAGACCAGCCTGACCAGCATGGAGAAACCCTGTCTCCACTAAAAAATACAAAAATTAGCGGTGCATGGTGGTGGGCGCCTGTAATCCCAGCTACTTGGGAGGCTGAGGCAGGAGAATCGCTTGAACCTGGGAGGCGGAGGTTGCAGTGAGCTGAGATCGCGCCATTGCACCCCAGCCTGGGCAACAGAGCAAGACTCCATCTCATTTAAAAAAAAAAAAAACGGTGGGGGAGAGATTTATATTTATTAAAATACTATATATGGAAACTTTATTAACTCAGTGGAAGACAGAAAAAGAGAAATTTACAAAGCAAGAAAAAATTATGGTAAGGAGAAAACCCAAAATAAGAAGGCATAAGTTCAAATAAAATAAATATAAGGAGATTATATTGATCTTCTAAAAATAGTATCAATTTGTTTTTTAAAAACGTCCAGGTATATGTGCTTCTTATAAGACATCCAATGAAAAAACCAAAGAGAAAGACTGAATGTAAAAAAATTTAAAAAAGGGGTCCCATGAAAATAATAATGAAGAACCTGGTATATCAATATTTATATCAGGCTAAATATAATTTAAGGCAAAAGCCTCTATATAATAATAGAAGCAGCAATCCACCAAGACTTAATATTCATGAACTTGTGTGCAGCTAATAGCATAACTCTGAAAACCACAAAGCCAAAGCTGAGAGAATTAGGAGAAATCTCCAAACCTCCAATCGTAGTGTAGATTACCGAGATAAAGTAAAATGAAAGTTTAGCAAGAACTGAAAAGGTTTAAGCAACAACAAATCTACCAGATATACAGCAAAAAGTCCTTATACCCAACAGTAGATTCAAATACATTTTTACATAATCTTACCTCCTGTTAAAATCACAAAAGAAGTCTCCACAAGAGTGAAAGGACTGTCATAGAGACCATTGTTTTTTTGACTACAGTGCAATGAAATTTGAAATCAACAATGAAAAGAAGTTAAAAATAATAATTACAACATATTTGGAAACTAGTAAAAAATACCTTCTAAAACATGGATTAAAGAGGAATCTACAATAGAAATGATAAAATATTTAGAAGTAAATGACAATGAAAGTTTCTCCTATCACAACCTGCGAGAGCTGGTCCAGAAAACAAAACAAAACGCTGTTAAGAATATTTTTGAGGTAACGAACCAAATTTGAACAAGATCTGTAGATTAGATAATAGTATTATATTACATTTCCTGATTTTGGTAATTCTACTTTGTAGTAACAGAATGTCTTTGTTCTTAGAAAATATACACAAAATATTTAGGGATAAATATTTTGAAACTTATTCTGAAATGGATCAGATGATGATGATGATTTGAAACTTATTTCTGAAACTTATTCTGAAAGGTATCAGATGATGATGACGATGATGATGATGATGATGATGATGATGATGATGATGATGATGATGGTGATCATATCCAGAGAGAAGCAAAGTGAATGTGGTAAGTTATCCCAAAATGGTGAATCTGGGTGAAGGGTATATAGGAGTTTTTCTTATACTATTTTTGTAGCTTTTTATAAGTTTGAAATTACTTCAAAATTAAAAGTTTAAAAACCTGCAAGATGCATTTAGCGCTAAAAGATTTTATTTTAAAATCTAAATAGTTCTGACCTTTAAAAAGATAGTGATTTACCAGTCATAATTTCCCTTCTGAAGGTTCACTGTCTCACTGATTAAACAAAATCTGTTGTGTGAGAAAACTGTATGTTCTGCAAATTAGCAGAGTTGACCACGATACCTGTTGTATATAAAACAGCATCTTACAGTTGCCAGCACCATTCATTAGCAATTGCCTTGGGGATAAACAGGCCAGGGACTAAAGAGTGATGTCACACAATTGTTTTAAATAAATGAACCAAAAAGACAACTTGTGCCACATTCCAACTAGGTCATAAAAGCATATTTAAGGAGCTTCAGTCCTGGGATTTCTCTAAGCCTATTATAATACTCTGTTTTGACTTTTCTCTCCATGTGCCATAATTCAAAACAGAGACACTCAATCTCCTTTTAAATGTTTCCTGAGAAATCTGCCTCTTGACTTCATAAGAGTGCTAAAGTGACAACACATTACTAAGAGATTGTTTCCAGGCGCTCAGCATTATGTAGAAAGACTCTGTGATGGAGGATGAGAGCAGACATAGGGACAAACATTTTGGGATCACCAAAGAGGAAGAATGAGGGTGGAGGGAGAAACAGAGAGATGAGAAAATAGACAGAGGATCAACACGTGGTTTCGAGAAGAGCTTTAAGGACAGGTTCAGAAAAATCTACTAGTCCCAGTGTGTTCACAAGATCTCTCTGTTGCCAGACAAACCTTTTTGAGTTTGGAGAGAATTTTGGACTGGGGGCCTTGGGAGGGTTGCATGGTAGGGAATAATTGCTGGAGATGGAAGAAGAGAACATGGATTCTAGATGCGTGATGTCCCCGCTTTCCCAGCAGACAATGGTGGGCATAGTGGGATAGGCCAGGTGGATTGTTTGAGGACTTTACTCATTTTGCAGCAGATTCCCTTTGGGGGCCTCCTCTGGGATGCCACTCTCCCAGGCCCACCAAATTTAGTCTTGGTCCTTTGTTACCTGGCAAAGATACAGCAACATTTGGGGGTCAATGGGACTCACAGCTTATTGACAGCCAGAAGACTAAGCAAATTATGCCACTTTTAGAAGATAGCAAAGTTTAGGTTTTTAATGAATTGTCCGTCTCTTCATTTATGTTAGTCTATTTTAATTAAGATTACTTCGGAAGACAGAACAAAGGACTCATCCTAGAAGTACATATTTCATTGCTGGCTAGTATAGAGGCTCAGGAGTTACCTGCAATTTTCTTCTGCCTGTACTCTTTGGGGAGATGGCCATGCTATGAGGGTTCCAGTCCTGGTTCCTATTTAACCTGACCAAACTCCTCTTGTCACCACTTCCTACAGAAAATCTTTCCAGACTGGGTGGATCAAGTCGAGAATCCCTAATCTACCAGACATCAGGGCCATAACCTCTTTCTCTCTCTCTCTTTTTCTTTCTTTCCTTCTTTCCTGAGACAGAGCCTCACTCTGTCGCCCAGGCCGGAGTGCAGCGGCACAATCTCGGCTAACTGCAAGCTCGCCTCCCAGGTTCATGCCATTCTCCTGCCTCAGCCTCCCGAGTGGCTGGGACTACAGGCGCCCGCCACCATGCCCTGCTAATTTTTTTGTATTTTTAGTAGAGACGAGGTTTCACCGTGTTAGCCAGAATGATCTCGATCTCCTGACCTCGTGATCTGCCTGCCTCAGCCTCCCAAAGTGCTGGGATTACAGGCGTGAACCACCGTGCTCAGCCACCATAACCTCTTTCTAACCACTATTCCCCCACATTTATTAGCTTTGAAGGAAAAAGAAGAAAAATTTGGACTGGATGAAAATAAATATCTCATAAAACAATCAGTGGGGATTTTGGTAGAATTTTTGGAGCATTAGAGGATTAGTGCTGAAAGCAGCAGTGTTTAAACTTTTTCTATTAGCTCAAACTTTATACAGATGCCCAAAATGCAAAATAATAATAATACCAAGGGTTTCACCGAATGGTATTTGAATACCTCCAACTTAGAAAAATGAGGTCCAGAGAAATGGAGAACCACACCCCAGGCGTGCCAGCTAGTTGGTGACAGCTGTGGAACCACAGCCCTTTGCCCTTAGAAGCATTTACTCATTGTCTGGAAATCACTGCATCATTAAAAAAGAATGGCAGGGACTGGTTTCTGTCCCCAGTAATTTTCACTGTAAGAAAGACACTGTGAGAGTCAGTGCACACACAAAACTGTTTTTCAAGCTCTCCAAAAATTGGCAGCCAGGCCAAAATGTTTGGTGGAATTTATGTGAATATTCAACAGACTATGCCTCCAGGAATTGGTACTGACTTCTCCCCTAACCCCAACCTGAGGTACGGGCCATGGAGACAGTGCAAGGAAGCAAACACAAGGCAGAGATGCAGAGTGTATGTATTCTGAGGGACCCGTGGATGGATCTCACAATAGTGCCAGCTTTCTCCGCTCTGGACGAGATGTAAATTAGGCCTCCCATCACAAATGCTTAGTTTGGCACTACTTTTGTTTGTTTGTCTTCCAGGGAGAATAGAGAGAATGGGTTGGAGAACACTATTTCACATAATAACATGATTATACTTCTATACTATTTTTAAACTTTGCAAAGTTCACCCACGTACTGCACATTAAAAATGTTTCACCAGAACTCTGTGAGTGCATAAGAGTAGTATTATCCTTTTCCTGCAAACAAAGAAAGTGAGGACAGAGCAGTCAGGTGGTTTGTCCAGAGCCACCGCATCAGTTGGTGACAGATGGGATGATCAGTCAGTAACTGAGGGAGGAGCACATCGTTTTATTCCCATCAGACTCTAGACTGGATTCAGATTCTGCTTTTTGGCCAACATGGCCTTAGACCCAAACAGAGGGACTGGTCCAATTTGGAGGAATAAAACAGAAAAGATACTCCAATGGTGCATGGGCCAGAAAGGAAATTGCACAGCAAGGTGACTATAATTAATAATAATGTATACTTCAAAATTGCTAAAAGAATGGATTTGAATGTTTTCACCACAAGGAACTGATAAGTATGTGAGGTGATGGATATGTTAAGAGCCTGATATGATCATTTCATAATATATACATGGATCCAAACATCACATTGTATGCTATAAATATATACAATGATTATTTGTCATTTTAAGATAAAAAAATTTGAAAAATTACAGAAAGATGGTAACAGGTATCACGGAATTGCTTCTGACGTGTGTGTTCTTCAGAACTGTTTATAGAACATTTATATCCAAATACAGATTTGAATTTGGTGGGTAAGTTCTAGCACCATAATTTACACAATCTCTGGAACCTATTTGCTGGTTGAAACTGCGCTTTTTTATGAAAAATTTTAAGGCCGTTTATTTCACCCCTGACGTAAGGCTGAGCAACGTTTTAAATGAAGAGTGGACTTTGAAAGAAACATTCGTGAGAGTGCCAAAGCGAGCTCCAGGAATGAGAGGACTAATTTGGCAGCTGTCAGGACAGATCAGCTCATAGAATGAGAAGTGGGTTGAAGGAGGAGCTCTGCCTGCAAGGACAAAGCTGGGCATGTAGGTCCGATTTTTCCAGCTGCCTCTCTTCTGGGGAGCCACCCCAAAAACCCTGTGTGCCTTGCCACCTCACCTGATGGAAGTAGAATGCTACCTCTGGCACAAGGGCCATTTCTATTTTCATGGCATTAGCGGGGCCTGAAACATCCATGCTCAGAAGCTGTCAAATAACACCAGTTTTTTTTCAGCAGCTTGTCTGAGCACTCCTGGAATTCCTTTAAAATACAGAAGGATGAGTAATCCTGGTTCTCATTTCTGCAGAGAGGGCTGGGAAAGGCCCAGGCACAACCTGCCAATGTTGCAAAATTCGTAAAGCAAATCAAGTGAACAAACCTCTCCTTTTCAGATCAAAACCTGTTAAGGATTGAGGTGTCTTTTTGGCAACCCAGGGGTTATTCATATGCCTGTTTCAACTGCTCCAGTAGCTTCAGGAAATAGCAAGGTGGAGCAGCCCACAAGAAAGCCAGCATCATCCTCAAAGGATGCTCACCGCTACGAAAGAAGCAACTTGGCTAAAAACGCTTTTCAAGTAAGGAATCATTTCCCCCTCAAAGAGAGTTTCTGATCACCCCAGAAAATGATCGTGGGAACTTCTGAGTCATAGAATAAACATGAATATCAAAGAATAAGTTTACATATTTTGGGAACATGGAACACTTTCTTTTTCTAAGCCTCTGACAGCATTCCTGAGAAGTGCATCTGCCTTGAGTTCAGGGAACTGAAAATCTGTCCTTGGTTTGGCAGCTGACTAGCTCATTGACCTTGGGTTAATCATTTAACTTGGGATCGGCAATTCATAGTCAAAACCATGATTATTGTGATCCAAGAGAAGTCAGCCTGCCTGGGCATGGGGACCCAAAGGTTATAATTTTAAGGATTTCTTCCTTGGGAGTGGAGGCAAAATGCTGATAGTAATAGAGTGGCCCAGATTCAAATGCCTGAACGGTGAGTTTTACCAGGGCCCCCACGCCATTCAGTAAGCTCTCTGGGATTTTCAGTGGGCCTGGGGAGGTATAACTCACTTTGGCTCAGAGCTCTGAAAGCAGAACTTGGGTGGTTTATTAGAATATACAATGGAAGAGTTGGATGAGACCTGAGTAATGATGTTTTTGTTCACCGCTTGTCTCATCAGAGCAATCTTCTGGACACATAAATTTAATGTTCTCATCCTCTGCTTAAAACAGCCTTCCACTGTTCCAAAATAAAAGCCAAAGTCTTCAAAACTGTGTGCACATGTGATCCAGCCCCTGCCTACCTCTTTATATCTTGGTTTTCCTCGTCCCCTTTAATCCAGCCACAAGGACTTTACTCCAGTTCCTCCAATGAACTAACTCTTTGTATCCTGGGCACTCTCTAACCCCTCTTCACTTTTTTTTTTTTTTTTTTTTGAGACAGAGTCTCACTCTGTCGCCTAGGCTGGAGTGCAGTGGTGCGATCTTGGCTCACCGAAACCTCCGCCTCCTGGGTTCAAGCAGTTCTCCTGCCTCAGCCTCCCAAGTAGCTGGGATTACAGGCACCCTGCCACCACACCCAGCTAATTTTTCTGTATTTTTAGTAGACATGATGTTTCACCATGTTGGCCAGGATGGTTTCGAACTCTTGACCTCAAGTGATCCATCTGCCTCGGCCTCCCAAAGTGCTAAGATTACAGGTGTGAGCCACTGCACCTGGCCCCCTCTGTACTTTTTAATTTTTATTCTTCTTTCAACGCTCAGCTCAAATGTCACTTCCCCTAAGAAGCGTTCCCTGAGGCTTCCCCTCCCCATACACGTTAGATCAGATAAAGCTCTTGTAATATTCTTGTAGAACATCCTATTCTTTTGCTTCAGGGCCTTTATCACAATTGATAATTATATACTTACTTTTACTTATTGAATTAATTCCCAGTCTCTCTCAGTAGATTACATGCAGTGTCTGTTTCACTTGCCATTGTATCTCTAATGCCTACTACAAGTGCCTGGCATGTAGCAGACACAACTGCTTGTGAATGAATGAATGGTCTCAGTGATTCTGTAAGGATGAAGGTGATGTAGAGTAGTAGATGGCAGCTCTACTCTGGAAGTCCAGAATACTGCTCTGATTCACACCTGCAAGCCTTATTGGTCAATGACTACTGATATTCCAGCCACCCAAACAACTGCTTTCGGAGAAGCATTAATACCTGCGAATAAAACAAATCTATTCGTTTCATACATTTGGTTCAGAACACTAGGAGAATTTGAGAAGAGACGAGCCAGCCCCAAGCTGTCCTTGTTTCTTTTATTAAGAATAGGCCATGATTTGAGCACATTCTACTACTTGCCTCACTTCAGCCTATTGATGGGGGAAAAGTGAGAGTCTGTGTGTGGGGACTCTGGCTTGGCAGTGAGATCTAACACAGAAAGATCCTGAAGAAATATGCTGACAATGGGGTTTTATCTCTTCAATGCACTGGAGACAAAATCCCTGCTTTTAAAAACAACACTCATACAGAGCCAAGGATGTCCCAGAGTGAACAGTCCTAACCCTTTCTCAGCCTGCCTAAGAGCTCGTTGGTTTCAGAAGGATGAGCCAAGGACTGCTACTTAGAGACTACTGTCTAGGTCAACCCAACTGGCATAAGTAAAGCACCTACTGTTTATAGTAGGAGGCTGCAAGATAACAGGAGATGCAGACTATTGAAGGCTACTGATCTATCTGTGTAGACAGGCAAGAATAAAACAACTGGAGAAGAAATCCAGGATTACACAAAAAGAAGAGCGTGATGGTATGGTAGACTACTCCAGAACAGTGAATTTCCCCTGCATTAAGGATGAGATCCCTATGAATTGGGATCATTCAGGAAGTCTTCTTGGAGAAGAAAAGTTTGAGCATATGGGGAAAAAAAGTTGGATTGGCAAAGAGCTGAGCTGTCAGTAGCTGGGTCCTTAGTAAGTAGGCTGCATGGAGCTGGGAGTTATGCTAAAGGAGTTGTAATTTGGGATGCCTCTAATTAACCATTTTGGGAAAAATATAATAAATCCCTTTGTAGCATCTATAATAAACTGCCCAATATCTATGTGGTGGGGAAAAAGTTTTATTCTACGTTTCACGTGGATGGTGATAACACTAGGTAATCTCAGCATCTTTCTTATTCTCTTGCTAATCCAGGATTCTAAGTAATAATCACTTTGTTCTACAACCTGAATCTAGCCCTTGTACTGTGCAGTTTTTTTCTACACTTATTTTTCCTGTTGTCTGAATCAATCTCCATGGAAGCATAAGTTTTACTGAGTTTCAACCAGCTGTGTCCACCGAGGTAAAGATGGTAAAAATAAAAGGCACAGGGCATATATACCACAGCAGCAGTTACTTCCCACAAGGAACCAGAGATTGGAAGTGAAGCTAAAACATTTTCAGCTACGATAGCATCTCTTTCAAGGTGAGCCATTTCCCCAGGGAGAGTTTCCAGCTCTTAGCAAAGGCAGAACAATAAAACATCAAGGATGTCTTTCTAAGGCTGCAAACAGAATAGCCAATACCTTGAAGCTGATCTGCTTCAGAGTCCTTTAAAAGCCAGGACAGCAACAAAGTGCCCACATTACATTTTCTACAAGCTTGCTAAGCATCTCTTTTCCTAAACCACAAAACCCGAGACATTTCTACAGAACAGGCAGAAAGGGAAGTCCTGGGAGATCAGGGCCCTGTCTCAGCAGGCATCACTCCAGCCTGTCTTTTCCCGAGTGGTTTTCTGCACTTCTCTTCCATCTTTTCCCCTCTGTCCCACACTGGAAGTCACTAGTCTGTGCCCTCCTTACCTCCCATGGTTTCTGCACCTTCATTTCCAAAGGCAAGTGAAAACAGTGCCAGGCTGCGCACATGGGTTACTCCAGGGACTTCTCTTCCCGTTTCCCCTAAAGCATTTGACAGTTAGATCTTGGAACTGAGTCCAGCAGCACTGAGGTCAGAGAGATGGCTAAAGCTAAAAGCAAACTGGATGCTGTTCAGGAGGTTCTCCTTTGTCATTTTTATCTCCAAATAGAAGACCTCTGTTTTCCCAGAAGATTAAATAGTAGAAAAGAAGTAGCCCAAGGTGGGTGACTCTGCAAACAGGTGGGTGAGGTCTCTAGTTGAGTGAGGGGGTGTCTGTGGGTTGTGGGTTCTTCTTATGAGCAGAGCTTGGAGGAATTTGTTCTATTTGTTGTGGTTTTCCCAGGGGGAAGTCGGGGGTGGCTGGGACTCTAATGATCATTATCAGAAGACTTTGGATTAGGCCTCTGAAACTTTAAGATGTGGATCCTCTCGCAATCATGTTAAAATGCAGATCTCCTTTCAATAGGTCTGGGACAGAGCCTGGCTTTTCTATAAAGCTTCTGGTGATGGGATGTCGCTGGTTCTCAGCCACAATTTGAGTAGCAAGAGGTTAGCTTTTCTACTTACTGCCTTCATATCCCCAGTTGGGCTATGTCGTTTTATCAAAACAATGTGGTAAGAGTGAGCGCCAATTACTAGCCTGTTGAATCATCCATTGTTAGAGCTGTTTCTTTGAGGTACATTTAAGAGGCCCCTCCCTGTGGTTCCCCATTGCACAAGAAGCCCATTTGCCAGGCAATACCTTGGGCAAGCAAGCCACTGTGCAAAATTGCATTGGCTCTTCCTGCTGCCAGCCAGGCGGCTGCTGGTTGACGTTGGAGTTGTACAGTTTATGTGATAGTGATGACAGCGCTGGCTCTGAAGGGTACTGAAGATTTTGAAGGGGTACTTCGCTGCAGCAGCTTCACCTCTCACTTTTGTTTACCCACCCCCGAGGCTTGTGGGAGAGAAGGATCAGGCAGAGCTCTGCACGTGCCATGCCAGGGGTGGAGGAATTATATTTTTATTTTTTGCTTTCTCTGCTACAGGACATACCATGCCTTTTACAGATATTTATAGGACAATTTCCCTCCTGAGAGTGCCCAAGCATGGGGGATGGTGAGGAAGATGACTGAAGGAGAAAGCAGGAAAAGGGGGTGTCTGCATGTATGAGGATTGGAAGGTGGGGAAAACCCTTCGTGTTTGGTTCAGCCTTCAAGAAAGAGGAGGGGTTGACTAGATTACAGATGTTAAACCAGGGGTCTGTGGTTCAAACCAGCAACTCTCTGCCCTTGTAAGCTGTATCTGGCTGGTGTGTTAATTTGTCTAGGGTAAGAGCCCCTAGGTTTCAACAGATTGTCCTAGAGTCAATGATACACAAAAGGTTAATCAGCCTCATTTCCAATCAGGATCATCTGCAAGTCCCTCCCAGAGCAGATATTTGGAGCACTAGGCTTCTAGAAGCAGCAGACATCAAGTTCGGGCCATGGGATTAGGGTGGACAGGGCAGCCACTTGGAATCATTTTCTACCAGAGGCAGAAGAGGCTCAGCTAGCAACAGCCCCATTTTACAGAGCAGAAGCCGAGCTGCAGTCAATTCAGTGATTCCTCCTAAAGTAGGGAGTCAGAAGCCGAGCCTGGACTGGAACCTCGGCCTCCTAGCACACAGAGCACAGGTCTACATTGGGGAAAAGCCCCTTCAATCTGGCAGTTGCCTGGAAAGCGCAAGACATTTGCGGCCAGAGCGCCAGGAGCCCAGCTGGTTATTTCTAGCTTCCTGAATGTCAAAAATACAGGCCGCTTCTCAAAGCAGCCTCCACTTGTCAGACCAAATCAAGGCATCAGCGCGTCAAGCAGGCGAATCCTCTGCCCCAGGCACCAGCCTGGGGGCGCACGCCCTGCCTCCGCCCCGCCCCACACGGCGCACCTGACCGGTTCCCGCGGTGCGCCTAACCGCGGGCGGGCGAGCGCTGCACCCACGCACCCGGGCGTCGCTCCCACCTGCACCCCGGCGTCACGCCTGAGCGCAATCTGCAGCCTTCACCCACCTGGGCGGCTGCCTGGCTTTGTTTAGAGTTGGAGTCAGCCCGGCAGCCTGCCTTGGCCGAGTGTGACTAGGGAGCTGGTCTCTGACCCTAGCGGCAGATTGGGCAGGACACACTGCCTTCTCTCTGGTCTCTTTTGGAATCTCCCACTTTCACCTGCTTTTCTTCTTAGCAAAACTGCCACCCCTGCCCCTACCCCAATTCCTCGATAGATCTAAATCAACGGGCTTGTTTGTGCCTCTGCAGAACCAATCCAGTTTTACAGGAACAAAAACAAACCCCAGTCCTGAGCGTCTGTTGGTTTCCCGTCCCAACTTCTGTTCATTCAACAAACATGGGAGCATCTACTGGCTAGGCTTTGGACACAACAGACTGAACTCTACCCCAGGGAACTGGCAGCCCCCAGGGGAAAAGAGAAGCGGATGTTTTTAGGCTGTAATTTAACGGTCGCAGGAGAGTTTGCTAGGGAACATGGGGGCAGGGAATGAGCATTGCAGGCAGAGAGGACAGGCTGGTGAAAGAACACCGCAGGCGGTAGGATCTGCAGGAAGGCAGGGTGGCCGGTGGGCACAGAGAGATGAGGGCAAGTAGCAGTGATGGGCTGAGGAGGAGCCAGGACTCAGCCAGAGAAAGGAGAATTGACTTCATCCTGAGAACAATGCAGGGCCTTGGAAGGTTTAAACAGGGAAGTGACCAATCCAATTTGCTTTCTTAGTGGGACTGGAGAGCGCAAGGCCTGTCAGTCCCAGCACAGGGGCAGCAAGCGGCAGCACCGCTGAAAGTAGCAGCATTTTCAAGGACAGGGGTCATGTTCTCCCACTTGGGGATCAAATTACCTAAGTTTTCTTCTATTTCCACCCCCACGCTGCTGCCTTATTCCTATCCCTGGCCCCACTGTGACTGGTTTGGCCTTCTGCCTCCATTGGCCCTTGCCTAGCCTTTAGGTAAAATGCTAGGTTGACCAGGTGTCCAGAAAAAAAAAAGAATGGATAAAGAAAATATGGTGTGTGTGTGTGTGTGTGTGTGTGTGTGTGTGTGTGTGTATTTAACGATGGAATACAACTCAGCCATAAAAAAGACTAAAATCTTATCATGTGCAGCAACGTGGGTAGAATGGAGAGACATTATGTTGAAGGAAATAACCAGGAAGGCAAAGTTAAACACTGTATGTTCTTCTATGTGAAAGCTAAAAAAAACAGTTGATCTCATAGAAGTAAACAGTAGAACAGAGGACACTGGAGGCTGGGAGGGATGAATAGGGAGAGATTTGTTAAAGTAAACACAATTATAGCTAGATAGGAAGAATAAGCTGTACTGTTCTATACCACTGTGGGATGATTATAGTTAACAATATATAATTTCAAATAGCTAGAACAAGGATATTGAATTTTCCAACACAAAGAAATGATAAATGTTTGAGATAATGGATATGCCAATTACCCTGATTTATTGTACACAATACATATCAAAACATCACTGTGTACCCCCATGAGTGTGTACAATTATTATTTGTCAATTTAAAAATTATTTTAAAAGATGCTAGGTTGACTGTACTCCCAATCCATCACCCTATTTTCAACCATCCATTTGTTCATTGACTCAATAACAATTTCTAAAGTGTTGCTGTGTGCCAGGTGCTGAGTTAGTCATTGTGGGATACAGAATGGGAGATTCATCTGTTTCCTGATCTCAAAGAGCTTAGAATTTATCCAATGTCCAAACTTGCCAGTGCATCAGAATCATCTATAAAGATTTAGAAAAATATAGCCAATTGATCTTCACCCCAGACTGACTGAATCAGAATGTTTCAGGGTAAGTTCCAGGAAGCCATATTATTAAAATTCTCCTCCAGGTAATTTTGTTGAGCAGTCAGAATCTCTGATCCCTAGAGGAATGCTGAAGTGGAATTTCTCTAGTGACCTTTCCTCTACATAGTTGAACAGACTCAGAGTCTGGCTCCTGACCATAAGACAGAGAAATCACCAGAGAAGACAGGGCAACCGCAGTCCAACTGAGCTGTAAGCCTGGGACCTGCTCACTCACCTTCAAGAAAGCAGGAGGGGCAGGAGGGATGGGTAAATGTAAGGAAAGAGAAGAATGTACTGGGATGGCGGGGTGGGTTGTACATGCCTAGAGTGGAAGATGCCTCTCTATCTAAATTTTATAAATTGTCCATTTAGAAAGCAGAAGACCAGCTCTCTGGCTTGTTGAAACAAACACTCCTTCTTTCTCAGCCACATCTTGATTACTATGGTCAAGTAGGGATGATTGTGCTGGCCAATTTCAAATGGTAGCCCTGATGAATTATAACAAATAATCTCCACGTGCTTTATACACATGCCCATGTCCCCACCAATTAAGTCTGAGTACTAGGGCAAATTGAAGCAAAGGGTGGTGGGGGGTGATCCTGTTAGCTTGCTGTCCTCAGAAATAGCCTCTCCAAGGTACTCTAAAAAGCAGCGGTTCTGTTGGATCATGCCTGGAAAACAGGTCTCCTTGGAGTTTGAGGGGATTAAAATTTTAGTTCCAGTTAACTTTCTGTCTCTTGGTGAAGACTGTTCCCAGAAATCTAATTGTGAAGTATTTATTTGTTGACAGCTAATGATGAGTCAGCTACTGTGATGCCTTAAACATGAATATGTTTCCAATCTTCCTGGAAAGATGAGATACAGTTATACGTAAAAGTGAATAAACACAAGACTTATTTCCAGACAACACTAGAAGAGATGGTTTTGTGGGTATCTGAAGTTCTATATCCTGAAAGCTTATCTGAGCAGTATGTATTTGAGAGCAAAATACTCTGGGTGCCATATAGACATGTAAGGCATCATCTTTGTCCTCAGGAAGCTTACAATCTGATAGAAAAGACAGGACATATAAGTATATAATATAAAGAAAACAGTATAGGCTAGGCCAGGCGCAGTGGCTCCTGCCTGTAATCCAGCACTTTGGGAGGTTGAGGTGGTGGATCACTTGAGGTTAGGAGTTCAAGACCAGCCTGGCCAACATGGCAAAACCCTGTCTCTACCAAAATACAAAAATTAGCCAGATGTGGTGGCATGTGCCTGTAGTCCCAGCTACTCAGGAGGCTAAGGTGGGAGAATCTCTTGAACCCAGGAGGCAGAGGTTGCAGTGAGCCAAGATCATGCCACTCCAACCACCCTGGGTGACAGGGTAAGACCCTGTCAAAAAAAAAAAAAAAAAAATAGCATAGGCTGGGATAAGTGAGTGATTCAGTGTTAGCTTTAGTGTCAATAGAACTTGCACTGAAATATTCAACTTTTTTCCCACAGCCCTGGACAACTTTCAGGAAGACAGTTCTGGTCTGTAGCAATTAACACATGGTCATCCTCAGAAAAAGGGTAAGGAGGATGCCACTTGACCTAACAGAATCTTATACATGCCAATAATGTGAAGGCTTGATGGGTGTTTGTACTTAGTCCTCTCAATTATTTCCCAGAGATACCCATAACTTAAAATGCAGGAACCAAGAGATTTGAGCCTAGACATTTGGATGAAAAGCGATTTCCACCTGGAGAAAGTCACTGCCCTTCTGTGCAGAGGTAGGTGCCCTGATACTTGCCTGACAGCTGGAAAGCGTGGCTCAGAAGAGGTAGGTGGGAGAAGAGGCCACATAGTATCTCCCTGGGCCTCCTGGTGAAAAACTTGTGTGTGATTTTTCAGGCCTGACCACAAACTTGGGGAAAGCTGACCCCTACCCCAGACTTGGGGCACAGCCCATGCGTGGCAGTCTCTGGAGGGAGCTCTCAAGGTCTCAGGTCTCTCTGGCTGGTCGTAGTCATCACATATTTGCATTCCTAGCCCCTGAGCCTTCATTCCTGGGTTTATCAGAAGCCTTGGGGAGAGGTGTTCTTTAGGCGCCTCTGCTGAGGCCTTCTTTGGGTGGGGCAGGGAAGGGAGAGAAATCTTGAAGCCGCTTTTCCCCACAATGACTCAGAATCTAGTACTTCCACTCCTAGCCTTCCCCCTCCCTTGCTCTCGGCCCCAGAGTCCATAAAACTTCCAGAGCCTTTTGTTCAGGGCTCTGTCAGCAGTGAGACCACCCCAACCCGACATTCCTGCTGATCTACTTGACCCTGGGCCCCTGTGTGTTCCATGGGGGAAATGGAACAGGGAGAGTCCACGCTTTCTCTGGTTTCAGATACTTGCTTATACCATTGCAGGACATGACTGAAAGCTTGACTCTTTTGTTTTGGGCTTGTTGCCTTAATTGACTATTGTGACACCTGGCAGCTCAGCGCTCCCTCTCCCAGTTCAACTGAGCTCCTGACAGAGGGACTCCACCTTCAACTTGCCAGGGACAGGCACTCAAAGGACGGGCTTCATTTCTGTTGAAGGCTCTGGCTTCTCCTAATATGTTTCTAATTCATTTCTAGATTCAGATCTCTCTCTACCTCTCCATATCACACATTCACAAACAATAACTGCCTGAGGACCAGGAGAAGCACAGGGCCTGCCTCGTTATTCCTCCCCTGCATGCTGACTCTTCCACTGGGGCTGGGCAGAGTCAGCACATGCAGGAGGGGAATCATGAGCCAGGCCCTGGCCAGATCCAGATTTCTAGACATGAGAACTACCCAAACCCCAGAGACCCAGTTCTTCCATCTACTTTACTGAGGAGGAACCAGAGAGTCTGAAAAGTAAGTGACTTGGCCAAGGTCACCCAACTGGAACCCAGGGCCTAACCTTTGGGTTCAAACTCTGATCATGACCAGACTGCCTCCTTGAATCTTCTTTCTACTTTCCCGGTACAGTTTCTGTGCAGAGCTGAGTCCTTGGGTGCCCAGGACTACACTAAGCCCTCTCAAGTCAGTACTTTCTAGGAGGCTGTAGCCTAACTGGAGAGAGAGGTGAGACCAGGGGTTCTCAGACTTGAGCAGATGTTAGAATCAGCTGGTGGGCTAGTTAAAACACAGATCTGCTGGCCCCACCCCAGGTTGCTGATTCAGTAGGCCTGGGATGGGGTCTGAGAATTTGTACTTCTAACAAGTTTCCAAGTATGGCTGATAAGAACCACTGGACTTAACCATAAACAACCAAAAGTAACAGAGGCAGTGAATGGAAACCGAGCAAAGGCAGGTAGAGAAAGGAGAGAAATGAGGGTGACATTGTTTCTAAGGGCAGGAAATGAACTCCAGGGGCTGGTCCTTGGGAGGTCCTTCTCTTCCCTCTACCTTCATCTACCCTGACTTCGGGTGTATCTAGAAGTTTCACAGTAGCATATAAATTCCCCCTCTCTGCTGGAGGGCTCTGGCCAACAGGTGAAGCCAAAACCATCACCTGTAGGAGGTTACTTAGAGCTGGCTCCTGTCCCAACACCCTCCTCTCGGCTTCCCCGTTCACATCGCTGCAGCCGGCACAGCTGCCTGCCTCCCATGGAGCCTGGGGGCACCTGTCCTAAAGGCTCAAGGATGAAGAGTCGCGGAGGGTGGTTGTGGCCATCTCACCCACCTCTCCCTTGATTCCTCCATGTACTCACACAAGCCCTGGAAGGCCAAGGACACTGACACTCAGAAAGCTAAGGGAGTGGGTACATTACAAAAGGATTGGGAGAGGGGGAGTGGTAAAAACTCCACAGCTCACATTCATTGACTCAGCTCATCTTTCAAGGCCCCAGTTCTCCTGAGTCATCAGTGAGCATGGCCTTGCTTTCATAGTCACTAAGGCTGAATGTGGGTCATTGAGATCTAAACTGGTGTTTAAATGTAACCGCACAGAGGTGAGTCAGACACACACAAGGAGAAAAAGAGCAAAAGAGAGAGAGAAGAAAGAAGGAGACTTAGCTCTCTCTTAAGTGGGGGTGAAAATCCAGGAGCGAATCTGAAATGATCCACCTCTCCAAATCCGTCCACTGTTTAATTGGCTCCATGTAGCTATAGGGAAATTGAGGCATAACTGCTGTGTCCACTAGCCCAAAGCTGTTCCAGGGACAGCAGCAACCTCAGGAGGAGGCCAGAGATTGGCCAATGGAAAGGCAGAAAGCAGGGACTCTCCACCCAGGTGGAGGCACCACAGGGCCCGTGGAGGGAATGGACAGCTGGCATTACGGTCCCCCTACCTTTTCCCAAGACTCTTCCAGCTGACCTACTAAGGCTGCCCCTTGACCTTGAGTACAAATGGCACTCATGCCCAAACAGCCGCTTGACCAGAGCCAACCGACAACCTCCTGTGAGTTTCTCAGCCCCAGGCTGGATCTGCAGGTAAGAGACAGACATTATGTTGAGGCAAATGTAACCCATGCCAAGCAGTGTGTAGAGATTTCTACCTAGCTTTATTGTTGTGAACTCCAGACAAGAGACTTAGAAACCATGTATGATTTTCTACATCAAAAGCCTGAGTCTGAGGCTTAGGGGTCTCTCATCCCTTTTCCAACTCCCTTTGTGTGTTGCGGGGTGGGGGGTGGGGCGGAATGGAGAGTCTGCCATGGAGTCCCCACCTCTGTCCCTTCCAGAAGAGCCTGTATATGGCTAGTGGGCATTTCCCTCCCTGGAGAGGAGGTGGGGGAGGCCCTTCATGTGCTTCCTGGAGCCACAAGGAAAGAGGAGGCTGCTGATTCACCAGCAGCTGCTTCCTGGAATGGCAGTTCCGGGCTGGCAGGCAAACAGTATTTTTCCAAGGTGATCTAGGGCTGTTACAACATTCCCGCTCTGCCCCCATCAGACCTTCCTGTAAGTCAAACCAGAAAGTTACCCAGACCACGCATTCCTGAGCAGTCAAGCACAAGATTCCAGACACAGTGTTTCCAACATGTCTCGCTATCTCTCCTGGGACCTGGGATCCAGTCATCCCCACAGCCCCTGTGCTTCCTCAGCCAAGGCCATGCATTTGTCGCACTGGCCATGGAGTCACATGGAAGCCACTGTGTGGCTCCAAGTCAGCTGGGAGGGGAAGGCCTGCCCTGATTCCCCTAATGGTCTGCTGAGAAAGAGCAGAGCCCTGAGCTAGCTTTGTCCCTGCGTTTCACAAAGCCACTTTCTCTGGTCCTGCCCAGCTTTCTGAGACAGAAAGCTACCATGTCCCAGACTGAATCAGTCTCACTTTTTTTTTTTTTTTCCCCAGAAATAAGGCACAGGTTTGGAAGTGCCTCTGTTTGACCCTGGTGTTTGGTTCTCTCCCTCACATACAGGGAACATGAAGGAGAACCCACCTCTGCTGCTTTTGAAGTGCAGTGGCTTTCACTTGGAATGGACATCTTTACGGGTGGCACTGGGGGCTGTGCAGAGAGGACCAGGGAGAAATTCCAGACTTCTCAGGTTCTGCCTCTGAGACAGACAGTGGTGGGAAACACAAACAATAAAAATCCTTGGTTCCACTTTCCTCATCCCTTCCGGGCAAATGGAATCAAATGAGGGTGAGGGTGGCTGGGGAATAAAGCAGGGTGAGTGAAGAGATGGGGGACTGCTCTTAGAAGCAGTGTCTGAACTCCACCCCCTCCAGGATGAACTGGAAAGTGCTTCTTCTCCTCCCTCCCTTGACTGATGGCTATGGGAACTTTAGATGGGGAAATACGGATATACTGATCTCTCAACCAAATGTAATTTGTATTAAGAATTAAGAGTTCACAAGTTATTCTCTGTCTCTCTCTCTTTTTTTTTTTTTAAAGAAACAGCCTTGCCCTGTCACCCAGGCTGGAGTGCTGTGGTGCTATCATAGCTCACTGCAGCCTCAAAATCCTGGGCTTAAGTGATTCTCCCACCTCAGCCTCCTGAGCAGCTAGTACTACAGGCACACACTACCATAACTGACCAATTTTTCTGTTTTCTGAAGAGATGAGGTTTCGCTCTGTTGACTAGACTGATGTCAAATTCTTGGCCTAACGTGATTTTCTCCCTGGGCCTCCCAAAGTGCTGAGATTAGGAGTGTGAGCCAATGCACCCAGCCAACTTATCCTTTTTTATCTTCATCACAATCTTATGAGGTGGGTATCGTTATTAGTATTGTCATTTAATAGAGGAAGAGAACAAGGATTGGGAGCGTTTAACAGCCGGCCCAGGATGAATGCGTCAAGTTTCAAATCCATGTCTCCTGATTCCAAGTCCATATTTCTCACAGTCCACGTTATATACTCAGCAGACGCTGTTGACAGGCTCTCTGAATCCAGGAGGCAGCTCTGAGCCTCAGGAAGTAAGTTGCTAGAATCCCAGTTAGGGTCCTAATATTCTAAGAGATACAGACCTAACAGAGAAGTGTGCTGTGCCTGTGGCTTTGTGGCAGGGTTTGTCTACAATAAATAAACACATGTTGTGTTCACAGGGCTTAACTCAGTGCTGTAACAGGAGCTTCAGAACTGACAGGGCAAACAGTCCTCTTCAGTTAAGTATCACTGGCCATGTCTTACCCTCTCAGATAAGTTGCAAATGCTTTTTTAACTCTCTCCCTCCCACCTACTATTATAGAACCATTTCTCAAAGCTTAATTCAAGACTTTATTTCTGTTTTCCAATAGTTATACACCTTATCTCTAAGAATAACCATTTTTAATGCCTTTGATTTTTCCCACTGAGCTCTTTGCCCCACGATTGTCCAGTAGCTGGGAATGGAGAGTGAGTCTGCACTTTTGATTACCTGATAAACAGCGATCCTTCCTCCTCCCCGATCCCACACTCCCGGAACCCTGACTTGGTTCTCTATCCTTGTCCTTCAGGAGAGAATGAACCTCTCTCCAGCCCCCGGGGGCTAAGGTTTTGTCCGAGACTTAGACTCTCAGCCATTGGTTCGGTATTCTGACTGCGCATTGGAACCATCTAGGGGGCGTTAAAAATCCCACTAACGCCAACAGGGGCTCCAGGGCTCCCTCAGGAGCTGTGGCTTGGCTGTCATTTTTCCCTTGCCAAGTGATTGGTGTTAGGGATGGTCATGTGACGCTAAACTGGCCAATGGGGTACGAGGATGCGAGGCTGCGAAGCTTCTGGGAATGTTTTCCACAGCTAAAAGCAAAAAAGCTGCAATTCAGGGGTGTTTTGTTTTTCTCCCTGGAAGTTGTTCTCTATGTGCCCCAAAGGAAGGAGCTTAATTTAGTTAGCAATCTGTGGACATTATCGCATTTGATCCTCACACTACCCTTTGAGGTAGTTAATATTTTGGTTTTAGTTATTAATTTACAGACAAGGAAACTAAGGTTTCTTAATTTTACAGACAAGGAAACTAAGGTTCACGGAAGTTTCAGTATCTCCACACCCCCTTCAATGACAACAGCTGAGCAGAGTCAGGGTGACCCTGGTCCTGCCTGGTTCCAAAGACCATGATTTTCTCACTATTTCCCTATTTGCAAGGTTGTGCTGGAAAGCTGTCTAAATAATAAAACTAATAAAAGTCCTGGCCGGATGCAGTGGCTCATGCCTGTAATCCCAGCACTTTGGGAGGCCCAGGTAAGAAGGATCGCTTGAGGCTAAGAGAGTTCAAGACCAGCCTGAGTTGACAGCAATAGCTTATCTCTACAAAAGCAAAAAAAAAAAAAAAAAAAAAAAAAAAAAATTAGCTGGGCATGGTGCAGGAGCCTGTAGTTCCAGCTACTCAGGAGGCTGAGGTGGGAGGATCACTTGAGTCCAGGAAATCCAGGCCTTTGAGGCTACATTGAGCTAGGCTCACACCACTGCACTCCAGCCTGGGCAACAGAGTGAGATCCAGTCTCAAAAAAAAAAAAAAAAAAAAAAGGCCTGACTTTTAACACTTACCAATGTCCATGGTGTAAATATTCCCACAATAACCAATTTTAAGCTACCACTGTGAGCTCTCCGAGCACTAACTTGAAAGAGATGTGCACAATCAGCTCTCATGAGCCAGTGTGATCCAACTCCAGCCAACCATTGGAAAAGGGGGCACGTGCTCAAACCCGGTCTTTGATGCTAAAAACATGTTTTCCTTCATCCCCCTACCGGGGCTTTCTCTGAACACACACCTCCCCAGAGCAGATCTTTACACTGGCATTCAGCACTGTTAGGAAAGGTGCTCAGCTCTAGTTCCTAGAGGGCAGAATAAGGATAATGAGGGACAAATCAGTAGGGGTGAACTTCAGAGGTTTCCTAATGCCTCCAGGTTGCTAATGATGCAAGCATGAGCCCCAAAGGACTACTTATCATTCTGCATAAGAGTGGGCCGAGAGAGCCCTTGCCGTTCGTTTGATCTCATTGCCATCTGAGCTGCTATGCCTTTTGTACACCCTGCTGAGCCCCCAGAAATGCTATGCACAGATTCATGACTGTGTGGTACAGTGAAAGCAGCAGGGGCCTGGCATGTGGCCAGTGGAAACATGATGGTAAGCCAACTCAGGCCTGCCCCAGTGGGCCCCCTAGGGCAAACGCCACAATAATAGTGTGCTTGCTAAGCCCATTCCACACTGTGGTACGCCAGCCTCTCAGGGTTGGGAGAGCCCTCCGGTCCAGGTCCATCATCCCCAACGAGGGTTGTAGACTGAAGATGTCCAGTGATCTTCCCTCCAAAGGAAGTCTATTACATATTTAGGGACCTTGGTGGAAAAGTTCATTTTTATGCTATGCCATAACACATTCTATGACTCCTGCTACAGCCTGAGGTGCTCCTAGTTCTAACCCTGGGAGCCATATGTTGTCAGACTGGTCCCTCCACACATGGCACGCCTATCAGTCAGGATAGGCTAGGTTATGCTGCAGGGACAAACACCGATCGTAATCTCAGCGCCATGAAACAGCAGTAATAAAAACCATAACAGCAACTAGTATTTCTTGCTCATTCAAAATGTCCATTGAGGGTAAGCTAGGGGTCCTATTCATGTTAATCACTCAGGGACCCAGGCTGTCAGAGCCCAGCCACCACCTCTCATCATTGCCGTTCACTGGAAGAAAAAGAGTGTCTCACCAGCACTGAAATGTTCTGGCTTGCAAGTAGTATATACCATTCTGCTCTGGACTTGTTGGCTAGAATTATTCATACGACCTCACCTGTCTGTGCTCAGGAGGCAGGGAGCTAGAAATAGTTGGGAAGCAAAAATAATAACCATCACATTAGCTTTTCACATATTTGAAGGTGGTTATGCTGTCCACTTGCCTTTGCTCCAGAGGCTCACCCGTTACCTCCTCACTTGCTGAGCTCCATGTTTCTGCTCCCTTCATCACTCAGTTCACTCTCCTCTGAACATGATCCAGGTTTGTATCTCTCTGTGGTGGTATCTAGAGCTGAGTTCAGTTTTCTAGGCACAGCCTAACCACGGCAAAGCTCAGTGGAGCTCATCCTTCCCCACATCTGAGGCATCACACTCATAACCCTGGAGGCTAAGATTGCATTTTATATTTTTTTGGCAGCCACAGCACCCTGTTGTATATTCACTAGATTCTAAGCTCCAGAATGGTAGAGACTATGACTTCCTTGCTCATTGTTCTGGCCCTATCACTTGGAAAAGGTTCTGATAAATCCAAATATTTGTCAGATGAATAAATATATTGAATGTATTCTCTTTGCCTCTGCCTAATTTTTACTCATGCTGTCAAGACCTATTGCCTCCATCTCATCCTGATATAATGAGCTTTTTCAGACCCAAGTACAGTTTATTTCTTCCATTTGTTCTGGCATACAGCTATGAAAGAGTGTTATCTTTGGAGTCAAAAAGTGTGTGTCTGACACCCAGCTCTGATTTTATCATTCAACACCATATATGTCTTAAGCACCTACAATATGCCAGGTGCCATGGATACAGTTATGAAGACAGACCGACCACAGGGCTGCCTTACCATTGGGTTAATTTGGGTAAACAATATAACATGTCTTGATTAGAATGTAAATTCCACGAAGGCAGGGATCTTTGGTGTCTTTTTCACTCTAGTTTTTCCAGCAACCACAATATGCCTGAAATATAATAGATGCTCAATAAATATTAGTTTAGTGAATGTCTGACTCTCTAAACTCATGTGCTTTTCTATATCACAGTCTTCTGGGAGGGCATGAATAGCTTGAAAACAAAGTAGCCCTTTGTCCCACTGTTTAATTTTTGTGTTTAGTCATAATGTTGACGGTATGAAATCTCAAATAGGATTAAGACTTGAAATTTGTCTGTTAATCCAAGGGGAGCAGGGGTTACGCAAGGTGGCAGAACCACTATTCCAGACTGACACTAACCTATTAATCCCCACATTTTCAGTACCATTGTGTCTTGAATCCAGCTTGGCCATAAGGAAATGGGGCGAGACTTTGTCATGTATGTCGCTGAAGTTCAGCTATGCAAAAATGTTCACCTATCCTTGATCAACCAGTCCAGGAACCATCAAAGAAGAAAATGAGATTCGACTTAGAAGACCTGTTCTTTATAAACCCCTGCACAGCCCTAATGATCAACACCACTTCCAGTGCTCATAAATTACTGCTTCAATAATTGTTCTGCAATTCTGCCTATTCTCATTGAATGCTTCGTATAATCCCTTTATTTACTTTGGGCTACGATTCATTTTTATCAGTGAGTATTGTACTTGTTTCATCTCAAAAATCATTCTCCTTGAGAAAAAAAAAAAGAACAGAGTTGAGGAATCCTGCTTTCTCTTTCATCCACAAATGCTCTATTGTCAGAAGGGGGCTTATATTTCTTGTGAACTTCTTGTGCTGATTTTAACTTTGTAAAGTTTTCCTGTTTTCCACGTATGAATGAGCATGAGAACTATGAAAGGCAATCAGGTATAAGATATTGTCAAGTATGTGACTTGAGGGACAAGTGATCTATGTGAGCCTGAAGGGAATCCTGGGATTGAGAGAGCATGCAGAGAAGGCACATAGGTGTGCTAGGGCATGCAGGTTGTACAGAGATGGACAGGGAGAAAATTCGAGTGACAGAGGTTTTCTATATGGTGGGAGTAGTGTGGGTTGGCGTCTATCAGGGGAGACCAACTGACCATATCCCTCTGTTCACTTTTAGCCATGAGTACAAGGCTACAAGAACTCGAGAGGTCATCTAAGTTATTTCTGGCTCTTTCAGGTCAAATGACTACTAGACTATCCTGGTTTCTAATTTGAAATGTATCCAAAGAAGATTCCTGTCTCACCCTCTGCAATCCACTTGCATGTCTGACCACACTCGGTGCCTACACAATCTTCACTTTGTCTAGCCTAAATTCTTCTAACTGTGGCCTAAGGCCTTGGAAGAATGATGCCTCTGTGGGGTAAGAACTGCCTTCGTGGCATAAGAAAGGCAGACCTGGGTGATCTGGAAGGGCTGTTGCAAGGGGATAGGAGTGCTGAGGCCTTTTCCATTAAGAATACACAGGACTATGGAGACTCTTGTTTTACTAGAAACTTCTTCACAGATACCTTAAATTAGGAAGAAAATGCCTTTGGTTCTTGGTTCTACTATTGGCTTCAAATTCTTAGGCATGCCAGACCCTACTGAACATCTTGACACATGTCCTTTCTTCTCTGAACTGGCGCACAGGCATGGTGAGTAACTGGGGGTGCCCGGCAGGTACTGATGCTGGGTGTGGTCCCTGTGTTATTCAGTCAGAAGTGAATAAAATGTACCTTTGTGTTAGATCTGGAAGGACAAAATAATTCCTGAGACTGGTAAGAAAAGCCATTTGGGAAAATTGTGGATATTTCTTGGCCTCAAAGGAGAGCAGCAGAATATCAAACTTAAGGCTGAACCTGTATGTCAGTTGGGGCAGGATGGACTCAAAACATCCTAGGAAAAGAATAAGGTCTCCTGAGGAGGTTCTGCAGCCAGTTAGAAAAGTGAAATCCCTCCAAATTGGAGTGGCATGGCATCGGCATCCAAAGGGATGGGCATCATGGAGAGCACGAGTGTCCCTCTCTGTCCATTTTCAGATGGACATCACAAGCAACCTTCCCTTAGCCCTCTGTGGGAGAGCTGACGATAATAATAGCCAACATCGATTGAGCATTTCTGTGTCCCAGCCCTGTGGCAAACGCTTGACAATGTATCACAGTTAATCCCTGCAGTATTAACAGAAGGCAGGCAGGCGCTATGCTCACTCCCATTTCACAAATGAGAAAGTTGAAATTGGAGAAAGAACTAGCTTTTCTCAAGAACATTCAGTAAGTGTGGATTCAGCCCCCAGGGCTGCCCACTACTCTTACCAGCCAGGGCTCTTACCCATGTGACATCTTGCCCCCTAGACTGCACGGGCAGCATAGGGTAGGGTGGCTCACCTAGGCACTCAGTGCTGCTGACACAGGGTGATGCCAAAGACGCAGAAACACATGGGAAAGGTGACTGCCATTTCTGGGCTCTAAAAGAGCCTATAAAATAAATATGCAAATCAAAATTTTATGCCATCTTGATGGTTGGAAAACTGGCTATATAACAGTTTGGCTCTAAGAATCAAGTGGTGCAGGGAGAGAGAGTGCAGAACCGACGTACTCGGTAGGGGAGTAAAGAGCCAGGAAGCAGGAGGAGGGAAAGAACAGTTGGCAGGGCAGTGGAGGTGAAGAGGTGGGGACGGGATAAAGCCCAGGGTAGCTCCCTTAGCTTTGGTTACAATTCAACAAAGGAACAAAAGGAGACTACAAAGCTCCCTTTACAGCTGCACTCTGGCCAGCTTTGGCCAACTTGCAACTCAATTCAGAGGAACATCTCAGCAAAGGGCTCATTTTCATCACAAACATCTACTACAGTTGTACTGGAGTCTTATCCTTGGATGATGTAAAATGAGAAGTTACAGGGCCCAGTGTGACCCTGAGCCGGGGGCAATCACTGTGGGCTGTCTAGTCATTTTAAGTCAACATTGCTAGATTAAGCAACCAGGATGACCAAACCTGGGAATAATGAACAGCTTTATCATGTTGGCATGTGAAATGGTCAAATCCGTGGCTGGAATATTTTCAAGGCAATGTGTACCCAATTAAGATCCGGGGTGTGGTGGCTCATGCCTGTAATTCCAGCACTTTGGGAGGCCGAGGCGGGCAGATCATCTGAGGTCAGGATTCAATTAAGATCAATAAATGACAAATGGGATGCTTTTATTTTTGCTTTGCTTTTTTTTGTTTTGTTTTGAGACAGGGTCTCCCTCTGTCGCCCAGGCTGGAGTGCAGTGGCGTGATCTCAGCTCATTGCAGCCTCCACCTCCAGGGTTGAAACTATTCTCCTGCCTCAGCCTCCTGAGTAGCTGGGATTACAGGCGCCCACCACCACGCCCGGCTAACTTTTGTAATTTTTTAGTAGAGACGGGGTTTCACCATGTTGGCCAGGCTGGTCTTGAGCTCCTGATCTCAAGTTATCCACCTACCTCGGCCTCCCAAAGTACTGAGATTACAGGCGTGAGCCACCGTGCCTGGTCTATTTTTGCTCTTTTCTTTGCTAACATGTTACACCAGCTCAGCTTCATAGCTGTAAACATGCAGCTGCCAAGGTAGGTTCCAGGCTGCGCACCTTCTTCCTGACGCTGCTGCATGAGCTGGCGGGGTGGGTGATGAAGAGTTACTAAAACATGAAGTGGCTCCTCTACGAGGGGAGAAAGGGCTGGAAACTCCACCAAGGCTCAGAAGTTACCCCAGGGGTTCAGATGGGGCTCACGGGATTCAGAGAGAACCAGACTACTTCCTCTTCCCCTATTCAGGGAGGTTGAAGTCCTGATTGCATCACCCTGGCCTGCCCCAGTTCCAAGAACTGGGGTTAGCAGCTCCAGCCCCTTGATATGCAAATCATGCAGTCCCACTGCTGATAAATTGTTCTACCCAGGGGAGGGCTAATACTGTCCTGCCCAGCTGGCAGTTTATCTTGGTGCTTCCTGCCAACCCCACAAAGGTGGAAAAATAGAATTCGCTTTCATAGAAGAACCTCACTGAACTGAGCTAAAAGTAGGGACTCTGGAGTTAAACTGCTTGATCCAAATCCTAACCCCACTGCTTTAGTTGTGTGAATTTAGACAAGTGACTTAATCTCTTGTACTTCACTTTCCCCCATCTGTACAATGAAACTGAGAGTACCCACCTCATGGGGGGTATTGAATAAGTAAATACACTTAAAGTATTTAGAACAGGGCTTCACATGTAATAAACATGCAACATGTTAGCCATTAAGTGAAAGCAACTTTGGCAGTCAAAGGCTGACCCACATCCCAAAGCAAAGGCTTGAAGTTATTGTCCTTTCAAACACTCAAGGCCATGTGTCTAATTCAGTTAGGTCACCGTGGAATAGCTTGGGAGAGCAGGAGCAAATGGGTGTGGGATGAGGACTGGCTGGGAAGGACAGTGGGATGATAAGGCCTGACGATGTCTTAAGATGGACCTGAGGGAGTGAAAGGTCCCAATGTGACCTCGTCTTGACCTCCATGCTGCCCACTGTGCTGAGGGAACCCAGCAGCCCCAGTGGACTCTGGCCCAGTTGCCTGAATGGCTCGCTACCTGCTCTGTGCCAGCCTTCTTCAGGAAGTGTGGGCAAGACAGCCTTGTGATCCCTTGGAAGGGGATGCCAGGTCTAGCAGAACTGAAGAAAGATGTGAAGTAGAATTGTAACCAGGAATTGAAGACTCATTTGAGCTTTAGGTAAATATCCTGTGTATCTTCTCTCTTCTCAGATATAAACATTAGCTATTGAATAACCTGATAGGCATGGAATAAATAGCCTCAAAAGAATGGACTCAACCCAAACTGGGGAACCCAGGTAGTGGGCTTGAGAAGCAATTGTGAAGAAGGAAGCTGCTGAGTGATCACAGACTTACCAAAGACAGTGTTTTGGCTCTGCGTGGCTATGATAATGAGTTTTGTGAATGAAACAGGAGGCATGCTTTATTTTTCGTGGTTGTTTACCAGAGTGGAGTGAACCATAACAAAAAGTTAATCAATCCCACAGAGCAATAGAAGACCCAAAGTGGAGGAGCTATGAAGGCCAAAAAAGTCCCAAAGTCAGAATGATCCTTCCCTTTCCCAGACTACAGCATCAAAGATTTAGACCCTAGAGCTGGATCTACTCTTTACCAAGCCTGAACCCTTTGGGAAACCAATGAACTCAACTTCTCTGAGCCTCTCTTGCCATTTGTAGTATGTACTGCAGTACTCACACTATCATCAGTGGGAATAGTGGGCACGTCATGAAGATCTAGTGGCATGATGTGGGTGAGAGTGATGACTATGAGTGGTAAGTGCTACACAAATGGAAAGGGAAGTTCCTAGCTACTCTATTCATTCAAAAGTAAGTGTTCGCATTGGAATGCAAAAAAAAGAACCTATGACAGAGAAGAGACTGTCAGTACTAGCCAGCTACTCCTCAGCTGCTCTATAATTCCCCTATCCCGTCTGTAGTTAGAGGGAAGCCATGTTTTAGCCAGTCATTGTGAGAAGAGGTGAGGTGTGTCCCTCCTAGGAGAGGCAGGCAGGCAGCCGGCGCCCCCTCCATGTCTCTTCCTTGCTCTGGAGACTTTGGAAAGCTACATTTTCCAGATAGTGTAGTTATAAGATGGAGGAAGATTGTTGAACTTACATGCTACTTTATGTGAATGAGAAATAAACATTTATGGTGTCTAGCCCCTGAGATCTTGAGGGTTGGTCTGTTACAGCTATGCTTAGCAGTCATCACCCTCATTCAGGACAGAAGTTTTGGTCAGTAAGAGACAGGCCACATCTACTTCAGAGAATCACAGAAGAACTTACATCAACCTCTCCTCTCAGGAATTTTCTGTGAGTTGAGTTCTACCCATTCTGCTCAAGGTTTTATTTTGATTGGAAATCTACTGTCTTAGTGGGAAGGAGACAAATCATTCTAGTCAAAACACTTCCTTTTGCTACAAAATGCATTTATTTCCAGTCAGACAAAATTCTTGAACTGTATATTCGGGTACATATTATAAGGTCATCTTTGATATATGCCCTGTTTACAAGATCCATTTCTAATTATTAAAGTGAATATCAAACACACATCTTTGCATCTTAAAACATAAATAAACTGCTAATGTTTATAAGCCACAAATCTGGTCACTGACATGAGTGGCCTGCAATTCTTCAGTGATGAGCACACGGCGATACAGACAAGATCAGATTACCCAGGTAGGCAGGCAGCAGGCACCTGTAATTCACCCGCTGACTGTGCTGTTGTGGCAGTGACCCTTCTTGTGAAAAAAGAGTTATGTGCAGACAAAAGTGTGACATATGCAACGTGGAGAGGCATTTCACAGAATGCAAACACCATTCAGGTAAATTAGTAGACTCCAGAATGAATGAAAGCTTCATGAATGCAAACCTGTTGTTTACAATACTGGGCATTGTGGCACCTTTTCACTGGACAGTTTAATAAATATCTATTAAAGAAAGTAAGGATAAGAGAAGAAGCTGAAGCAGTCGTCTTGGTGCACAACATATTTTCAAGATTGGGCTTTAGGTTGTGAGTTTCAGAGATACCATTGTTTGTTTCTTCAGAGTAAATCATTCTATTTGGAAAGCCCTTCATTTCCTTAAAAAGACCTTTAAATTCTTCATTAGCATTAAGAGACTTCTTGTAGACTGCCAGGAATTGGGGTTCATTGGCTTAAAGAAGAGCACAGCACAGTTGACAGAACGTCTTGGTTTGTCTCTTGAATTAAGAAGCCTGATTGGCTCAGAATTTCTCAGATCTACTTTATTCTTCACACTTTCCCTCCTTTTGGCTCCTGTTAACATCCCAAGCCCACAGAGACAGACGCTCATAGGTGGAGCGGTATACTTCATAAAATCTCATTTCATTATCAACTATTTCTAGTGCCATGGCTCCCTCTGGACTCTAAATAGTTGATATCTGAAAGTTCCATCCTTCACAGAGTTCTTCACTTGCTCCTTGAAGGTAAGGTTCTTGTTCTAAGGCTGATGCTGGGAAGGTCCCATAGAGGAAATTCCTGGAGAATCTCTATTCCCTTTGGGTTCTCGTGCCCTCTCTCTCACTCCCCATAAGGCTATGGTTGCAATTCTGGAGACACATAGGAAAAGTTTCTAAACTCATCCTGGTTAATCATTGGAAGATGTCCCTCATCAATTGGAGTTAAAACTGGCTCTTCCTTTATGAAGTCAGGGTCAAAATTACTGACATCTTCTCGGGATTTCTGCCAAAAAAAAAAGGGAAACAAGGGTGAGATTTTTGCGCTTGAGGCTTACTCATCTTGCATGGGATATAGCCCATTCCAGTGAGTTCAGAGGAGTGCTCTGTAGCTTGTTCAGTAGCATTATTTACAGTTATTGTTATGATGAAACTGTGCTTTACAGCAAGTCTACTGCATGGTGCATTATTATGGCATTTGGCAACCACCAATTCACTAATCCCATGAAAATCTTGCTGAGCAGGCCTGTCTTAATGGGAGGCTAAGAATTAATTTGGTCATCCAAAAGCAGCTGGCTCACTCACCCTTTATTCTCATTTCACCAAGGTGGCATTTCACAGCAGGCCTCGCTGAGGGGTGTGCAGCTGTATTTGTCAACAGAGGTTGGGTAGGTTCACACTTGTCCTACCTATTGTTTGCGCAGAGTTCTAGACATTTGAAGAGATCTTCCCAAAAGATTTCTTGCAAGTGCTGAGCTTAGGGAACAACTGTTGGTCATTTTACTCTCTAGGTAGATGCGTTACGCCCTGCTGGACCAGCTGTGCAGTTAGGACTACAGGCTCCAGCCTCTGAAGGCCATGCTCTCCCTAATCCCAGGGGCGCTGGCAGGGGGCTGACCATTGAAGGAACGGCTTTACCTCTGGGTGCCTGGTGTCCAACAGCCTAGTAGGCTGTTAGTGATTAAGTGCACTGTATGTTTTTAAAAGTTGAGTATTTTATATCTGTATAAACAAACGCTGCAAAGATCATTTCTAAGTGAGTATCACACATCTCACTGCTCTTACCTTAATCAATGATATTTCTCTATCACTTTTTTTTTTTTTTTTTTGAGACAAAGTCTAACTCAGTTGCCCAGGCTGGAGCGCATGACGCAATCTCGGCTCACTGCAATCTCCACCTCCTAGGTTCAAGCAATCCTTCTACTTCAGCCTCCTGAGTAGCAGGGATTAGAGGTGTGCATCACCACACCAGGCTTTTTTTTTTTGTATTTTTAGTAGAGATGGGGTTTTGCCATGTTGGCCAGGCTAGTCTCAAACTCCTGACCTCAAGTGATCCATCTGCCTCGGCCTCCCAAAGTGCTGGGATTATAGGCATGAGCCACCACGCCAGGTCTCCCCATCACTCTTGATCTATCGCTAGCCTTGCTTCTCTGCCTTCCTCCTGTGGAGCTCTTGACCCACAGATGAGCACGAGCTCAGCTCTCAGACCACAAGCGGGACCACGCTCAGGAAGGCCACCAGCCTCAGCTGCAGAGCTTGGAGAGGAGCCCCTGGAGATCCCAGTATTTCTTTGGTCAAAGAAGCCTGGCCTGGCCTGGGCTCTGCACTGCAGCAGCTATTACAGACCCAGGCTCTCCAAGCCAAGAGGCCAGGCTCAGTGAAGTGAGCAACATCTCCTACCCACTCTGCTTTCTCAGGGGCTTAGAAAAGGCACAAAAAGTGCCCCAAGGAGCATGAGGAAATTGGCCAGAACAATGACTTTCTCAATTAGCCAAACTCTTTTGGGGAAACCTGGAAAGTTTCAGGCCTCTTATACCCTACAAGATTTTAATTTAGGTTGAGAGAAGTTGGAGATTGGGTAAACGAGGGGTGAAACTTGGTAAGAATTAATGTGGGCACATGAAGACATTGTTGTCCCATGGACAAGGAGCCCAGATTCCCCCCAGGGGAGGCTGCCCTGTGCAGTATCCAGCTGAATTTCTGGTCTGTCACCCACAGGGGCCATCCAGCTCTTCTACGGACTTTGGTGGAATGCTGTGACATCTGAAGAAAGGAATGTCTCTGTGACAGCCTGGGACACTTACGATTCTGGGTCTGAAAGGCGGTTCTATTTGGCGATGGTTCAGCTGGGCCCAGTCGATTTCCTTAAAAAAAGGATGTCTCAAGATGGCGTGCTCGCCTCCCTGAGTCAGGCTGCCCAAGCGCATGGTGGGGTTCTTGGTCATGAACTGAGTGAGAGAGAGAGAAAGTGTCAATCATTCATTCACATACAACCAGCACGTCACAAGACAGCAGGCATCAGCCATGGCAGAGGAGCTGTGCGAGACTTTCTGGCAGGTCTTGCTTAACTAGCTGGGTTTTCCATCACAGGCAGCACAGTCAGTATGAATCATGCCTTAAAGGCGCGATTGCCTGTGTGGATTTATGGCTTTTCCCACTTCCATTTCAGACATGGCCACTAAAAGAAAGCAGGAGGGTCCAGTTTTCTTTTCTGTAAACACCATGTATTTTTCTTTCCTCTTTAAAGAAAAGAAGCTCTTTATAACAGTGTGCCTTTCCCCAACACTGCAGTTGTGGGCAGCAGACATCTTATGAATGGGGCTACTTTCAGAAACAGCTGTGCCATTTTTCTGAGTGACCTGACCAGCTGGCCAGGATTCCTGCTCTCTGACGAGACCACAGAGAGGAGAGAGAGTCGTTATTTTTGAAGATCTGTGTGAAGAAGCAGCAAAGGTGACATACTGAAAAGGTCTGTGTCCTGGCTCTAGAAAAAACAAAGTTGGCCACTTTTCTTTATGCAGCGAAGATATCATAGCTCTAGATGAAAGGCTTTTCTTCAAGATGTTCCCCCCACCACTGCTGTTTCGAAGTAGGTTCAATGACTGAGATTCCATTGCTCCATAGACCAAAAACTAAAACGAGCGCTGCCACACAGCTAAGCGATGTGTGCATAGAGATTCTCTGTATTTCCATCAGTTGGGAAACTTCCTTAGTGCTGGGCTCCTATCAAAATATGCTGGGCTAAATCTGCTTTCACAAAATAGCCAGGAAAGGTGTTTTGATCACTTCCTGAGCAAGGATTAGTACAGGATAATTCACTTTTCATGGCCGGAGTGTGGTTCTCAATTTCAAAGACACTGAAGCTAATTTAATTTCCCATATTGAAAGAAAATTGCCTTGGATAAAAAGTTTTGTTTTTGTTTTTATTTAAATCAGGTTATCTTTAAATAGACTCATGACAGTCCCCAAGCACCTCTTTCCAAATCTGATTTGTGAACAACACAAAAGTAATGCTGTGTTTATAAAAATTGTTTTGGAGCTGAATTTACAGAGAAAATCTTGTTGAAGGTGCAGACACGGAAAGACAGTGTTTGGAGGTACCTCCCACTGCCATGCCAGGTGTCCAGAGGTGTCAAGCTGCCAGTGTTGATTCAAATGAAAATGATAATGTTGAAGAAGGAGGCTGCAAAAGTTCCTAAGCAACCTGACGGGATATACCTTGTAAAATGCTTTCAAAAAAGCTTCAAAGGGCAGCTAATAAATGAATATACTGACAGGGTTTAATCGCTTCTCCTCTCTCCTAGTAACAGGAATTAAAGGCCACAGGTGGTTCTGGGTTGGAGGCAGGACCCAAAAGTAAATGCAGCATTCAGAGCTGCACAGGCCCAGTCAGAGCAGCTGCCACTTCAGGCACTTACAGTGGTCACCCAGGATTCAGGAGATGCATATTATAAGTAACTCAGTTCTGTAAGAGCTAGGAGTTAGTTCACACTGCTTGGGCTCTCACTAAGTAAGCCTGTGCAATGCAGGCAGGAAGGGAGAAAATGCTTACAAAAAAGAAATGAGTAGATTCTTGCCTTAGGAAAGTCAACGGGATACAATTCCTGATGGAAGAGCAGTTGCTATTCTAAGAGCTAATTAACAAGAAACAATGCTGCAAAAAACTTGGGAGACAGGACGGCAGAACACACCCAGATGGCCTGTGGGAAATTCCCAGGCCTGCCAATGATGTGAGAGAGGACATCTTGTGAATGGGTGGGTACAGCCTGTTCTTCTGGGCAAGACAAACAGTGCAGGACTCTATATGCCAGGGTGGCTGAAGCCCCAGTGTCCAAGAGGCTTGCCCATTCCTCCCTGCCCCTGGCACTGAACCCAAGCTTCCATGGGGCACTGTGGAAGAGGCCTTGCCTGACGACAAGTAGACCAAACACGACCGTCCGTCCTCTAAAAACTGCACCCTTGGAATTGGGGACAGGCAGAATAACCCTTTCACTAGCTTGATACTTAGCCTCTTGGGGTTCTGATAAATCCTTTTGAATAACCAAGCAGTTTTGTTTTTAATACCTTGGCCTGAGCCCTTTAGATGCAGCCATCCTCAACTTACAAAAAAAACAAACCAAAAGAAAAAACAAAACACACACACACACAAACAAACTTTGATTCAATTGACAAAGGTTTTCAAGGTGTCTACTACATGTAAGGCAGCACACTAGGGGTTTCTTGGGGATACGCAGATGACAAAGACAGTGTCTCTTCATCCAGGAGCTAATCAAGAGAAGGGGGAAGAATCAAGCAAACTTCATAATACACAGCCGGATGAAATGAAAAGAGACTTAGATCAAGTGCTGTGAGAGCTTGGAAGAGGCACGGGGCAAATAACACTGGGGCTGGTGGTGGGAAGGCAAGTGACAGCCTCGTGGAAGAGGTGGCATTTGACCAGAGATGAGGACGAACAGAATTAACATAGTAGGCATGAAGGAAGAAAATGCGCCTGAGGACACAGCCAGCACAAATGCAGAGGCATACAAGTGCCTGGTACAGCTGGCATGCAGGGATGGCTGAGGAACTGCGGGGGCAGCCGGTGGGATCCATCCGAGGTGAGTGATGAGAGCTGCACGGCAATTTAGGGGATGACACTAGCCACAGCGTGATGAATAAATCTTAAATGCAGAGGTAGCGCCTGGTGGTGAGCAGTTAGAGGCTGAGACAATAGCTGAGAACACATGACAAGTTCAGCAACTAGGAGAGTTTCTAGTTAATTGGAAGGAAGAGTTGGAAGCACATTCTAGAGGGCCGTGGAAGAATAAACACAATCCACTAACTGCCGGGAATGGGAGTGAAGAGTCCAAGATCACAGGGTCCTCCCTGGCTGCCTGATGGGGCAGTGGTGTTGAGTAACAGAAATGGAACAAAAGAGGGGCAAGAGATTATTCTTTGTAGCATGAGTATTAGTAGCAGTGTTAGTAGTAGTAGTATTTTTGTTAGTGGAACAAAGACAAAAATAGCTCACACTTACTGAGATCCTACAGTCTGCCAAATCTGGGAGGCTGATGGGCTCCGCTTTGCATTGGAGGTGTGTGGGCACCCACATGCAGATGAATTCTAGGGTAAATCTGGGGTGCAGGCCAGGGCTGGCCATCTAACGCTCAGAGACATTGAAATTTGAGTAACCACTGAAGCTGGGAGGGCAGGTTAGATTGTGGAAAGTGACAGAGACAGACTAGAACTGATACCAGCCCTAGGTCTCAGACACATTTTATTTGGCCTACCTAGTGTGTTTTGAAATAATTTTAATTACTTCTCAAATATTTAAACGCTAGGAAATGTCACATCACATGAAAAGTCAGGTTTTCCAACTTCTCGTGGAAAATGAGATACTCGGGAACACTGGGCCTGCACTCCTCTCATAGAAACGGCCTGGAGTTGAGCAGGGGCTTCTGCTTTTCATGGGGCACCAGATGCCCAGTCAGTCACATGCCCCACCACTCCCTATCACCTCCCACCTGGCTGGTATCACTCACGGACTTTCATGGCTCCTGACCCCTGGTGTAGGGTGAGAAGCAGCCAGAGTGGCAGCTGGAGGATGCCATGAAGAGGCCAGAGGAGGATGAATACCATGAAACAGAAACCAGGACCGGGAGAAGGAGGGTCCGGGGTGATACTAAGGGGGTAGAAGCTTTGTGTGTTGTGGTGGTGGTGGGGTGGCCCTTCTACCACTACCCCCGTCCAGTGATGTGGAGATGAGGAGTTAAGGGAACATTTAACATTAGTCCCAGGCCTGAAATCTTTCACAGTTCACGTTGGTGCAGATGGTGTGGAGTTGGAGGTGGATAGCTTGCCATCCTAGGCTGGGCACAGGCCTTTCCCTAAACTCTCTGTTCCTACTGCTGTGAATGGTGACAGCATAATCCTTTTGCAGAAAACTTTCATTATTTGCTTATGTCCCTAATGGGACCCAAATGCCAGTAAGTTAACAATTGTGCTCCTCGGGGCCATCACTTTCATCCACATTTAAGGTCACACTGAAAAGTTGCCTCACCTCAGCTGACTTTCTCCCTGACTGTGATCCAAGAGGGAAAGTCGGCCAAAGAGGAAAATAATGTGACTTCATGAAATATTCTGCACACATTTACTAAAGGAAGCAGAATGTTTTCTAGGGCCAAGAAAAGCACTTTATAAGCTGCACAGAGTGAGTGAGGGGACCAGGGTGGAAAATCTGGATTCTACCCCAAGTGTAAGTCTCAAACTGACTGGAGAGCAGGGGAAAGAGAAGGGTCAAGAACTCAGGGACTCATTTTATGTTCCCCTTCCTGCTGTGGCCCTCATTACAGTGGAACTGAACTAGAGGATACTCAAGGAATCAGAGGCACACCTGGCCCCGAGAATGAGACACTTAACAGTTTTTTTCCCAGACTACAGAGGAGGTGTGGCTGCAGGGGAAAGCAAGCAGGCATGCTCCCTCCTGACGCTAGTTCTAAGGGGACATGTAAAGGATTTGGGCCAAGTTTGTATAGGAATGTCCTGGGAGGCCTCCTGCAAGCCAGGGAAGGCTGAAAGAACTAACAGCTTCTCTGACATGGAGGGCTGGTCAGGCTCTGCAGTGTCACTGCTTGTGTTTGTATCATTCTTTCACCACTGAGTTACTGTGTGACTGTGGACAAATTTCTTAACTTCTCTGAGCCTTAGATTTCTCAACTCTAACATGAAGATTTTCCTATATTTTAAAAAGTTATGATGAGTCAATGAGAGAATTAACGTAAAGCGCCTGGCATAAAGAAAGCCCTCAAGAAATGATAGTATTAGTGAACATCTTGTTGCCGTCCTAGGCTCGAATAGACTGTCCCTAAACACTCTGTTCCCACCGCTGTGAACAGTGGCAGCATAATTCTTTTGCAGAATACTTCCATTATTTGCTTATGTCCCTAATGGGACCCAAATGCCAAACTTGTAAGTCCATCCTGTTCTACTAAAAGGCAGGGGCACAGATAGAAAGCTGCTGAGAGACTACACTCTGAGGTCAGCCTTGACCCTGAGGCTCATCTGGCTCTCCCTGTTCCTCTACAGCCAGGTAAGAGAGAACAAGATCTCTTTCTGCCTTCACTGTCCTAGGCTCCAGTAGTGCAGTGGGAGGAATGGTCTTTGGAAAATAATGTTCCTTTTTCTTGCTTTTTTTTAATTTCTGAGATAAGATCTTCCTATGTTGTTCAGGCTGGTCTCAAACTCTTAAGCTCAAGTGATCCTCCTGCCTCAGCCTCCTGAGTAGCTGGGATTATAGGCACATACCACCAAACCCTATTTGGAAAACTTTTTTTTTTTTTTTCCTGACAGAAAACCTTTTCTAAGACAATCTTAAAACGAGAATACAAACAATAGTTTTTTGTTTGTTTTGTTTTTTTTTGATATGGAGTCTCGCTCTTGCTGTCTAGGCTGGAGTGCAATGGTGCACAATTTTGGCTCACTGCAACCTCCCCCTCCCAGGTTCAAGCAATTCTCCTTCCTCAGCCTCCCGAGTAGCTGGGATTACAGGTGTGCACCACCACGCCCGACTAATTTTTGTATTTTTAGTAGAGACGGGGTTTCACCATGTTGGCCAGCCTGGTTTTGAACTCCTGACCTCAAGTGATCCGCCTGCCTCGGCCTCCCAAAGTGCTGGGATTACAGGTGTGAGCCACCACGCCCGGCCTACAAACAATAGGTTTTAATGTGCAACTATATCTGCATTAACAATAGGACAGAGAAACTAAATGCAGCAAGATGGGTGCAGTGGAGCAGCTTCTTTGCAAATCTGGTGTCAGGTATGGTGCTTATCACATCTTGTGGGCACACAGGAGGCAGCTTCAGTTTTGAGTTGTTGGATGTTCCAGATTATAGAGTTTAACGCTGTGTCATTATGAGTCTTGAAATAACTGGGCCCAAATGTACTTTACTCACTAAAATATAAGTAATGGCCACAAGTATTTTTTTCCTCTTTCAAAATCTGTCTGATTTCATAGGAAGAGGACAAGTTATATAAATAAAGCAATTAGTCTAATAAGATTTTCTTCCAGGAGCCAGAGAACACTGTATTTTCTGCCTAATGGTTGGATGTGGCTGTTGGGCAAACAAAATGACCTTCTCCATTCATTCAATTTCAGACCTTAAACAAAGGGCAGAGAGAGAGTTAGCAGCTAATGCTGGCAAGTTAGAAGGCAAGGAAACTATGCCACAGAACCTTCCTGCCAATATTCCAGAGCGATGATCCTAAATGGGGAAAAGGCATTTAATGGCTCTAGAGAGGGTCCTGGGGAGAAAGGGCAGAGAAAGAGCACAGGACACAGAATAGAGTGCGGTTCACAGCCATGACGCCCAACCTCGCCATGACCATAGACCCTAATGGCCACCTGGGGCTGACGAGAAGCACACCACGCATGCGTGTTGCAGGCGCGTGTCTGTCTGAAGGATGCTGCTGGCACACGCAGATTCTGACCCAGTTATGAAGACCAACCTTCTCCTTTTATACCCCTCCTGCCAGCTGTTGGGGAGATCTGGAGACACCCCGTGCTAGCAGCACCCTCCAGCTCAGGGCAGTGGTCATGCAGGGATGTGGCTGCACAGTATGGGAGAGACACCAGGCTTGGACCTGGCATTGATAAGTCACTTTTCCATAGGAGAAGGCAGTGACAGACATTTAAATGCAAGATGGGGCTGATGACAGTCCACTGGGGGTGGGATGGGGCTTGGTAGGGTGGAAAGGACAGACAACAGACTTCCTGAATCTCTCTGGGGAAACAAACTGTAATCTTCCCAAGTCTAGGTTCTTATACCGAATGGTGCTGCTATGGAATACTGGACGAGCCAAGAGAAGGAGAGGTGCTCTATCCTGCTAAGATTGGATCTGGATGGAATTTGCTGGGGAGGGCTGGAACTAGTTACCTGCACACTCATGGCAATGGACCACCCTGCCAGGTATCCAGACTGGTTTGAGAAGGGGGAAGCTGCAGGAGTGGAGAGAGTAGAGAATGATACCGTTTGATACAAGTTACAGCTTAAGAAGTGGTAGCCATTACTACCATATATGTATGCTGCATACTCCTTTGTTGCATAGGCATTAAGTGTTCCAAATTCATTGGATATAATCCTTAAAGCAACTGTGGTTATTATTCCTAATTTAAAGATTAGGAAACTGAGAAACAGACCCATCTGTAACCTGTCACACAGTTTGGGAGTGCTACAGTCAGGATTTGAACTCAGGCCTTTGCTCTCAGTCCCTACGCTAGACTTCCCCTTGAGGCTACCAATCTTCTTATTTGGATTCTGGGTTAAGATACTTGGACCGACAGGTGAGGAGAATCATTACACAGTTTACTTTACTTTCACCTAATAAATGACACTCAGGACTTCATCTGATGAGAATTCACGCACTCTGTGTGTTTCCTTGTGTTGTACTTCTTTGCTGGCTCATGTGACATTCTTTTTCCTCTGATTCTATGGAAGGAGAAGGGCTGAGAAGTACATACAGTGCAGGTGGTAAGTGAAGGGAAAGAAAAGTAATAGGGCTGGAAAAAATCCGAGGCATCCTTCAGCCTGACACCTGGTTTTATTTCAAACTACTGAGGGTCTTTTTGCTGGAAAAGATAGAAGGACACTTAAAATTTTCAAATACTCAAAGAGCTGTCGGCCAGAAGAGGGATTAGATGAGAAATAATTTCAGGGAGAAATAAGTTCAGGGAGTGGAAGTTAAAGGCAGCATATCTAAATACATCATAAGAAAAACTAAAACACGTAATGTGGTTGTAATACTCAGTACCATTAAGTGATGAGAGTGCTCCCTGGCAGGAACAGCATTGTGTCATTGAAAACACGTGAAGCAGAGCCGGACTGGCCTGTCCGGCGTCAGGTGGGTGGGTGGCCACACCAGTGGCCTCCACAGTCTGTGCCCATATCAAGGGACTCTTTTCTTTCTTCTATTTTTGCATTTATCACTAAAAACTCTGGGAGGAAAAAAAAAAAGCTGGCATTTTGAAGATTGTCCTTCCCTCAGCTACAGATGCTTTGTTTTCCTTGAGTCTGAAATGGGCTTTTCTTTATTAAAAATAAAGTGAAATAAACTTGCTCAAGCTGATCTCCCTGAGCCAGTGATGGAGGAAGTGGGCATGTGGGTATATTTGAGAATGCCGGTGGGTCAGTGCCTTACCTGGCAGGTTGTAACTGACCAGCATCAGAATATTCTGTGCGATATCTCCAGAGACACACTACACAGTGTACTTTATTTTCTCTCGATGAAACTCAGTACACTAAATGCCCTATACTGTTCCTCTAGCGGGCAGGGGCAGTGCTCAAATCCGTGGTGGGTTTGCTGGCTGTGTTTTCCATGCTGTCTGTGACTGGAATCCAGCAGCCCTTCATAAGCACATACTCAATTCCTTTCCAAGGCTCCCAACACCCTGCCTTTCCTGGGTTTTATAATCATTATTGCTTCCTTGTATCTTCTTTCTGGTCATGGGACAATGTTGATTAACCGTAGGTAAAGGTTAGAGGCAAGTCTCGGAGATGGAAACCCAAGGTCATGCAGTTGTGCCAATGCCCGTTGTTAGACAACATGCTTCTATTCCTGACAAACCAGTCTCAAGCAGCTCTGACTGATGGGGCGGATTTCAATGCTCTCCAATGACTTCCAAGTGTTAAGAAAAAGCTGCTGCTACCCTACATGCCCAAGCTATACGAACTACTTTTTTCCAGGTATGATTCCCCAAATGTAGCTACTGAAGAGAAGTGAGTGCTGAACAAAGATTCTCTAGTGGGGACTATACAATGTCCTTTATCCTCCTCTGATGAAATCAAGGCCAGTACCCTTCTTTATCCTGGATGCGCATTATCTTTGGCATCCAAACCAAATCTAATGATCAACTGCCCCAAATTACTGACCTTTGATAGTTGGCAAGGACAAACAAACAAAAAACAACAAAGTCAAATACTTTTGTTGACAAGAGTTTTTCTAACTCGAAACAAAAAGCTTTTCTGACCCACAGACACCGGTTAGCAAATCTCCACACAGGAAAAGTTTCCGTGGTCATTTTACAAAAGCTTTGACATCTTTATCTTCCTGGCAGGGATGGAGATAAATGAGACATGCAGCATGAGTACTCTATTAAAAATACATTTTAAAAAATCCTTTACACTGCTATCAAAATGTAAGGACTTCCAACCTTAGGAAACTTACAATTTAATGAGGGAAAAAGAAGTAGAGATCAAGAACTTTAGTAAAATTATATGACTTAAAAAGACCCAAATACAAAATCTCTGGGAAGAGCAGTGTTTTTCTGTTTTCTGCAGACACTGGCCTTGATCTGTGAGCAAACGGTTCCTTTTCTGAAGGGTGTTAACCTCACTAGGGGTTTTGGTAAGAGGCCTGTGGGGCACCTTCCTTTCCTCAGACAGGTATTCCAGTCCTGGCAACAGTCTGCCAGGTTGCATGTTAACCACTCCTCTTACTCAAGGATCTTTTGATAACTTTCTTTGGATTTCCCCTAACAGTGTTTGAAAAACCAGCCCTAATGATCTGGGGTTGGATCCTCTGCGTTACTCGGGTCCCATTTTTCCCTCCTCTTCCCCAGCCTTCTCCTGGCTGACCACCTTTGCTGGCTTCCTTGAACATTCCAGCCTCTCCCAGGAGGGGAGTAGGGAAATGAACAGGAAGACAGTCAATGCTCCTGGAATTCACTGCCTGGTGACAGATGTGGGACACACTCAGGGCTAAAAGAGGATCCCCGAATTAACTGTGGTTCTCCCTCCTTTGTGCGTACAGGCAAACAGGATTCCTGCAGACAATGCTCGGATGATGAAATCTGAGAGGCTGGATGACAGAGAAACCCACATGCATACACACACACTTTATAAAGCTTAGGAACAAAAGCACTTTATAATCTCCTTCTGATGCCAAGTTTACAGTGCTTCCAGAGTCAACAAAGGTGACTCAGGAGAGTGCACCCAGCTCCTTTCAGCACTTATTTAGCTCAGCCACCTGTGTGAGCTCAAAGACAAGGGTGCCGACTTCACCTGAGTAGACCCTGAGTCACGTGATTTCTTGCTGGAGATGATTCAGCAAAGGAGCACTAACCTCTGAGACAAGGCTTCAGCTTCCTGAGCTCTGCTGACTCGCCTGGGACTTCCCTAAGCCCTTCTGGACCTAGATGAGGGCAAAACTCAGTGGAACCTCAGAAGCCCTAAAAAAATGATAGACTTTCTTTTGTCTCATCATTATCAGCATTTTGGGATGATTTAGTCAGCCTAAGAAACCTGATGGCATGTTGACACCAGAAAACAGGTAGTATATATTCCCAAACCAAGTTAAAAAAAATTAAGAAATAACAGCTGGAATGCCTTTTATTTTTTCTTTACACAAATGTGTGTGTCATCGTCATATGCCTTTTTTGTGTTAATTTCTGAGGATCCTGCCAGTGTGAATACTCCATTCTCTGCGAGTCGCAGGTCAGGCTGCTTTTGAGGCAAGCACACGTTAAGTATTGAGCAGAAACATTTGAAGCAAAGATGAGAAAGACAGAAGGGGAAGCAAGAAAAATAGTCTTCCCAGTGTGCCTATTTGGGTGCATATAAAGTTACTTTTAGATGTGCGATTACTGGTTAATGATTTGGGGAATTCTTTTCAAGTAGAAATCCTGGGCTAAAAACTAAGTGTGCTCAAGCTACCCCCGCACCCACTGATTCTGCACTCCATGGGAAAAGTTCTCACAAGCAAGTCCTTTGTCCACTACCCACGTCTATAGGAAATGTTTGAACAGCTATACACAAAGAACTCACAAGTCCACAACCTCGGGGGTGTTGCGGGTGGAGAGGGCAGTGGTAAAGGTGATGACAGGGAGGGCCTGTGGGGACAGTAATATTAGATTAGTGGTCAGAAGATGCTGGAGCCTGCCTTGCCAGTCACACACTTTTAGAGGAATGCTGGACAGTACACACCCTCCCCAACCCTGAATGTAGGCCCTCGCTGACATCACGCCAGATGAAGCCCTGAGGTCTTTAACATCTGTAACTCTATGGCATGTAACATAAACAGGTGTCTGACCAGTTTCCCCAGATATAGAATAATAATAATACCTTTCATTTAAAAAGGTAAGAGGGAATTCAACAAGCTTTCCTTCTTAAATAAATCTCCATCTCAGGAAGCCATGGAAAGATGCCCCTCCCACACTAAGACTGTAGAGAGAGGCACTGTGAAGGTCTGGCTTGGAGATCTCAGCTCTTCCTGCCTCTCAGGGGGAAAGGGCAGATCCAGCAGGCCGGGAAAGGATCTCCCAGGGTCCCAAGGAGGCAGCATGGGGCAAAGTCCAACAGTGAGGATTCTCTCCTTCTCTGGTCTCTTTTCTGTTAAAAATGCTTCTTTGGGGTACCCTTCATTACTACCCTGGAGGTTGAAGGACACTTCTTGAGAAGGCATAGATACTCTTCAGGTATGCTGAAGAAATGAGTTGTGCTAAAACCACTGGTTAATTTTGTCTGTGGCAAAAAATCATGAGGGTGACATAGACTCCCAGGCCAGGAACCCGAGACTGGATTTAAGAGATGTGGCCAGGATCCACAGGGGAGCTTGTATGTGGCTCACATCATTAGCTCTTTCTGTATATTTGTATTGTAAACCATTTCCCTTCATTTGTGAAGATGGAGATCACTTTTTCTATACAGGCTAGAAATGTTTCTTCATACACACACGCTGAGCTTGTTTATAAAAGATATTCATTTATATGGTGGTTTTAACAACTTTTCCATGTGGAAATTTTAGACGACAGTAACACAGACCCTCATGTACTCATCACTCAGCCTTGATGGTTACTGACACATGCCCAATATTGTTTCATCTGTTTCTCCCCACAACTCCTGGATTAATTTGAAAGAAATCCTAGAAGTCACTTAATCAGCAAATACTCCAGTCTGTTGGTCCACTCCTTATACAATAGCCAGGGTGATCTTTTACACATGAAGTAGTGATTGCATCACTCATGCTTGCTTGGAATTCTTCAAAGACTTACGTTGGCACTTCAGATAAAGTGTAGACTCCTTCGCGTGACCTAGGATGTCCTTTGGGCTCTCACTGTTCCCTCAGCCTCCTCACCTGAAGCTCTCACTGCCCCACCCCTTTGCTCATCACACTCCAACCCGCCTGCCATTGAGCTACTCAAATGGACTGCTCCTTTCTCAAGACCTCTGCACACTTTCAAGCCTCATTTCTCTTCAGCCTTTATTAAATGTCATCTCCTCCAGATGGCCTCCTTTGGTGGCCCAGGTCATGTTAGATCTGCCTGTTAAATAAATGCTTTCAAAGAACCTTGGATTTTATTTTTTTCTCATTAAATTGTAAGTATATAGTTAATGTTTAATTTCTCTTTAAAATTTCTTTCTCCCTCCCCACCCCAACTGGACTGTAAATTCCACAAGAGCAGGATCATGTTTGCCTCACTCATCACTGAATTCCTGGCACCTCGCACAGAACCTGAGTATTGCAGAACCCATGCCTGCTATGCACATATGCATTGATATAAGCCTATTATATAAATAAACAGATCAATATCTATTTGGCTATTTACACCCCACCTATATGTCTTTGGTCAAGATTTAAAAGCTCCTGGAAAAACAAAAATACAATTTCCTTAGGAATAAAAGCCTACCACAGCCTTGTGTAAAATTAAGCACTTAATAACCTTGATGATGTTGCTGAACTGTTCAAGGAGAAGATGAGGATAATGACATCTCTAAGTGTGTTGTGAAATTACTACTCACAAGTTAGCAATACTAATCACTTACTCTTGTATCGTGCATTCCACTTGGAAAACACTTTCATGTATACTGCCTTATTTGAAGCGGGCACTATAGGTGTTATTATCACACCTTTATAGACTGAAAATCAGTGGCAGAAGTCACATGAGGTCTAGGGTGTGTTCTTTCCATTCTAACATGTAAAGTCCCTTCATCTCTCTGGGCCCGTTTCCTCATCTACAGATGAGGAAATGTGGACAAAATATTTTTAAACTATTTCCAGCTCTACAATTCTGTGTTTATGCCTCTAATGATCACAAAGCTCTATAAAATTAAGGGCAAAGACAAATAATTACAGTTCAAAACTTAGCACTCATGATTTCCCTACTGTTTTTAGAACTATGCAAAACACCATCCAATGGATTCAACTATTCACATGAGGAACTCTTGAAGTCACCAAGCTCCCAGAAAGCCTGATCTTAGGTGGACACAAAATTCTGGAAAAAGGCGTCAAGTCAATATTGGTAAAGAACACAGTATACCTTGATCTGGCCCTGTGCAGCCAAATGAATGCTTGTTCAGAGTGCACGTACCACATCTTACTTATCTATTCATCTGTTGATGGACACATGGGTTGCTTCCACCTTCGGGCTATTGTACGTAATGCTGCTATGGACATGGGTGTACAAATATCTATTAGAGTTCCCACTTTCAATTCTTTTGGGTAAATATCCAGAAGTAGAAGTGCTAGATCATATGGTAATTCTGCTTAATTTTCTGAAGAACCTCCCACCATACCATTATCCACACCATTTTACATCCTCATCAGCAGTGCACAAAGGCCCCAATTGATTTAAGTAATGTGTTAAATGGCCTTTGATGAGTCACAATTTCTCAGTACCTCATGGTTTCCTCATCTATAAAACGAGGGGGTTGGAAGGGACAATCTCTAAGTTTTCTTCTGGTAGTAAAATAACTATATTGGCCTAATTAAATCAAGTTGCAATTAGAGCCAGAAAGCAGCCTGAGTGGTTGGCATAGCACACCTTGCTATCTCGAACCCTCCTCCTAATATGACAAATACTTTTTCAGAGATAAGGGCAGAGTGTAAAAAAATCATTTCATGCATGCAGCTCTCAGCAGTAATAGTGCAGGACACTTCCTGGGCACGTACCCTGTGCCAAGCACTGCTTCAGGCACCCACACATGTTATCTCATGCCAACCACGCAGTAGCCCTGTGGGTTGTACACCCCACCTGCTGAGGCATGGAAGAATTAGGCCATTTGCCCAAGGAAATGGAGAGGAAACTAAGGCATGCAAGAATTATGCCATTTGCCCAAGGTCACACAGCCTATTAGTCAAAGAGCCAAGATCTGCCCCCAGGCAGCTCTGCTCTGGAGGCAGGTTCTTAACCAACCCAATTCTGATGCCTTTCCCTCCTCAGTGTGTCTCCTCAAGTCTTGAGTGCTCTGAACATTTCTTTTTTCTCTTTGATCACATTTCTATTTAAATGTCTCAGTCCCCTGCAAAGACTAGCTGAATGTTTTCATCTATACCATTTAAGCTTCTTGTTTTTAGGCATGGAGAGTAAAATGCACAAAAAAAAAAAAAAAATCCCAGAAATCCTCTTAGTGATTTTTTTTTTTTTAGTAATTTTATCTGACAACATTTAAGTGTTTTTAAGAAAATTACATTGAAGGTACATGCCTTGAAGGAGGAAAAAACAGAATGCTTATTATGTGCCCGGGAAGTTTACCTATATTATTTCATATAATCTGGACAATCACCCTATGGTATGGATTTTATTACCTCTATTTTACAAGCAAGGACACTGAGATTCAGAGAGGCACAGAGGCTCACCAAGGCCACTCAGCCAGAAGGTAACAGGACTGGGAGGCAGGCCCGGCACTGTGAGCCCAGAGCCCCTGCTCCTTCCTATGTGGAAGATACCCAGAGAGAGCGTCGAGTGTTATTTAGGAAAATGAGTGCTAGACGCATGATATGTAACAATCGCAGCTGCTGCCTCCATCAGTGGAGCAGCTGGCATGAGAAAGGAGCTGAAATAAAGAGAAGTGAAGGGACTTGTAGCTTCCCAAAAGTGAACCTGCAAGGAGAGAGAACAACTCAGTCTCCACTGGATGCGATTCTCCTTAGGCACCAGAGGCTGTTTCCTCTTGGAGGAAAGACCATGAGGCTATTACTGGACAGTGTATCTGCTCGTTACCAAAAATATCCATATTTACATAAAAGATATAGCTTGAAGTAACTGAGCTCACCCGGTTAAAAAGAAACAAGTCTTAAAAATTCCATAGGAATCTTAACCTTGCTTAGTACTTGTCCTAGGTTCTAGGCTAAGGGGATGATACCTAGTTTCAGATTTAGTTGGAAAGCATTCTCTCAAGAGGACTCTGAAACACGAGAATGAGGTTGAGGACTTCTAAAAATGTAAAGACAAAAAATTAGGAATGTCCAACTCAAATGGTGATGTGGCCTCTTAAGATTTCTACTAGACCTAGATTCAAAAGGCATAGGGTATCTATCAGAGAAACACTGATCTGGATTGCTAATCCAGTGTTTATATTAGAGAATATAAAAATTTATTGAGGCATAGACTGACTTTTATTTCCTACCCTTCATGGTACCAAGCCTAGTGACCTTTATACACCAATGCTGATAACAGGCATTTTTTTTATGGCTTGAACCAGTATTTTAATTTGAATTATGAACTGTGGGGTCCTTCATCTAAATATTAAAACTACTAAATCAGCTACAGTAATTGGACTAAATATGTGGAGCATGGAAAACCATTAGTATGATGAAGGTGGCTGTTGCAGGCCACAGAAGGCTGGCATGCTTTTTTACAAAAAGCCAGGTGCTGGGCCATGGAAGTAGGAAAGTGATCATGCAAAGTACGCCTCCGTCTGCAGCACGATGAGGCTGTGTTATCATGGTTTATGTTATCAAAATTGGCTGCAGCCAACCTAGGTGAGTACATTTCCCTTCAGGAAGTTAAGAAACTTCATGGCACAAATCCACGAAGACAGGCCCTTCTCTGTGACTTTTTTTTTCCATAAAATTATAAAAGCCATATTTATGGTTTCCTCTAAAATTTCTACTAATATAACAAATGAACTGTTCTTACAAAAACATGTTAGATAGGAGATATTTGGTAGAATCCCAAAGTACTGTGCTTTTATTTCTGTGAAATTAGTGCTTTCTCAGTTTCAGGAGGGTACTGACACCTCAGCTTGAGGATTGAGCTATGTGTTATGATTCACTTTGGTAATATTTGCCTCAGAAGGATTTCTGTGATTATTTCTCTTTTAGCGATGTAGAGAATTCTCAGGGACAATCAAGCCTTCAGCCCCAGTACACAGTGACCCACATAAAAAATGTCCCTGAAATGGCACTGATTATAGGGCTAGAAGTTTCTAAAGAGAAACAAGTCTTTCAACAAGATAGCAAATATTTCCCACATTTTGCTTTTGTCTCAAATTACTGAAAGGATATAACTTAAGGATAGTAATTCTTATGCCATAGATACTATCCAACAGAATATAGATTGTTCTGATTTATCCCTTCTTGAAAAACTGATCTTTTATTTGCCTTTACAACCCCTCTGCATATAGTAGGTGAAAATACATGATTTTGGAGCTCAACTAATGTGGTTACAGAACTGACCCAAATTACATGTACTTTATTTTCAACATAAAGGCGTCCAGTACATGTTTATCCTCAATTCAAAGGCATCCAGCACAGTGCCTTAAATGCACACACAGAAAAGACTTTCTCAACATGATCCATTACAACATTGCACCTGCAGCCTGGGCGTGGCACCCGGCTTTCATAAGAATAACATGGAGGCAAAATAGATCTGCAGAGGTTTGGAAAACCTTCCTTCTCCTCTCCCAGCCCTAAGAGAAAGACCCGACCGCTTCATCCTGCAACTTGAAGATGCCAACAGAAACACAATTGATATAATAACAGGCTGGGAATGGCATTTACTTGACCCAAAACTCTGGTGTGGCCTGACTGTATGAAGGGGAAACATCACCTGCCCTCAACTAAAGTTACGAAGTGCTAGAAATACTTGCTATTTGGCAAACAAAGTTATCAAGGGCTATTGAAATTGACCCCAAAATAACTACTGCATAAGAGAGGGTCTATTGCATAAGAGAGGGTAACAGCCTGACAGAACTCTGGTTCTTTGATTCTTTAGATTAGAACAATACAAATTTTAGTTAGAGCTAGTGGTTTACTGGTGGGAAGTACTGAAAAGACTCAAGCAGCACATGAAACAAGCTGGTTTGCAATACATCAGAAGCTAGCTGGGTAAGCCAAACTTACAGATTTTAGGATCCCTGTGGCATCTTCATGGAGCCAGGTAGGGTAGACCACCTCATCATTCAGTATGGCCTCAAAGAGGTCATCTTCGTTCTCTGCCTCAAAAGGCGCGTGACCACAGAGCATCTCATAGAGCAACACGCCCATTGCCCACCAGTCTACTGCAGGCCCGTACAGCATTTCCTGGAGGATCTGTGCAAAGGGGGCAGCGTGAGAAGGTGGTTCATACATCAGATTAACAAATGTGTTCTTCATAACTAGGGAAATTGATGCATTAGGAAATATCAAAGTTTTTTTAAAAAAGTCTCCTGTGCTAGCAAGCGTATTTCATTCCATTTCTACAGAGTGGTCTGTTTTCCCTGTGGTCAACTCAGAGGTGCCTTCTCATCTAGGTGAGCAAATATTTATGGCCTGATTGGGCCACTGTGATGGGCTCGTGCAGATCCCAAACAGAAAGGGTTCTGGAAATATATCAGTCTGGAAAAAAAAGGGGACTGGGTTCACTCACTCATACGGGAAGGATTCAAGGATTCAAGAGCCTTTCTTTAGTTCTGCTAAATGACGCTGAAATTAAATCACTAAGTAGAGACAAAAAGGAAAATAAATAGCCATGAATGGCGTACACTTTGTCTTCATTTAGGGCTAAAGCCCAAAGCAACTGCAAAGTTTACATATATATATATATTTTTTTTTATTATACTTTAAGTTTTAGGGTACATGCGCACATTGTGCAGGTTAGTTACATATGTATACATGTGCCATGCTGGTGCGCTGCACCCACTAACTCGTCATCTAGCATTAGGTATATCTCCCAATGCTATCCCTCCCCCCTCCCCCCACCCCACCACAGTCCCCAGAGTGTGATATTCCCCTTCCTGTGTCCATGTGATCTCATCGTTCAATTCCCACCTATGAGTGAGAATATGCGGTGTTTGGTTTTTTGTTCTTGCGATAGTTTACTGAGAATGATGATTTCCAATTTCATCCATGTCCCTACAAAGGACATGAACTCACCATTTTTCATGGCTGCATAGTATTCCATGGTGTATATGTGCCACATTTTCTTAATCCAGTCTATCATTGTTGGACATTTGGGTTGGTTCCAAGTCTTTGCTATTGTGAATAATGCCGCAATAAACATACGTGTGCATGTGTCTTTATAGCAGCATGATTTTCTTTTTTAACTCAAATTCTTATTAGAGGGACTTAGGCCATTTTCAGCCATCATTCACCCAATGAGCCATAAATGAGTCTAGAGGTGTCGGCTCTAGACACCTTTCAATGCTGCCTCCAAAGCTGCAGTGCATAAAAGCAGCCAGTGGCATTTCTGGTCAGAGTTACTGGAGAGCTCAGATTTCAGAGCTGCATCAAGCAGCTGCACTCACCTCTGGAGCGATATAGTCTGGCGTGCCACAGAATGTGGCCGTGGTGACACCATTGCAAATCCCCTCCTTGCACATTCCGAAGTCTGCCAGTTTACAGTGACCCTCGTGGTCCAACAGGACATTGTCCAGTTTCAGATCTCTGAAAGATACAAAGAGCAGCACGAGATAGGGCAGCCAGACCCCAAACCATCCACCTCTCAGAATGGGCACACACACACACACACACACACACACACACACGTGCGGCCACATGCGGCCGCATGAGCTTCCTGTACACACGTCAAAAGGAACAAACTTCTCTGTGCTATCTGGATGACACATTTAGATCAAGTCTCAGAACTTGCCTCATGGCTCCAAGATGATGCGCCCATTAAGAATGGGCTGACCACAGGAAAATGTAGGCTGTCCTGTAAAAACGGAGGGCAGAATGTGGCTTTTCTAGGCTTTCCACTTACCTCATACTCAGCCTATACCCCATCCTCCACTCTAGCACCCATCTCTACCCATCGGAGTCAGAATGAACACCCATAGGGGAGGTGGCCACTGTGTGCCCGGGGTGGTGACAGGCACTAGGAGTACAGCTGATCTTCATCTGCAAGGAACTCACAGTGTAATGGGAGACAAATATTTGCTAGGCTAGAAGCTCCATGACGGCGGGGATTGTGTTTATGCGGTTCACCATTATGCCTGGCGCCATTATGCCTGGCATAATGTACTTAAGAAATACTTGTCGGCTGGGTGCCTGTAATCCCAACACTTTGGGAGGCTGAGGCAGGCAGATTGCTTGAGTTCAGGAGTTTGAAACTAGCCTGGACAACATGGGCAACATCCCAACCTACGAAAAATACAAAAATTAGTTGGGCATGGTGGCATGCACCTGTAGTCCCACATACTTGGGAGGCTGAGGTGGGAGGATTACTTGAGCCCAGGAGGTTGAGGCTGCAGTGAGCTGAGAGTGCATCACTGAACTCCAGCCTGGGCGACAGGGTGAGACCCTGTCTCTAAAATGAAAAGAGAAGAAAGAAATACTTTGTGTGTGTGTGTGTGTGTGTGTGTGTGTGTAAAACAAATAGATATATATTTCATATACAGACAGACACACACACACACATGGACAGGATAGACCAGGAGGGGTGGGGAGGGGGAACACACCAATTGCTGTATCATCCTAGTGGCACGATGAAGGTATGAACCAAGTGCTACGAGAGAAACATAAGAGAGAACAATTCCTTCTAGTGGGAGGAGAGAGAGACAGCCTCACAGCAGAAGCAGAAATTGAGCTGGGTCTGATAGCATGAGTCAGAGTCTCCCAGGCAGAGAAGGGGAGTGAGAAGGCCGCCATGGACAGGCGGATGGGGCAGGGACACGGCAGCAAGCCCAGCAGTATGGCTGTGCAGGTGGACTCAGAGAACCCTGGGTATGGTGGAGGAGGCTGAGGGGCGGGCAGCACAGGACAGAGGAGTGCTGGGGCCATGAAAAATCTCAGGGCTACAGAGGAAAGTTAAGTCCTTCAAACCATGAAGGGTCCTGAATGTCACACGAAGGAATTTTGATTTTTACATATTAGGCAAAAGGAACTCATTGATGCTCCCTCATTAAGGGAGTAACAGATTCCTGGCTGGACAAGAAAAGATCAGTTGGGGGAGGCTGAAACCGTCCAGGGAAGAGATGTTAAGACCTGAACCAGGACAGTGATGAATGGAATGGAAAATAAGGAGTTAGTCAGGGGAAAGGAAGCAGGGCTTCGGTGAAAGCAAAATCAGTAATAAGGCTTGATAATCACTTAGAGATAGACGGATAGAGAGAAGCAGCAGAAATGATGACTTCTGGGTTTGTCTTAAATCCAGTAGGTTTGTGGGGATGTTAATCAGGAAAAGGAAAACCAGAGTGAGAACAGGGTTTGTTTGTGGGTACCCCAGGTGCACAAGAAGCCTAGATTATGGAGACTGGTTGAAAGCATTTCCACCCCTCCTCCAATCCCTAAGAGCAAATTCATGTGGAAGGAAGTGAATATTCAGCAGCAGGATTGTTTGGTAAAGAGTCCTCAAGGTCGGCAGGAACATGGCCATGTACTGATAAAGCTGTCTGTAAATAAAAGGCAGTGCTCTCTTAAAAAAACCCGCTTCCCAGCACAAGCACCTGGTTGTCCTGTTGCCACCCATACCCCAGGGCACTGTTACAGAGGGAGGGTGGCATTGCTAGCCTCACAGGCACAGTCTAGACTGGACAGAGCAACAGCTTGGCCTTTTGGGTGAGACATTTACACTTTGGTTTTTAAAGGAACAATATGCTCAGAGGCAACCCACATAGGCTGATCAGTGACAAGGAGGCTGCAGGTCACGGGGGGGATGCTAGGTGGCCTGGAGCTTTGTGGTTAACTGCCATTGTGGGAGGCTGCCATGGCCTTGGGCCGCCTGGAGCCCCCCTCGCTGTGGCGTCTCCTCAGTGGCTGCAGCTGACTGCTCTTTCTGGAGTGCCATATTCACTGTGGGTTGTGTCAGGGCACTCGAGGTTCTATTTTCTTGCCTCAGTGTGAGAATCAAGGTCTGTTGGCCTGCATGGCCCAAGGCAAAAGGTTGGTCTCTGTCCAGCCTGGATCACGTTGCTGGCTTGGAGGAGGTAGGTGATGACAGAACTGGCATGACTGGTTTCCACACGCTGTCCTGTGAGTTGATACAGCCTGGCCATACAGGTCTTACAGAAAATGGCCACTAGAAAATGCCCAGGAATGGAAACCAAGTCTGGTATTCCAGGAATCCCCAATAAGTGTGGTTAAAGCAGCAAAGCTTTCATGGCACAGATCAATGGAACATAGAACAGACTTCTCTGCTCTTAGTAGCAGCCTCCCCGGGTGTCAGGGGCATAAGGCAAAGGCATGCTGAGTACCTGTGCACCCACTTCAGCGAAGCAAGCTTTCTGTGTCTCTAACCCAAACCCAGTCCTGGCTCCAAATCAGCCCTTCTCCACGCAGAATCCCATGTCCCATATAAGTGACTGTTTTCAGTGGGCTGATTTGTGGAAGCTGCTTCCTCCCCTGGCCCCACCACATAAATACAATATGAGCACAGCCAGTTTAACCTACAAAAGGTTGCAATCGTAGCAGCGCAGGACGGGAGCAGGGGTGAGGATGATCGTGGTCCTGCCCAGTGAAGGAGGCCACCACTCTCAGTTCTTCCACAAGTGTTTTCTGACTTGGGAGGCACTATAAGGCCTGGGTGCCTGGCTCCTCTGGGACTGCGGGCACACAGTAGAGAGGCGCCTGGCTGAGGTTAGACACACTAGTCTGCAGCCCCAGGAGAGAGCACGGCCGGGGGGACAAAGCCCATGAGCCCAGCTTTATCGACACTGTGTCCTAGCCTGACAAGCCAGGCCTGTGTGGACCTGAGCCCAGAACACTATCACTCACATTTCCAAACAAGGTCACTGAGTTTCTGAATTTTCCCGAAGCCAGTATGCCTGCTGAAGTCTTGGAAAGGATCTTCTTGGGCAACAGAAACAAGTGCTAACAGAAATCCAAAACGGTCTCAAGCGTTGACCCGCAGTTGCTTAAGAGCTTGTGACTAATGTCCCAGGTAAGAGGTCTGACTGCTTATTACTCAGCTGCTGTCATGGGCAGCAGGAATCGCGCAGGGAGAGAAAGTGCTGGGCCATCAGTTTTGTCAGTCAACTATTACAATCAGCTCTGCATGGGGAAGTCTTGGGACGCAGCTCTCAGAAGACGCAAGTGGGCAAGACAGGGATGTGACTCATCCTGGTCACAGGATGCCCGAGGCCACAAAGGCAGGTTAGACACCTTAATCCTGATTTCAATCTAATTTTAGGCATTCTCAGAACTGTATGAGCTGTAAAGGAAACGCCATGGCTGTTCTCATACCAAGTGCTATTTAATAAGACAGATCGCTCAAACTGGGATCCCAAGAGGGTTCAATTAAGAGCATAATGTAATTCCAGGCTACCAGTGCTGCCCTCAGCCCAAGTATCTCATACCTGCTCTATGAAGTCTGTCCTGATGTCCCCAGACAGTCATAGCAATATCAACTCTGCTCCTAGGGTGCCCAGTTTATACTTCTATGATAGCATACCCCGCACTGTATTCCAGAAGGCTCTGTCTGTGCACCTGTCTTCCTTCTTAGCAGCTCCAGCATGGTCCTGGCAGGAGGTGCTGACCAAAGGGATAAACAGAAGCATTTCAGATGGACCCCAATGGGACTGCCCTGGCCAACTCAGAGCCTATCTTATTTTTAGGGGATGGAAGGACACTCCATAAACTTTGCTCCAAAGTACTTAAACTTATAAAAAGCCACATGTTTTACCCCTTAAAGATAGACTCAAGAGGGAAAAGAAGAAACCTGAAATCAAAATTTAAATTCTTCTCTTTGATGAAGCTGGAGAAAGAAAGTGGTTTTGAAGGGTCAATTATTAAACAACGAGGACCAAGCAGAACACTTATCCTCATGTTGGCTTGCATCCAAACGGAAGAGCAGAACATGGAGAGGGTGACTCAAACAAAGCCAAAGATTATAGAGCCATTTACAGTCATGGTCAGCTTCCACTCTAAAGGGAAATCATGCCTTTATTTTTTTTAAAGCAAAAGAAGTCACCCTAAGCCTCCTGACTTTAGTTTGAAATATGCAGAGGTCAGTTTTTGGCTTAGGAGTACCTCAGCTTCCTATGCCAACATGTAACTCAGCAGCTGAACTTAACAAGGCTACACAATGAAGATTACAAGTTCATACAGGGCAGAGGCTCAAATACTAAAATGCCAAAACCACAGTTACCGGCTTGCCATTCATTAGCTCATTGAGCACCGGTATTTAATAGCTACAGCTTTTGTCATGCAAGCATAGAAGGGTAGAAAGAGTTATTCTATCCTCTGTGCTTGTCTGAAAGCTACATTGTTCTTGCTGGGTAATCAGGGTTACTTAAAATGCCCACAGTAGTTTCAGAGAGAATTCCCAAGTGATTGAAGACAAAGGAGATTCAGAAATTGGATTTATTTTGTTTCCACCATAAGCTATCCTGAGAGTAATAAAACAGATTGACATGAGTCTTACTGCTTAGATCACTAGAGTCAGTTACTCTTCCAAAAGAAATAAAGGAAAGCGAGTTGAGAGCTGGCTCCTTGAACAAGAATGAATCTAGGAGGCTATTTATATGAACTATTTTTAACATATTTTTCAACTTTTATTATGGGAAATTTCAAAACAGACAAAAGTAGGGAGAATGACACAACTCCCATACTGATCACACAGCCTCGGCACCTGCCAATGCACGTCCAAACATGCTCCCTCGCTACATCGACTCCCTCCCTCCCTGATCCATCTTTTATCAGATTATTTTGAAACAAATCCAGGATATGAGCTATTTCATCTATACACATTTTAATATCTGAATCTCAAAGATAATAATTCTTTAATAGAGTACAACTTTGATACCCATTATCATAAAATACACAGTCAATTTATGATTGTCAGCATACTGCCATTTGTCTGTTGCTCATTTGGGGGTGGTGAGTCTGTGGGTCTGTCTAGAAAACCTGGAAAAAAGCTTTTGTGAATAACAAGAATAACAGTGTCTTCAGTGGTTAACATATACTGAATGTTCATCAAATGCTAAGTGCTTTATCTATATTCTTATTTTATCCTCAAAATAACTCTATGAAGTAGGCTCTACCCCAAGATTATATAGCTAGACAGGGGTAAAATCAGGATTCAGATTTACTTCTGCTCACCTCCAAGGCCTGGGCTTGTGACTTACTACACCAGGCCCAATCCCTTCTATGTAGCAGTGTCACCGGCCAATCCCCCGGATAGATTGTTTCCCAAAAGGACTTTAATTGAAACAAGAACCACCTGAGGGAATCAATAAATATTCTAAGATGGCACTATGATAGAGGGATGTTTTATGCATATTACTATGAAATGCATAATCGAAATACTGCAAAGCAAGGTTTTTTTCTTAGCTTGTGCATAGAGTTCAATGGATTTTACAGAGTCCTTGAGGATACAGGCATAGGGGAGTGCACAGCAAATCTCTCAAGTGGTCAAATGTGCAGATCATTTGCTGCCTTCCACTGAGGAGGAGGAACTAGCATGTAGGTAAGTGTGAAAAGGGGGCATCTGCCAAGTGAGTGAATGTGGGTTATGGTCTTAATTTTAGAATAAAACTACTTAGGACTGGCTTGTGTTTTGAGTGCCTGGGTTTATACTTAAAGTTTTTTCAAAGCAAGATGGATTGTATTAAATGGGCAAAAGACTTTTGAAAAGTCACTGAATTAGCAAAAGCATAACATTTGGTTTCATCGTGAGTTAGACAGTAGTGCCATTCATGCATCACCTGACACGAGATATCCATCCCTTCACCCACCCAACCATTCTTTAGTATTGTCCATGAGCCTGGCCATATGCCAGGATGTTGGGATACAATAGTAAGCAAAGGGGGCACCATCTCTACCCACAAGGGGGTTAATGTCTGGTGGGAGAAGCAGACAGATCACCACACAACTAAATTTACAATTATCAACTGTGATGAGTGCAATGAGGAGAAAACATGGGAATAGATCAAGGGATGGCCTGACCTAGCACTGGGGGAAGATTTCCCAGGAAAGTGACATTTGAACTGAGCTGTGAAGATTATTAACCAAGTGAAGAGACAGAAAGAAGGGAAAGTGAGGGTAAGGAGAATTTCAGAAGGAAGGAACAGAGGTGAGGGGGTTCAGTCAAGAAATGAAGACTAGTGTGGTTGGAGTCCTGGGTGGCGAGAGAAGAGAGCATGGAGACAGGAGAGAGCAGGGACCAGATGAGGCAGGGGCCAGTGAGGATTTCAGTCTTTAGCCCAATAAACCATGGAAAACTCTGACTCAGGAGAGGGATGGCATTAGATTTTCGATTTTACAGGACTCCATATCAGAGGAGTTGAGAATGAACATGAGGAGATCATTTGGGAAGCTACTAGAGTATCCAGGAGATAAATGATGGTGGCCTGGTATAGGGAGGGTGGTAAGGTAAAGAGAACTAGATGTGTCAAGAACTACTGGGGGAAAGCAATGGGATTTAGCAATGGAAGGATGTAAAGGATAAAGGGAAGGAGGCATCAGCAGGTTCTGGATCACAGAATTTATTTTGGACAGATTGAGCTACTTTTTTTAGACATACAGGTGGAGATATTTAAGCAGCTGAATACACATGGCTAGATGTCAAAGGGAAGGCTGGTTCGGAGCTATAAATTTGAGAGTCATTACCTGGGTGTGGATGAGTTCACCTCAGGAGAAGGAATGAAATAAGGAGAGAGCCTGGGACTGAGCCTTGGGAAGAGGATCTCCTGAGGCCAAGATCTCTGCTCTTTTTTACACTGAGACTACAAAAACTAGTGACAAATTATACTTAGAGTAGGGTAGCAGAGCTGTGTGCCTAGAGAGTGGGGCCCAAATCTTTTGCCTCCATATGGGCCACCTATAGTCCAGGTAAGCTTTAAAAAGATTAAGGCCGGGCACAGTGGCTTACGCCTGAATCCCAGCCCTTTGGGAGGCCGAAGCGGGAAGATCACTTGAGCCTGGGAGGTCAAGGCTGCAGTGAGCCATGATCACACCATTGCACTCCAGCCTGGGCAACAGAGTGAAACTCTATCTTAAAAAAAAAAAATTAATAAAATAAAATAAAAAGATTAGAAAAACATCAATCTTGTACATTCAGAATCACCCAATGGATTATTTTCAGGTTAAATTCTCAATCTCTGCTATGTGATATGATACTCTTGTGAGTGTAAAATTAAGAATCTTATTTTACAAAGATATTGGTTGCTGCATCATATATAATTTGAAAAAAAGCTAAATTATGTATCAACCGTGGAATGGCTAAATAAATAATGGTATTTCTATGACAGAATCTTATGAAAGCTGCCAAATTTTTATGAAGGACTAAAAATGTAAGGAAATGTTTATAATAGAATTTTTAAATGTTATCTGAAAATGTTTTTTTGATTATAAAAGTAATATTTTCATTATATAAAATTGATCATTCCTGAAAAAGGTATAGAGAAAATGATGATGGGTTCAGTCTTTCAAACTTTTCTTCTCAATGCTACACTAACACAATATTATACAGTAAAATACTTTTCTCAACAATTGTCTTGGACATATTTATATCTCCTATGCCTCTGGCTCATTCTCTATAATGGTTGCATACAATTCCACTGTAAAAATCTACCACAATTTAACCAGTTCCTCTACATAAACATTTGGGTTGTTTTAAATTTTTTGCAACTTCAAACAATGGAGTAATGAACATGATTTGCACACTTGTGGGAGTGTTTATTTAGGATACATTTTTTTAGAAGTAGAAATGCCATATCAAAGGGCATAAATATTTTAAATTTAAACAGATGTAGAGAAACTGTTTTCCAAAAGGGTTGCATCAATTTATATTCCCACCAGTAGCACATGAAAGTGTCAATGTTTTGGCTTCCTTGTTCAGGCTAGATGGAATCATCCTTCTAATTCTTGCCAAACCGCCAGTGAAAAATGAGCTCATTGTTTCAACTTCATTTCTTGACTATTAATGAGATTAAGCTTTAAGAAGAATATATGTTTAATGGCCATTTGAATTTTTTCTTGCCTATTCACATGGTTTAACCATTTAAAAACTTGAGTTGTTTATCTTTTTGATTTTTTTAAGAAGCTCATATTATGGGATAGTAATAATTTTTTATATTGGTTCTATGGGTTGTAAATATTATCGCCTGGTTGAAGTTTTGTTTTGATATAGTCCAGTTATCAATCTTTCCTTCACAGCTTCTGGGTTTCATGACTTACTTATAGGCTCATACAATTCTAAGTGAAAGAACAGGATACAAAATTATATTTTCAATATTCTCTTAATTTGTTACAATTGTGACAGAGAGGGATAAAGAAAAGGAGGAAAGACAGGAGGAAAAAGGAGGAAAGACAGGAGGAAAAAAGGAGATGAGGAAAAACATAAAAGTCTATTTCCAGGTGATATGTTTATGGGTGATTTTTATTTTCTGTTTTGGATTTTCTAAATTTCCTACAGGAATCATGTATTACTTTGTTAACCAGGAAAAAGTCATTAAAATGTGTTTACATATTCTAGCTTTAATCTTTCTTTCTTTTTTTTTTTTTTTTGGTTTCTGTAGTATTTAAGGCCATAATTCCCAAGGAAGATGTGCAGGGAAAAGGACCCATTGGTCAGAGTGCAAAGGATTTCTTTTGGAACCCAGGCTCCAAGGGAATGTTGGAAAAAAACATCCTGTTTGCTTAGAGAACCTGCACATTTGTAGACTTAGAATTGAACTTGTTGCCATCAGCTCATTTTTTTTTTTTTTTACCACAGAAATTACTTAATGTCTACTAAGTGTCTATGATTGTCGTGGATGGCATTTATATTTTCAATAGCCCCACAATGTGTCCCTGAAGTCTGAATGAACTTAAGTATGAAAATGAATTTCCTACTAAAAGCAGCAGCATTCCTAATTATTAAATGAGGTCCCTATGCCATTTCTCCTCACAGACACTTAATCTGGTGTTCCTGAGGCTGACCTATTGGAATATCTTGCTGAAGACCACGTATACAAGATGTGAACATTCATCATTATGAGGCTGAATGTAAAATACTTCATTTTATAATGAAGAAAGTCAGTAAAACAATTTCCAGCCCAGAAAGTGTTGCCAAGGCTCTTCTGAGGCTCTTCCCCACTACCCCCTCATACCTCCTCCCAGCAGCTACCTGGGATGAGAAATGACAAAAATGACTCCTATTTGAATCTGGTTACTTCACCCTCTTTAAAACAGGGCCAGGGTGGGAGGATTGCTTGAGCCTAGGAGATTGGGACCATCCCAGGCAACATAGTGAGACCCTGTCTCTACAAAAATTTTATTTATTCATTCATTCATTCATTCATTCATTCATTCATTCATTCATTCATAATCTCATTCTGTAGCCCAGGCTGGAGTGCAGCAGCGTGATCATAGCTCACTGCAGCCACGACCGTCTGGGCCCAAGCGATCCTCTCACCTCGGCCTCCAAGTAGTTGGCACTCCAGGCACACATCACCACACCCGGCTAATCTTTAAATTTTTTGTAGAGATAGGGTATTGCTATATTGCCCAGGCTGGTCCCAAACTCTTAGGCTCAAGTGATCCTCCCTCCTCAGCCTTCCAAAGAGCTGGGATTGCAGGTGTGAGCCATTGTGTCCAGCTATACAAAATTTTTTAAAAAACTTAGCCAGGTATGGTGGCACACTCCTGTAGGTCCAGCTACTTGGGAGGCTGGGGTGAGAGGATTGCTTGAGCCCAGGGGTTGGAGGCTACACTGAGCTATGATTGTGCTACTGCACTCCAGCATGGGCAACAGAGCAAGATCCTGTCTCAAAAAACAATAATGAAACAAAGAAACAAACAAACAGGGCACAGACTCACAAACTAATTCCCATAGACTAGGTGTTGGTCTTCATCCTGTTCTGGGTGTTTGATGCCCTTGACATGTAGGCAGTGTGTTCCCACCATCACCACTGCAGATACACAGGACCAACTTAAGTTGAGCAAAGGGACTCAGAGATTTCCCCTCACTTTGTCTCACGGTAGAAAAAAATACCCAAAAAACCCCATTCGCTGACTCTCTGGACAAATACAAGAGGAAATGAGTTTGATAAACATCCTCAGTGTACCAATCATACATCTCCTTAGGACCATCAAATAAATGAGCCATCAAACTGACAGCTGAGCCTCATAATTTTTTTTCTTTTTCTTTTTCTTTTTTTTTTTTGCATTCCACATCCCCTATCACTATCCCACCCAGGAGAGCTGAAATTCCCTGGCTGAAGCGGTGCAAATTTATTTAGCAGCTCCTGATAGTACTTTTATTTTATGGTTGCCAAGAAAACTTCTCTCACCGACTCTCCTTGCCAAAATGCTCAGACATGATACCTGGCAGCGGGTCAGCTTATAGATGCACTTAGTGATGAAACACAAGAAGGCCAGAAGTCTTCAGGCAAAGACACCAGGAGACAACAGACCTTTGGTGGCTAAGGGTCTCCTGACCATAGCGCCTTGCTCTGATAGCACAGACTGGATGCTGCGGCCAACAGTACACTTGGACCTGACAGTCCAAAGGGCATAAAACAGCCAACAAGCCAAGTCTCTTCCCCAGTGCAGACAGCCAAGTGCAGCTGACCCACAGAAACCACTGGGTCGGCTTTGCTTCCTGGAGGCAGAATCCAACAAGGAAATGAAGGTTTTCTGATAGCCAGTCACTCAAGGGCAGGAGGACAAACAGGATCAAAGAGCCATGGCAGATTCTGAGAGCCACCAGCCAGGAACAGGATAGGTATGAAGGACCCCTTACTGGCTGGCTGCCTGCAGGGCATGTGCATGAAGATGACAGAATGGTTTTGAATGAGGAGAAATCAGAACTCAATTCCCTCTTTAACATTAATATCTTAATCACAACCAGGGGTGGCTGTGGCACAGAATAAGCATGGGCAAGGACAGATGGGTCCTGCTAGCTTTATGTTGGACACATGGCATGAAGACCAACAAACGAGTTCATAGAGTGAAACTATTAAATGTTCTAGGGCACACAGTGCTAGGTAAATGCTAGCCATTATCAGCACTGTCACTGTGGCTGTTATTAAATGGATAATGCTATGGCTCTCATCCTCAGGAAGGTAAGCCAGACACCCGAGCTGTCATACAAATACACAGAGCAAAGAGTAATCAGACGTCTTAGCCTGTCTACCCATCCTGGTCCCCTCTAATGGAAACAGTGCTATTCTTACTAGAGGAACACAGACCCTATCAGCACTGAAGCTAGTTCCTCGAAGACATTCGATTGTCAGAAAATAGCAATGTCCTTGCTTTGCCAGCGTTGGAACTTTTCTTCGACTTGGGAAAAGCAAGCAGTGAAAGTTGCAGCCATTTGCTGTCCCAGTGCACGGCCTTGCATAAAGTGTGAAAAGGGAGGTGGTGATGAGGAATGCTTTACGACAGGAAAGAGAAGAATTTACGGGACCAGCCTCAGGAGGGATGTGCAGGCTGCTTTTGGCAATTGGCTATATGCAAACTGTTGCCAGCATTAGTAATGCCTTACACAGTATCAGAGGGGAGGCAGCCTGCCCACTAGAATCAGTACTGTGGCCACCTCAGCAGGTCTCATCTGGTTCCCTGCTATCCCCATTAGAGATTAAACCTGAGCCATCTAAACACAAACCTCTGAAAAACACAAGAAGACACTTGCACTTCAGAACCACTCACAGGCTCTTGGAATTAAAAACATACCTCACATTTTACTTTTAGATTATAGATGATATTGCTTGGTTCTCTAATTATGTTTTGCATAAAAGGCTTTGTTTCTCCCAACTGGATTACAAACTCTAAGGTCAGGTCTGGAATATTTCTCATATTATCTCTAGAATGTCAATCACGGGCTAGACACAAGACGGCAACACACACAGTAAAGTTCAGGGAATTTTACTGATTTCCTACCAATACTGGACTCACATCATAGTAACATGTGCAAAAGACATCACATTTTCCCCTAAGAAATTTCCCTTGGGAGAACTCACTGGTACTTCTTGAGCACTCACTCCGGCCCCAGCACTTGGTTTTGCAACCAAAGGGCCCAGTTTTCCCAAATAGCCATTTAGTTGTTTTCTTTAAGTACTTACACGTGGAGACACTGTCTGAAGAATGTTTCTAATTTTGTGTCATAGCATTCTTAATAAAAGTCATTATTAAATGTGCAAGTGTGAGTCATTATAACTTCCTAAGATCTTAAAAGTAAACAGAATTCAAAAACCAGGAAAAATTTATTTTTTAGCCTATGTGTGTTACTTTTAGTTTAAAAAGTGTCACCACCATACATGCTAGCAAAAGTAGCAGATGACTGGACTAACATTCTTCTTGCCTAAATGCTGGACTAATCTTGACCCAATAGTGGCTATTTCAGTTTGGAGCCCTGTGCCATATAGAGAGATGAGCCAAGGACAACTTCCCAACCATGCTTTTACAGTTGCCTCCCTCAATCTGCTTCCCTCCCCTACCCAAGTGGCTTGGGGAGGTCATACCACATCTCATCTGTCTGTCTGATTTCAATGGGCAGCATATTGTGAGGCTACGGGCACAGACTTTAGAGCCTGATTAGCCGAGTTTAGTTTTAGTTTTACTAGCTGTGTGATCTTGGGCAAGTTACTTAACCACTCTGGGCTTATTTCCTCATCAAGAAATGTAGATAACAACAGTTCCTGCCTCATAGAAATGATGAGTTACTTAATGTGAATTAGGTTTAGCATAGCGCCTGGAATGCATTAAGTGCTGTAGAGCCCTTGGCTATTATTTATTCATCAACAAGAAAGATAATATCTACATGGCCTACTGTCATGATTTTTATAAGAATCAACACTGATAAAGAGTAAAAACAAGCTTCGTAAATTCTAGATAACTACTGTAAGCTTTTGCATTTTGGGCAGGTATGCCTACTATTAAGTGACACATCTGGCTTATAAACTGCTCTCTGGGTAATAGAGCCAGGAGCCAAAGCCAGATGGGTCATACAGTGACATGGTCTGGCACCAGTACCTTGGGCAACGAGCAAAATGCCTCCAGAACTGGTTAAACCCAACCAGCCACAACACCGTCGTCTATTGACATCTCCACTAAGACCAAATTCTGATGCATGAAGATACAGGAATTAAGATCTCTGTTTAGTGTCAAGTGCCCAGGTCAGTACAATGACAAAAAGCTGGTTTAAGTTGAGGTTCATTCGGTTCATCCTAGACTGTCAAACGCCACTGAATTCACCACAGGTGACTGGTTCTGCTAGGTAGAATAAGTTGAACGAGGATAAGGGAAGTCACTGAACCCTGTTGCCATCCACACCACCACAGTGGCTGGAGAACTTTATTTCCATTCTGGAGAATTTCAAATCTCCAGAAATAAAACACAAAATTCCCAGGAAGTGAAACAGTATCTGTACTTCACAACGTAATCAAATAAAATTCAACTGTACAGCCAGTCCTTGTTCTTCACCCCCTCCCTGTCTATTGCTTAGGACCCATACCCAACAGCAGATGCTGGTTTGACACTCAGTGGTGTGATAACACCCAGACCATGCAAGGCCACCTGCAGACTTCTTAAATTTTTCACTGTTATAAACAACTCTGTGATAAATGAAGGAATCTTTTTGACATGTCTGAATCTATGAATATTTTTATCATGTATTTTCACAAATAAGCAATCAACTCCAAGTGCCATGTTCACATTTAAGAATTTATATCAATGCCACTGCACTGGTGTTTGCCTTCCTTGGTCATGGGGACCAAAAGAGGCAGGCAGAGAGAACAAATTTCAAAATCCCGTCTGGGCTGTTATATGACTTATTTCTCCACCTAAAATGCAATATCCATGAGGAGACTCATTGCCTTCGTTTCTATATCTTTATATTTCGGGGTTCCCTTCAGTGCCTAACACAGTGCTTTGCAAATACCAGGCCCATAATAAATGGCTATTAATCTGAACAGCAACTCCCTCCCTGACCATTGGGTTTGGCCAGGTTCCCAGGAGACCGCAGTGAGGAAGGATTAGGGAGGATGTGGGGGGAGCTGGGTGGATTCTGGTTTGTGCTGGGACCCTGGGACCCATCTGGGACCTCTACAGCCAACGTGAAGCTGCTATTGCCTGCAGAGGTCCCCTGTCTTGGGGATGACCTAAGACCAGGACAGCATACTCTGTGGCTCTCAAGTCCACCCCAGACCAGGCGTCAATCCTTCAAGACCAGTCTAGAACCAAACTGATTCCAAGAGATAACAATTTGCCCTGCTTGGTGACTGCCTGCTCATGTTTGGCTTATAGATGAGAAAAACCTTTGTTCCTTTTTTTTTTTTTTTTTTTAAAGGAGAAGAGTATTAAAAATTCCACTGACTGCCCAAACAGGATTTACATGAATTTAACTGGCTACTGCAGGACACAGTGAACTCTTGGAGTGGCTTCTGTCATTAAGACAGGGTCCGTGAGCAGACGGGTCAGCCAGGTTGGGCAGCAGGCTGGTGTCCTGGTATCCCCGGCATGTTCTGATGGACACAGATTCTTCCCTTTCTTCAGAGGCAGTAGGCGTGGGTGAAGCAGGGTAGGCAGGCTGGAATGCTGGTGCTATCTGGTGACTGTTCAGGTGAGTTAGTCAAAGGACAAGAAGAAGAACTGTCTCGAGTTAGAAAGCAGGGACTCTGGTCTTAGCTCTGTCACCTTTCTGGGCCTCAGTTTCCTCATCTGTAAAACGATGGGATGGGACACGATGATATTCCCTCCACATTTCTCACATCAGTCAATCACTATATCCTCACATATGTCCTCCTCTGCCCAGGGCAATGCTACTCAAAGTGTGGTCCACAAACTGCCGCTCATCTGCAAACTGGCGCTGACCCATGGTGAGGTAAAAGTAGAGGCACAGAGTTTTTCGAAACTATTTGACAGTATGACAAACTATCATACTGTCATACTACATGACAATATAAGTCCGCTGAATCTAATAATAAAAATGTGGTCTTCTGTTTTATATGTATTTGGAAATTTCATTTTTCTAGTAATTTACTTTTAATACATTTTATAAAAAGTATTGGTCCTAAACGGACTGAAAAAGGAAAAATTAAAACACATTGATTTATCACCACAGATAAATGGAAGAGCTCATTTCTCTCCTGGGCTGACTTTTTCACTCTTAACTGAAGCTTCTCTGTCTCCAAAGCCTCTGCATCCCTTCCTAGGCCAAGTTTGGTGTCTCTCCGCCTGTGCTCCAATGGTGTTTGGTACACACTTCTAATGACAGCATTTCTTGCACTGATTGCATCTGTTGGTTTCCCTGCAGATCTTCTCCATGCTTATTTCAGCTCTCTAGCCCCAGAACAAGGTACCTGGCACAAGGCTGGGTAGCCAATTAAGTACTAACTGAACTGAACAAGCTCTGAGTTTCTTACCTTAAACTTTGGTTGCATTCCCTTTATTCATACACCCCTTGAGTGTAAAGTGTAAAGTTCTGCGCGTGGTGGATGCTAAGGAACTGAGGAAGCAATGGTGAGAACTGCTTTCTGCATCTGGTGGTAAATCTTTTATGCTACCAATCCCATTGCGCTGTTCCTTTTCCAGCTCTCAGTCTGATCCTACTGTTACTGTAAGTGTCAGCTTGGGCAACACAGTGAGACCCTGTCTCTATAAAATTTTTTTTAAAACTAGCTGGGTGTGGTGGTGTGTACCTGTAGTCCCAGCTACTTGGGAGACTGAGGTGGAAGGATCACGTGAATCCAGGAGTTTGAGGATATGATCATGCCACTGCACTCCAGCCTGGGGGACAGAACAGGATCCATGTCTCCAAATAAATGAACAAACAAACTTATTTAAAAAACCCCCAAAACAAAGAAAATTGGGCTTGTAGGTACAAAAGCCAGTGACTAATGTGTGTGGCTGGTGATTAAAAATCCTTACAAACCAGACAAGACAAATCACTCCTGTATATCTTGTGTAAAATTAAAAGGTCAGCCAGGAAGAAAAGGAATGATGAAATTTCTTAAGTTCTTCATCAAGCTGAAAAGCTCATTTGATGCTTTGGGTATTTTTTAAAAAGGCATTTCATGGAAAACTCCCAAACCAGAAGAGATGGAATATTACATAGGAAACCATTTAAAAGCTCAGAAAATCCTTTAAGTCCAAATCAAAGAATGCAATTCCCATCATATGGAACTCATTTCTTTTTGAAAGTCAGTAAGTCAAAAATTTTTTACTAGGAATCGGCTGGTTCCCTCTGCATTTTTTCCAGAGAAGGCAGTTTGGGAACACAGTTCCAGAACCTCAGCCTCATGAGTTCTACTCCTGGATTTTCCTGGATTTTCTCTCTGAGGCTGTGGAAAAATTCTCTTTCTCTCTCTGCTTCTGAGCCCTGCTTTAAAAAAAAAAAAAAAAAAAAAAAGGGTCATGTGATCATCTGCCCAGTTTCAGGATGTAGTATATGAAATCCTGTCCTCAGAGCTCCCTGAGTGCTTCTGATCCCCAGAGCCAGACAGCCTATGCTCACGTAGAGTTTGTAGAACACAAGAAAGCACCACAGACATGACAAGTGATATATTTTCCCATTAGAAAAGGAACTCTATTCCTCAAATTAAGAAACAGAATCAACTGATGAAAAAAATTTACCAAAATTCAAGATCTGAAAAACATGAATTATTTGAAAGTAGAACATTTTACCTGTCTGATCTAGGTAATAAACAAGCTAGAGTTCCAGCCACTCAGATAAAAACTGCAGTTACACTCTGAGTTTTACAGCCTTTCCACACAATGTTCTATCCACCCACAGAGTCGGGATCCCGTTGACACAGAAGTGAACTTGAAGTTTTTGATCTGGGTTGCGTGACAGATTCCTGACTAGAAAGGTGGTGCTATCTCTCCTCCTGTAACTTTCCACTGATGCAAAGGAGGTCACAAGCGCCAGGAAGCAGCAATGACAAGCATGTGTGGGCAGAGGATCATGTGCCAAGGCAGGGCACAAGCCTTCTCTTCCACAAGAAGCATTTATGCCATCTTATTGGCACACATCGGGGAGGCTGTGCGCCTTTGTAGTTTATGCCATAAAGGAGCCAAGCCTCCAAGCTATAGCTCTGGGGATGCCTTTTCTTTCTTATATGGTTCAGGAGGCAAGGAGCGTTCTTCACCCTGCCAGGCCCTCAGAGGTGAGGACTTGAGCCATCCGAGAGGCTCTGGCAGTTCTGGGTGGGGGGCTGCCCCAATCTGACTCCTAGCTGGCTGGAGCCAGGTGTGACAGGTGACTTGCCTGGCAGGGTGCCCTTTGCCCTCCTAGGAGCTCCCCAGGCAGGCTCTGCAGTGGGCCTTCTAGAGGAGGCTTTGCAGCAGGTATTCACCCTGGGCCACAGTCACCTGCCAGGCATTGGCTCTCAAGACCAGAACCACAGGTTTAATAATTCTACATCCGAACCAAATGGAGACAGTTAATGATCCCACTTGCTAGTGCCAAGGAAAACTCACCGGCTATGTGAAAAGGAAGAACTGATGGATAATATGAGCAGAGGCTCTACTTGAGTCATTAAACCAAAGTAAGATGAGAGTTCACTGTGTGGTGACTCTATTTTCAGGCAAATTGGAGGCAACTAAACACTTAAATCCTACCTAAGTCTCTCACCACCCCTAAGTGTCTCCTCCGGAGGCTCCTCCTCCTCCACCCTCCCTTATAGGATAGCTGGTTCCCTAAGGTTCTGTTCTTGGCTCTTGCCTGGGTTTACTTCCAGCATTCCTGCCACACCATATGGTACCTTTGTGCACATTAGAAAAAGGTGCCCCTTTCTCAAGACATCTGACTGCCATCTGCCAGAAAATTCAATCATTGCACAAATCTACAATGACTAGGATACGGTGGCACTCCCTAGGGTTGTTCAGGGCCCAATCTGCCCAGTTGTGCACAGTTGCCCTGCTTGACACTTTACCTTGCAGTTGAGTCCCGTGAGTTCAAGTATTCCCTTAGACAGATGGCTCCCCAGTCTAAATCCCTATCCTGACACCTCTCTCCGGAGAGCCAGGCCGCATCTCTAACTGCTTTATGGGCAAAACTACCAGAAGTGTTTCTTTAAACACAAAAAAACAAAAACTAAACTGTACTCTGTTGCTATCCCTACTCAGTTAAAAGCTCCTTCACTGGAAATCTCGGAGTCATCTTTAACGCCTACTCCTTGGTCCCCCAACCACATCATCAGACTCCCTTCGATGTGAATCGCTCCCCCTCCTCTTTTCCTTTCTCTTCCCACCATTACTGGCTTGCCCCAAGCTGTGACTGTTTCTTGCCTGACCTATGAGAAGACCTCCTACTTGAACTCCTGGCTTCCAGGCTTACTCCTCTGTTACTTACTCTAACACACTGCATTTATTTCCCGTTAGTCTCTTCCTCAAAAACCTCTGTTGGCTTCTATTGAAAGGCAAATAAAATAAAGCCCACACTTCCTAGCCCAACATTCAAAACCTTCCAGGTTCTCACCCCCATCTACCTCAGCTGCCAGCTCTGCCCTGCTCCTTCCCAGGCTCTGGTCCTCTGATCATACCGAGTCCTCATGATTCCTTAGCACAGGACGCTTTTCTGCCTCCACGCCTCTGTCCCTGTCGCTATGTCTACCTAGCATGGACTTCCCTGTTTCACTGTTAATGGAAAACTTGCATATCAGAATCAAGTGTCATCTCCTCAAGGCCTCCACTGAACCTCTCCATCAGCATTCATAGTTTGTTTTTGTTTGTTTTGTTTTTTTGAGATGGAGCCTCACTTTGTCACCCAGGATGGAGGGCAGTGACACGATCTTGGCTCACTGCAACCTCTGCCTCCCAGATTCAAGTGATCCTCCTGCCTCAGCCTCCCAAGTAGCTGGGATTAGAGGAACCCACCACCATGCATGGCTAGTTTTTATTTTATTTTATTTTTATTTATTTATTTTTGTATTTTTAGTAGAGACAGAATCTCACCATGTTGGCAGGGCTGGTTTCGAACTCCTGACCTCAAGTGATCTGCCCACGCTGGCCTCCCAAAGTACTGGGATTACAGGCGTGAGCCACCACACCCAGCCAACATTCATAGTTGCCTTTTCTAAGCACCCACTGTATTCTGTTTGCATTTCACTCTGAGCATTTATGGTACCATATCTTACATCGTCAATTTATGTGTGTTTAGAATTCCCAGTAGACTAAATCCTGAGAGCAAAGATTCTGATTTATCTTTTGATCTTCAGAGGTAAACAGCACAAAGCAGATGCCCAGGACCTGTTGAACCTGGTAACTCAATCGTGAAGAAGTCTCCTTCATGGTCAAACAAACCCCATGGATGACTTAACAATGGTCTTTGAGGCTGCATGTTTTCAAAGTGTCAGCCAACAAAGGGCTAATGAGTGTGTTGCGGTATGCCAGTCATAGGGTGAAGGGCATTCTCCAAACTAAAAAAGTCATTTAAGACACAAATACATATTTACGCGTAATTTACAATCTGCATCACATGCAATTCCTGGAAACTGCAAACTCTGGCACCTTGGAGAGGGAATGGCAGGATTCGGGGGCCTCTTTCTAGAGTCCACTTCTATCTCTGCATAGCTCTCCAGACCCTGGACTGGCTCAGATCCAGCACCCAATGCTAACAATGCATTACAGGAATCTGAACATTAATCAGAATAACAGTCACCTTGGAGAAGGTGAGAACATGGATGGGAATCAAATGAGGACAAATGGGATGCATACAATCTAATTGGTAGCACTGTCTTGAGAAAATAACAGAAAAAAACTTGACTCTAGGTTGTGACTGAGTAAAACAGTGTCCTCATGCTTCACTCCTCAAGATACATCTAGAGAGTCAAGAAAGTTAGCAAAAAAAGACCATTTACAACACATGGCCTCATATACAAGATAAACTCAATCATCTTATCCATGTTTTTCATCCTTACCATATGTGATATTGGGACATCCAAACCCACTCCTCTTATCTGAGACCAGATCCCCCAATTTCTGGGAAAGAAATGACCAGGAGCACAAAGATACCCAGATGGAAACTGGGGAGGGGTAGACTGACTGCTTTTCTGACACAGTGGACTTTATACATCCTCCTCCCGCAGAAGACTGACCAGAACATACAAAAGGAAGCGCTTTCAAATTTAACTGATCCTTTTACCCAACTATCAGGACTCTGTCTTGTTTCCCTTTTGCTGTCAGTAAGATGGCCTTAATAATACTGTTAACGAAGCCACCCTCTATCACTGTGCCTAGAGAGGAAACAATTCCTCTATCACTACCTAGAGGGGAACACAACTCTAATCTCTGTATCACTTTGATTCTATGATCTGTGCTGCTCCCTCCCCTTTGATACTTCTGAAACAGGAATGTTCCTTAAAACTAGTGGCTAAAAAAACACTTGCCAGCTGCTAGTACAGTTGTTTTAATCAAATCAGCAATCATGGGCATTTTGTGAGCTGTGGTTTTTTTAAATCAAGGAAATACAGTAGCTTTTATCATGTCAATTGCCATGTCAATTGCCATGTTAAAGGCTGGGGGACCAAAGGGAAGAGGATTTTTAAAAATAACTGCTTTATTAAGGAATAACTGACATACAAAAAGCTGTAGATACTTAATGTATGCAACTTGATGTGTTTGGAGAGGTGTATACCTGTAAAATCATCACTACTGTCAGTGCAATAAACCTGTACATAATCTTCAAAGGTTTCCTCCTGCCTCCTTTGTGTTTTTTTCTTGGTGATAAGAGCACTTAAGATGTACTCTCTTAGCAAAATTTTAAGTATACAGTACAGCATTGTTAATCATAGGTCTTATGTTGTACAGTAGGATTTCCAGAGCTTGTTTATCCTGCATAACTGAAATTTTGTACCCTTTGATCAACATCTTCCCATTTCTCTGTCCCCCAACCACCCTTGGCAACCACCATTCTACTCCCTGCTTCTATGATTTTGACTATTTTAGATTCCATATATGAGTGAGATCATGCAGTATCTGTCTTTCTGGGTCTGCCTTATTTCATTTGGCATAATCTCCTCCAGGCCCATCCACACTGTCCGGAATGATAGGATTTCCTTCTTTTTTAAGGCTGAATAATATTCCATAGCAAATTTTCTTTATCTATTTGTCTGCAGAAGGACATTTAGATTGTTTCCATATTTTGACTATCGTGAATAACGCTGCAATGATCATGAGAGTGCAGACATCTCTGAGATCCAGATTCCAATTCCTTTGGTTATAGATCCAGGAATGGGATTGCTGGGTCATATGATAGTTCTATTTGTAATTTTTTTGAGGAACCTACATATTGTTTTGCTTAGTGGCTGCACCAATTTACATTTCCACCAACAGTGCATAGGGTTCCCTTTTCTCCACACCCTTGCCAACACTTGTCCTCAGGTTTTTGGATAACCATCCTAACACGTATGAGGTGATATTTCATTGTGGTTTTCATTTGCATTTCCCAGATGGTTAGTGATGTTGAGCAACTTTTCATAAACCTACTGGCCATGTGCATATCTTCTTTGGAGAAATGTCTATTCAGGTCCTTTGTCCATTTTAATCAGGTTATTATTATTAGTTTTTGCTATTGGGTTGTATAAGTTGCTTATATGCTTTGGATACTAACCCCTTATCAGATCTGCAACTATTTTCTCCCTTTCCATAGGTTGCCTTTCCATTTTGTCAAGTGTTTCCTGTCCTATGCAGCAGCTTTTTAGTTTGATGTACTCCCTCTCACTTATTTTTGCTTTTGTCAGCTATGCTTTTGGTGTCCAAGGGAAGACGATTTTAGCAGGGCAATTTAGGGCTTAGACATGTGCATTCACCTTCAAAGAAAACAGTCTGTGGTCATTCCATTTGAAGACTCCATTGCCTGAGAAGAGGCTTCATGGATGGCCTCTGCCTGTAGGAGCTTTCTTACTGTTCCACACTATTTCATTACATGCCTGTTCAAGAAGAGCCAGTGACCATAGGGAAGATCAGGCAGCCAGGTCCCTGCTTCTTAGCATTTTTTTCTTTTCTTGGTAGCCTGAGAATAAAGAGCCCCAGGGCAGTTAGTTCAGGGCTGCTTCCATCCTTCATGGAATTCTGAAGAGCAACTTTCTGGAAGAGTGGTAGGGGGAGGGGTTGGGTAAAGAAGAGAAGACGAGCTTTCCAGAGAAACTCATGCGAGAGTCCAGGGGGGTTCACATTTGGTTCAGGAGGGCCAGCATTGCACACTAGAAATAGCCCCCATCCCTGGACTGGCCAGGACATCACTTACCCACCCCCCTGACTTCAATCAGAGCTGGGACTCACAACCCCACTGATGTGAGGCCTGCTTGGTGCACCGAAGTTCCTCCTGCTGACTCACACTGAAGTACCGCCGCAATATGGAGAAATTCCATGACAAAAGAGAGTATTCCTGACATTTTTCCAAGCACTCAGATTTTCCAGTAGATTGCACTGAGCACAGTATTTCTGTCATCCAAACTGCGTAGGAATAGCTCAATGTTTCCAAAGTGAAGTGGAAAAACTCACTGTGGTAGTAAAATTCTAATGCTGCTCTCTTTTTCTCCGAGACCCACAAGGGGACCTATTGAAATGTAAGACTGAACCAGGCCTGGTAGGCATTGATGTGGAACTAAAGTATACCTTGGGGACTCTGGAAAAAGTGAATATGTGACCAGAGCCAAATGCAACCTGGGGACACTTCCTGTGGGTCTGGCCCGGGGCTCCTCACCTTTCTTAACGGAGCTTTAGGTGAATGGATATGCAAGTCCCCTCTGGTTAGAACCATGAGACAGGAGTGTCCCCATTGGCCTCTACTCTGAAGGTATTTGAGTTTGAAACCCCAGATAAAATACTGCTATAGACTGAATGTTTATGTATCCCCAAAATTGGTATGTTGAAACTTAACCTTCAATGTGACTGTATTTGGAAGTGGGTCCTTTGGGAGGTGGCTAGGTCATGAAGGTAAAGCCCTTGTGAATGGGATTAGCGCCCTTAGAAAAGAAATCCGGCTGGGCGTGGTGGCTCATGCTCCTAATCCCAGCACTTTGGCAGGCCAAGGCGGGTGGATCACCTGAGGTCGGGAGTTCGAGATTAGCCTGACCAACATGCAGAAACCCCATCTCTACTAAAAATACAAAATTGGCCAGGCGTGGTGGCACATGCCTGTAATCCCAGCTACTCAGGAGGCTGAGGCAGGAGAATTGCTTGAAGCCGGTAGGTGGAGGTTGCAGTGGGCGATAGAGCAAGACTCCACCTCAAAAAAAAAAAAAAAAAAAAAAAAAAAAAGAAAAGAAAAGAAAAGAAAAGACAAATCCTAGAGAGCTCTCTCACGGCTTCCACCATGTGAAGTCTCAGTGAGAAGGCAGCTATCCGTGAACCAAGAAACAGGCCCTCACCCGACACCAAATCTGCTGGTACCTTGACCTTGCACTTTCCAGCCTTTAGAGCACTGAGAAATAATTTTCTGTTGTTTACAAGCCACCCAATCGATAGTGTTCTGTCATAGTAGTCCAATGGAGTAAGAAATACTTCAGACATTCAGCAATGAAAGAAGTGGGGAGAGAGGTATCTGTCTCTTCACTTCCTTCAGCTCTATGAAATAAAACCACAAATAAAAGCTCACTTATTTCCTTCCATGTAACTTTCACAATTGGTAATTACTTTTACTTGTTTGTGTGCTTACACTAGAATGCCTGCTTCCTGTGGGCAGGGAGCAGGCCTATTGTGGTCACTATTATATCTCCAGGCAAAAAATAGGTCTCAATTAACATTTGTTGAATGAGTAAATGAATGGATGGATGGATTAATAAATGAATACAAACCTATAAAGTTACAGACAAATTTATACCTCATGTAAATATATTAACATCTCATATAAAGGACATAAAACAAGAGGCGTAAGGGAAAGGCAATTTCCCCCAGTGTGTCTCTGAAACTAAGGTAGTGACTGATGTTAAAAAATAAATCTGTTCTTAATGCTTTAGTTACTAAATTTCCTATTTCTGAACGAGAGGAGAATACTCCATCAAAGGAAAATGCTGGAGAAATTCCCCTCCTACAGAGGGACCCCTCTCAATTTGTAAAAACACCCTTTTTTGTTTGGTTCTACCATCTTAAAGAAAAAAAAGTAGAAATGCAGACACCTCTTTGTATGATGACCATGCAGTGTACCGCCCAAAATGGGCCTCAGACGGCTGGGTGCGGTGGCTCATGCCTGTAATCCCAGCACTTTGGGAGGCCGAGGTGAGTAGATGACTTAAATTCAGGAGTTCAAGACCTGCCTGGCCAATATAGTGAGACCCCATCTCTACTAAAAATAACAAAAATTAGCCGGGGGTGGTGGTGAGCACCTGTAATCCCAGCTACTCAGGAGGCTGAAGCAGGAAAATGGCTTGAACCCAGGAGGTGGAGGTTGCAGTGAGCCGAGATCGCACCACTGCACTCCAGTCTGGGCAACAGAGCGAGACTCTCTCAAGAAAAAAAAACCCAATAAACAAAATGGGCCTCTGAGAGTAAAATGGGTCATGAAGGGGGATTATGGGAGCAAACTGGGACTTTTCTGGGCAAATGATGACATGGGGTCTGACCTACCTCTGCAACAGGTAAGTTAATCTAAGCTCATTCAAAGTTAAAACAATTTTTTAAATAATTCTTCCATTTAAAATGTGTTGTTAATTGAACCCTTCTTATCTTGAACTCTGATGAGTTTTTATCTTGAGAATTAATTCTTGCAAAGTAAAGTATCTTGAGCTTCTCTGGTAAGTTTTTGATTCTAGAGTTATATCTTAAAACACAAAGTATAACACAGGTCACTTTCCCTGGATGATATATCAAGTGAGATACTGTGAAAATACTCTGCATGGTAAGCCCTCGACTCTACCTCTTTCTTTTTATGAAAACAGAATACATGGCACAAAGCACAGCTGCCCCTGAGACATGCTTCAGAGGTAAAGCGCTTTGTAACAGATTCACTTCCTTTCCCAGTGCCACAGAACAAAGATTACACTCAGCCTTCCTGGACATAAAAACTTCAGTTTTTCCCATTCCTCCTGCCAAAGCTGAAATGCCGAGAAATGCTGGGAACCTGGCCTGTGATTATACACACTTCATATTTTACATTCTGAAACCCCAAGGAATAAGCTGTTGAGAACAGAGTCCTATTTCTTAAATGGCAGTTGAACAGATACAACGCTCAAGCTCTGTTGAGCGTGGCTTAGTATTTGCATAGGCAGAAACAGACAAAGACTGCACAGATTCTGCCAGTCTGTGGGCACCTTCCCGGCATATGTGGCAGACCTCAGTTAACTTTTCTCACTTATTTCTGTTTGGTTGTTTTTTAACCTTCTGAATTACTCAACCAGATTCTTACAGGAAAAAAAAAAAAAAAACCACTAACACACATACAAATCAGTCACAGGGAAACTCAGTTACGGCCTCTGACGGGTTTGAACCTGTCTATTTGCAAATGAGAAAACAAAATTTCAGTGTTCTTTAGGCCAAAATAGTATCTACCCTGCTCCTTGGTGCAGCAATAAAATGGACAGCCCCACAGTAATCAGATTTTGGGTTTGCTTTTGTCAAAATTTTCCTCCTCAGTTTTGTAAGTTGATTTCACCGCCACAGTATATTTTTCTCAATTCCACCTTCTGTGTAGGAGTCAAAAAAAAAAAAAAAAAAAAAGCCTGCTTCCCTTCCTCTCTTACATTCATTCCTTTCCTTCAAGAACCAACCCAAGAGCCACACATCCCCCAGGAAGGGCTCGAAAGGGTGAATTCCATGACTCAGTGTCACCTGCCTTCCTCTGCTGCTCGGCCCCATTTCTTTGTCAAAGGAGTGTTAAAATCCTCACTCGGTGAACTTGGGAAAGGCAAGCTTCTAGCTGCTTGGATTAAAGACTGAATACCCCCTCTTGCTTCATTTGCAAGATTTGGGGCTGCTCCCATCTGTTCTTAGAGGGCAGGAGCTCATTTTTAATTTTTTCTCTCTTGACATTATTTGGGACAGCGCCCATAGAGAAAGGTGTTTGAGAACTCCCTGGTGAATAAGCAGTCCACTCTGTACAACAGAAGGCACTCTATAACCACGGTAGAAGTATGTGCTGCTACTCTTTAATCCAGTTATAAATAATGACTGGTGCAACTGCTCTACCTGGAGCAGTAGTGCTGGAAAGAAATCTTTCTTTGTAGCTTGTAACTGCAATAAACGTTTATAAGCCTGTTGCCTGATCTGAAAAAACCAGCACTTTCTCCAACAAGAGATAGCAGAATTATTTCCAGGACTTGAACTGTCACCCATAGACCCTTCTGATAAAAGAAAAGATTGAATGGGCATGGTGGCTCATGTCTGTAATCCCAGCACTTTGGAAGGCTGGGGTGTGCGGATCACGAGGTCAGGAGTTTGCGACCAGCCTGGCCAACATAGTGACACCCGTCTCTACTAAAAATACAAAAATTAGCCGGGTGTGGTGGCATGTGCTATAGTCCCAGCTACTCAAGAGGCTGAGGTAGGAGAATCACTTGAACCTGGGAGGTGGAGGTTGCAGTGAGTGAAGACCATGCCATTGCACTCCTGCCTGAGTGAGAGTGAGACTCCATCTCGGAAAAAAAAAAAAAAAAAGAAAAGAAAAGAAAAGAAAAGAAAAGATTGCCTACCTACTACCTTTCTTTAAGGATTTAGATTTCATCTCTCTAAAGACTTAGGAAAAAATCTCTGTTCTTCAGGTAGATAATATACCACCATTTGTTTTTCAACAGGAGACATTCAAATGCAGAGCTTGCATATGCATAGACCATTTCTGGAAGGACATATAAGGACATGTCTTGAGGAAGAGGAATTGAGAGACTGGGGACAAGGGTATGAAGAGGATTTAGCATTCACTGTAATCATTTTAGAACAGCTAAAAGTGTCCTTTTTATGTATATGCATTAATTTACATTTTAAAATTAAATTAAAGTGACACTGCTCTTTAGTCAATAAATGATACTGTGTTTCCACCCATCTTCTCATCACTTACTCCCCACCATGAATTCCTGCAGACAAATGTTGGCTCAGTTGCTAGAAATAAAACAGAAATGAAGACAAGAAAAAAGAAATATTGCCATGCCCTGTGCCAGAAATTGAGGGATAACAAATGAAATGAACAAAAAAGAGCTCAAGATGCAAGCCCTTATGTAGCCATGACAAATGAGGAAACGTACGAGACTCTTGGTGTAGCTTTCGCTACTGCTTTTTTTTTTAATGGGATTAAAATGAGCACACATCTCTCTTTTTTTCATTTATTTGTCTATCAGGGACAAACCATCCAGGTCAATATATGTAGATCTAATGTATTCTTTCTTTTAATTGTTGCATAATATTCCACAGTACGGGTATAACCATAATTTATTCAACAATTTCCTTATGGAATCTGTCTTTCAAGTAAATTCATTGTTTAATTTCCTTCCCTGGATCACTTTTCTTCTTAACAACTGATAATGTATATGGAGGATTTGCTGATGTCAGACACTGGAATAAGCAAGCCACATGAATTAATTTTCACTGTAACTCCATGGAATGGATAGTACTGTTATCCTCATGTAGATTAAGAAACGGAGGCTTAGAGAATTAAAGAGTTGGTACAATATCACAGAATTACAGTACATTGTGGGGGTAAGTTTTAAATCTAAGTTTGACTTCAAAGCCTCGTTCTTAACTGTAAGCCAATACTGTCTCATTTTCATGCTGTTCCATGCAATCAACCTGAGTCTGTGGCCAGTCTTAAACATTATCCTGGTATTTCCAACTTTGAGATGGACCATTTGAAGGAGTTCCATAGGTACCTCTATTTTGACATACCCAAAGGTGATTTTCTTGTCTCCCCCATCCCACCCCCGTGCTCAGCCCATGTTTCATCTTTGGTAATTCACCCTTGAGCAAGTCACAGATTGATTTGAGAGGAAAATATCCACCTTTGCAGAGTGGGCTGTGCACAGAGATCCTCAGTTCTGGGATTTATGACTACCTTCTCTATTTTCATGTGCACATACAGGCTGAAGCTATACTCTCAAATGGATGCAGGAATTAAATTCCTGAGATCCTTACAACAGGAAAATTTAAATATCCTTTTTTGAGATCACCACACCAATTAACTTTCCACCGTGCTTGCTACTCTATAGTCAGCATCAACAATATCCAGTTAAAGACCAAGGATGGGCATGGTGGTTCAAGCTGTAATTCCAGCACTTTAGGAGGCCACAGTGGGAGGGTTGCTTGAGCCCAGGAGTTTGAGACCAGCCTGGGCAACATAGCGAGACCCCATCTCTAAAAATATTACAAAAATTAGCTGGGTGTGCTGGTACACACTTGTAGTCCCAGATACTTGGGAGGCTGAGGTGGGAGGATGGTTTGAGCCCAGGAGCTCTAGGCTGCAGTGAGCTGCACCGCTGCACTCCAGCCTGGGCAACAGAGGGAGACCGTGTCTCAAAAAAAAAGACCAAGTCTTACCCAAAAGAAGTAACATGAGCTATAATAACATAACTCAGTTCAGTTAGCCAACTGCTAGTTCAGATAGTTCTGATTTCGTAAGAGAAGAACGTGACAAGTCAACCGGATATTGATCCAAGTATCTAGAATGCCTAATAACATGGATGGTTTATGGATTACTGAGAAATCAGTAATCCTGAAGAAACAGCCAGAACGAGCGACTATCAGGCTAATAGTATTTCCTTTGTTAACAGGTAAACTAGATTGGGAGACCCAGACTGCCTTCACATATCTCCACAGCTTTCTTGTAAGAGAGCTGTATTTTTTTTTTTAAGTCTACCCCTTATAGGTGGTCCAGAACCAGTGAACTGAAGCTACTGGGAAACAATGTTTGAGTCAACAGAAAGGCGAAATTTCCAAAAGCCGTACATCCCTGAAAGTGGAGGAAGTATAAGTTCCTCTTTGCTTATAGGTGTTTAAGTACGGAAAAAAATGACTGCTCGGCAGATGTTGGATATTCATGCTTTGAAAGAAGAAGGGTATATAACTTTGAACTCCATTCCAGCTTTGAGATTCTAGAATTTTGTCAGCGGAACACAGTAAATTTTGACGCAAATGCCAAGAACAGGGTAGAGCAGCAATTCTGTACGTGAAAGCACAGGCTTACATGGCTACTCTGGAGGCCAGAGGAGCAGTGAAAAGGGAGGAGCAAGATGTGAGGGGCCAGGCAGTCAAAGCGCCACCTTCCCATTGCTGCACCAGCCACACACCTAGCAAACCAGACACCCCCAGGACACTGTTCTCCAGGGTGTGGGGTAGTTTGCCTGTTAGGTTTCACTAACTTCTCTTTGCAACTGAACTGAGAAATTCATCATGTGTGAGCATTTTCACCAAAAAGCAACAGAGCACTTGTACCACTTCACATTTCTACTTACAAAGTTTACAGAAAAGTACAATTTGACATTTGCAAGACAAAGGAAAAAATTCCCCTTTCAGGGACATGCTGCAAACTATTTATCAAAAGGTACACTCTAAAACCACAGTGTACTCAGCTTTTTTTCCTGCCAGGCTTAAGTACTGGGATCTAGGAGAAGGATTTGGTCTCAACACACCTCAAAATAGAGCTCCAAGCCTAACATGCATGGCTTAATGAGCCAAACGCATGACAACGCCTCGGTCTAATCCTTGGTTATTCTCTCGTGCCTGTCTACTGTGTGTTCCACTGTAGCAGGAGCTGTTTTCCTTAGGGCTGAAATCATTTCCGGGTAGATTTGGCACTATCAAACCAAGTAGCTGCAAAACATGTTGCTTAATGTAACTGAAAACCCCAAACACGTGTATGAATGAATGGCTGTAATGGACTGAATGTTTTGTGTCCTGCCAGAATTCATATATTGAAGCCCTAAGCTCTAATGTGATAGCATTTGGAGGTAGGGCCTTTGGGAGATAATTGGGGCTAGGTGAGGCCACAAAGGTGAGGTCTCATGATGGAATTTGTGACCTTATAACAAGAGACACCAGAAAGCCTGTGCTCTCTCCATCCCCTCACCGCATGAGAACACAGCAAGATGGCAGCCACCTTAAAGCCAGGAAGAGAGCCCTCATGAGGAACCAAATTGGCCAGCACCCAGATCTTGGAATTCCCAGTCTCCAGAGCTGTGAGAAATACATTTCTGTTCAAGGAATCCAGTCTGTGGTATTTATTATGGCAGCAGACTAAGCAGTACTGAGCAGACTAAGACAATGGCTTTGTGACTTCTGTAGAACTGGGTTTCACAGACAAGGAGTGGTCACGGCGTGAGGCTGGGGCTTGACAGAACTTAACTGATAAAACAGCAGGTTACCAATTTCTGACATCATGTTGAAAAACATAGTATCACATGAGATCACTTCTAAAATAGCATTTCTGCCCAGGTGCGGTGGCTCATGCCTGTAATCCCAGCACTTTGTGAAGCCCAGGTAGGGGATCACTTGAGGTCAGGAATTTGAGACTAGCCTGGCCAACATGGTGAAACCCCGTCTCTACTAAAAATACAAAAATTAGCCGAGTGTGGTGGCGCATGTCTGCAATCCCAGGCACTTGGGAGGCTGAGGCAGGAGAATCGCTTGAGCCCGGGAGGAGAGGCTGCAGTGAGCTGAGATCAAGCCACTGCACTCCAGCCTGGGTGACAGAGTGAGACTCCATCTCTAAATAAATAAATAAATAGGATGGCATTTTTTTAATGATAAAAAGACAACACTTGTTCAATACAGAACATTTGAAAACCATCAAAAAGAAAATAAAAATCACCTATATTACCTCAGACAACAACTGTTGATGTGCTGGTGTTTATCCTCCTGTAATTACTTTTCTCTACAGAGAGTAAAACTGACTGATGGGATGAAGTCTTTCTTTGGGTAGTCTCTTCTGATCATAACTGCCATTACACTCATGTAGTCAGTTTAAAGAGCCCATCCTCTTATACTGAAAAGGACACTCCTGAGAAGCAATTCTACTTTGAAGACACTCAATAGTTTCAATGTGGATATCCACAGCCTATAATATCAACACAGAATCACTGGGTGCCTATGGGGGTGTTTGGGGACTAACTGAAAGGGGCACTAAAAACTTTCTAGGATGACAGAAATGTTCCATATAGTATTTGGAGTATTGATTACACAATGTGTACATATGTCAAAATTTATCCAATTGTGCACTTAAGATCTATGAGGGGAACTAGAAAAATGGCACCAATACCCGTCACTGGAACATGTGTTTGATGCTTTTCCCAAAAGTGGTAGCAAACAGAATGTTTAAAAGTGAACATCACTGAGCATGTACTACATACCAGGCTCTGGGCTAAAGGCTTTACATGCACCTCCACATCACAAATTTAATTCTAACAACCACCCTCAGGTGAGTATTTCCAGGACTTCCATTTTATCATTGAAGAAACTGAGGCTTAGAGAGGTAAAGTAACCTGATCAAGATCCCACAACAGAGAAGTGGCAGAACCAAGACTGGAAACACCCAGGTCCATTCTACTCAGGAGCCCCAGCTCTTATCCACAATGCCAGCTCTAAAAGTCGTTAATTTGTGTGCCTTTCCAGGAATCTGTTCTAAGGAAAGAATCGAAGTCAGATCCAAATAAATATGTATGAGGATATAAATGCATCACTACTACAGATGTGCAAACATCCTTTTCGGTCAATCAGAGAAACTTTCCAGAAGGCTTTCATTTATTTAAAAAAGACTGCTTTGAGTTATGAGAAAATCATGGGTTTGGGCCAGAATAAGACAATCAATGGGCAGCTCTTCCCAAGCTGAGTGTCATATCATAGCGCTGTCATGAGGAGTAGGTGAGTTAATGCAGAGAGCTCAGAATAGAGCCTGGCTCGTAGTAGATGCTCAATAAATGGTAGCAATCATAATATATTCTCAGCCCTGACCTGTCATCTTAAAATAAAAAAAGCGTAGAATTTGAGGCCTTGGTCAATTCCATGAACACCTAAGAACACCTAACTCTCCTGTCATTGTCCTAGGGGCTGGGCTTGGACAGCCACAGTCCCTGCCTTCATGAACCCATATGCACAGGGGCACAGCCTATGGAAAGCACTAAGGGAAGGGTTTCACGGGATGCCATGGGAACAGAGGGGGCACCTAACCTAGATGGAATCTGGAGGGTAGGGGAGTCCAGGAAAGGCTTATCAGAGGAGGTGATGACTAAGATGAGACTGCAAGAATTGGTAGCTGGAAGCTTGGCAAAGAGATGGGGGAGCATTCTAAGCAGGGGGAAACGTGTGGAAAGGCCTGATGGGTGAGGGAACTCAGCACCTGCATGGATTCAAAAGGATATCATGGAGTGGAATTGTAGATTCCACCACATACTGTGTGACCTTGAACAAGTCCTTTCACTTCCCAGAGCCTCAAATATAGGATAATGTCACTGACCTTTGTCTGCAAAATAAGGATAATGCCACTTACCTTGTGCAACTGTCATACAGAAGATACAATTAAACAGAGGAGTTTATCCTTACAGGACAAATGCTCAACACATGTGGTTAGCATTCTGTATTGCAGAAAGAAAACAAAAAGGCTTGGGCCCTCGACGCCCATGACGCCCGAATTCATCTGCTCCAGCCCACTGGTCCCTCTGCTGCTCCTTGATCCCACTGCGCACTCTCCCTCCAAGGACTTGGCCTAGAACACTCTTCTCCCAGATATTCACATGGAGCTGCCTCCTCCCATCCTTAGGTCTTTGTTCATCTGCTCAAATGTCCCTTATCAGAGAAGCTTTTAAAAATCTCTGTGTCAAACAGTAAATCTTTGTTACTGAATTTTATATTGCTCCTACCAAGTTTTTTATCCATATACTGAATCACCCTAACATTCAATATATTTTTGTCTTTTGTCCTACTTTTGTGTTCTTTCTATATTTTGTCCTACTACTTGTGCTAGAAGTTAAGCTCCCTGAGAGGAGGGGGTTTTGTCTGTTTTATTTCCTGTATTTTTCCAGAGCTCACAGTAGCGTCTGGTACACAGTGAGTGCCCAACAACAAAAAAATTATTTGTTAACGGAAAGAACAAACACCCCAAGCTCGAGGGCAGGACCTGTCTTTATTCTTCTTTTACTCCCTAAGAGCCTGACAAAGGTTTGCATTGGGTAGACTTTTCATAAACATTTGTTGAACTGTACAATTCAATTACTTTTTACAAATGGTTGTGTTCATTTAATACATAAAGATTAAATGACTGTATTTTTCTTGTTCAGCAAATAAATCCAAGATTCTCTGTAATTATAATGAAGCAATTGGTTGCTTGGTCAATTTGGTGGGAAGAAGAGCAAAACTGGTGGCCTGGTTTCATTAGCTGGTGAAAGCCACTAACACATTTATCAATTAGTTCCAAATAGTCACAGCCTTCACTGATGAAAAGGCCAAACCCTGAGGAGGTATGCCAGGATCAGCATTCTGGTTTAATATATGAAGTACAGAAAAATGATCAAGGTGTCCCAGGACTTAAATGTCTATCTGTTATAAAGTTAGGTCCTTTGAGAAACTGCATTACTGGGATTACACCCTCAGGATGTTCACTCCACTAATGGTCTGAAAAGGTTCTTGAATCTCCTCTCAAATTAACCATCAAACATCTGCTTTAATACCAGAAGGCGTAAACTCAAAATGAGGTCAACTGCTTCCCCTAAACATTAGAAACTGTTGAAATTGAAGCAAAATGCCAGAGTATAGTCTTCAGGTTGTACAACCTGTCACATATGCCCTAGGACTTCCTAAGAAAATTATCTCAAGGGTTTATGGTAAGTTCATGGTAAGTATATCAATCACTTGCAATTCCAAAATATTGTGAAAATACAGAGAAAATGATTTGGTTTCAAAGAAAAGCATGACCAGAGTTTACTATAGAGACTGGTCTTCAGAAGGTTGATTTTTACAAGCTAAAACTCCAATTTCTATGAAGAATTACCTGTTATTCAGGCAGTGTCTTGAGAATAATTGCTGCCTATGCCTATGGATACCAAGAAAACCCAAATCAGGTGACAGCACATATGCAAAGATAACCTCTTATATTGACACGGCATGTTCCAAAAAGCATTCGCATTTCCACTTCCATCTGATTTGAGTTTTACAAGGACCCTGCTGGGAAGCTGTGTCAATGGCACCTCCACTGTACAGATGGGCCAAAGGGCTAGGGGCATTCAGCAACCTGCCCACATCCCCAGGACCAGGGCTGGGTCTAGCATGCAGGGCTTCTGAAAACCATGTCCAGCATTCTTTCAGTAGGAAGAATATATGTAGCGTCACACACATACTCTAAAGTAAGTGATCTTTTTCTATACTTTTATGGAATTATATTTTTAATACACTGGCACTTTGGGGATACTTACTCTAAATGATGAACATACCAATTGTTTCTATAACCCTGGAGCCAAATTTAGGCAGATTTCTAATGGAGTCTGGTTCCCCAGGGTTCTGTCCTTGACTCACACTGTTCCATTTAAGAGACTCCTATTGGGTGATCTCATTCAGTCTCGTGGTCTCAACTAATAGCTATGTCCTGATGACTTCCAAATATTTAATTCAGCCCATCCTCTTTACTGAGCTTCAGACTCCTATGCCCCTATCCATGGAGCATCTCCACTGGAGTATACCTCAGGCACCTGTCATACAACCTTTCTAAAACTTCTTCCTCTTTTGCCTAGACTTCTTCCTAGGCACATGATCTCTCCTAGCTAATGGCACTGCCATCCACTCAACCTTCTAGCTAAACACCTGGAAATGATTTCCGGTTTCTTTTTTACCCTGAATCCACCCAAATACTAAGTCCTATCAGCTTTACTTGCTATTATCTCTTATGCCTTTCTCATCAGCCCTACCATCACTGTCTTAGTTCAGGTCCTCATTATCTTGTTACTTGGAACTCTGCAACTGCCTCAAAATGAACCTCTCCCTTGCAACCTGGCTGCTGCTTACCATGGGTATGTCCACACATGCCATGCCCCCCACCCGCACGTAAAAGTAAAATATAAATCCACTCATGTCATAAGACCTGCTGAGAATTCTTCAAAGGTTACCTGCTCCATAAAGCCCAGACTCCCTGGCATGGAATTTGTGTCTGACACTGCAAGTTTTCTATCAAATAATGATTCTTTCCCTTCTTAATAATGGAATGCTGATTTTTAGCTGGAACATGGCCACTTGTAATACTGTATTTCTTGGCTTTCACTGGAGCTAGACTCAGCCATATGATCAAGTTCTGGCCAATTCCATGGTAAGTACTGTGTGGAATTCCAGGAGGCCCCTTAAAGGGAGCTGACTCAGTTTGGAGGAATGCCCTCTAGCCCTTCTTACTACATGGAATTGGAATAGAGAGATGATTCCTAGATCTTCAGCAACCATTTAGACAAGGACGTGACCCTGTCTACAGCAGAACAGAAAGCACAGAAATCTGGGTTGCAAATGACTCCACGGAGCTTCCATGGCGGGGCTGGACTACCTACCTCCAGGCTTTTCATGTGAGAGAGCACTATGTTTCCATCTGGCTTAAGCCACTGTCATTTTTATGTTTCCTGTGATAGGCAATGGAGCAAAGTCCTAAGTGACCCAGAATTCAAACATCTCAAGAACAGTAAGTGCTTAATACTTCATTTCTGCAGCCTCCTCTAGCCTTCCCTCTTCCCATGCCTCCAACTTCAGGCTCCAGTGCTACCAAAGTTCCTGTCATTTTCCACTTTAACTACACATTCACCACACTTCTCTGCTTTGCTCAAACTTGCTCCCCTACCTAAACACCCTCCTTATCTTTGTTCAGCTTTTAACTCTTCACACTCAGCTCAGGCATCACCTCCTCCAGGAAGTTTGCCTGAACATCCATCTTAGGGCAAGTGGCCATTCTGTCTGCTCCCAAGATACCCTGGGAAAACTCCAATTTTGGAACCCAGCTGCCATGACTTATTAATGGCTATCTCTCTCACCCCACAGAAAGCGCCTCAAAGGGCAGACATCTCATCTACTCATCTTGTATCTACACCTCCTAATGCAACATCCGGCACTAGGTGGCAGCTCAGGAAATATGTTCTGATCTCAACTGGATTTTTCTCACTGCAATGGAGTAAACAGGGTTGAATGCCTCAAAATGTCTTGGTTTGCTCTTCATGCCAGCTGTAAGTTGAAGACTGAAACAAAATTTTCTAGCCATATTTTTGTTTTCCTGGAGATGGAAAGCAAACAGCAGATGAGTCATCCGAAGAGAATATCCACTATGAGAAACAATTTTTGGACGTTTCACACCTGAAGTCCCTCATCTGTAAAAGATAACTTGGCCCTTAGCAACGTTTGAGGTCTCCTCTGGCTCTAATATTTTATAAACCCATTGTTGAGTATAAATGCACAGACCTGGACACAGAGAACTCACTGTGAATAGATGGCTCCTCCAGGGATTGGCAACATGACCGGCCTTACCTAACCTTCAAATAAATTATTTACAAGGAGTGTTTAATAAAATCTTGAAGTCATCAGCTGACTGAACACTGTAGGATAATAAAATGCCAAGTGAAGTAAGATACGCTTCCTAGACTCCAGCCAGGCTGGCCTGCTCTAAAAACCCCTGACCTTGCCACACTCCTTCCTGTTACTGGGCATCTATCTGCGTTTGCTGTTTCTTCTGTCTCAAATGTTCCTTCCTTCCCTCTTTACCGTGACCTCAGCCCAAGAGTCACTTCCTTATAAAAATCTTCCATCTTTCCCTAACTGGATAGAATCACCCTATTCTAGGTTCTCATTCACTGCATTGTATTTCTCCTCTTCATAGCACTAGTCATGGTTGCTACTTTTTATTGGTATAATCATTTGATTGACATCTTTCTCCCTCACTGGATCATACCCTCCACTGGCGAGTATTTTTGTTTTTGCTCATACCATTACATCCATATCCTTGGCAGAAGGGTGACGCTCAACAAATACTTGTTAAAAGATCTCCAGAGGCCATGCAAGGGTGCAGAACAGTGGCTGATGAGTTTCACTACGGGAAAAGGGAAGACCCCATTTGAGGGAAATGCTGAGCTACTCTAAGAAGCTGGAAAGCTCTGAGCTCTCCATCATATCCTTGAAGAAGGATCTTGGAAGTCAGGAATGGTGGTCACTTTCTGGTGAGAGTTGAAGAGCAGTCACTGAATGAGGCCACCATGGCACAGCAAGGCATGACAAGCTAAGTAAGAGAAGAGACAAGCACATGACTAAAAAGCTCAAAGAGCCAGTATCAGTCCCAGGTGAGGGCTCACAGCCAAAGTCTGATGTGAAAGTTACTAATATACTGAGCATTCCCATGGCTGGCATGTACTGAATAAACAAGGACTATACAAACAACAAATGACAATTTGTAGTAGTCTCTGCAGTACGCAAATCAAGAGAGAAGAGACCTACTTCTTGCAGCAGAAGGAATAATGCCAGCAGATGACAAAGGGAAAAGAGAGCTGTTAAATTTTACTTTCATCTTTATCTAAAAAGATTTTCCTCACTAGAATGAGTAGAATGAATATAAATACAGAACTGAATTCCAATAGAGGTGAGGTGACAGTAAGAGCCCAAAACTCCAGGCTCAAATGAAAGACATCTGGGGACTCAAAGTCTGCTGATAAGAAATACTGAGGAGTAAGAGAGGTCCTAGGAGGTGGGAATCAGAGAGAGATTGCCACAGTTTTCCAGAGGGGAAGAACTGCAGGGAGAGAGAGAGAGTGCACAGTAACTCAGGCATGTAAAATCCATCACTGGCCCAAGACACCATTTTTTTTTGTTTGTTTTTGTTTTTTTGAGACAGGGTCTCACTCTGTCACCCAGGTTGGAGTACAGTGGTGCAATTTTGGCTCACTGCAACCTACACCTCCCGTGCTCAAGTGATCCTCCCATCTCAGCCTCCCGAGTAGCTGGGACTACACAGGTGTGCACTACACCATGCCCACCTAATTTTTGTATTTTTTATAGAGACAGGGTCTCCTTATGTTGCCTACGCTGGTCTTGAACCCCTAGACTCAACAGATCTGCCCACCTTGGCCTCACAAAATGCTGGGATTACAGGCATAGGCCACTGTGCCTGGCCCCAACACACAAATTCATTTGGAAACGGATCACTTGTGAATTCTTAGACCAGGAAGTGGTGCTCACAGAGGAGACCACTTGCCAAGCAAGGCTATGCCCAGCTGAGTTATCTGGAGTCAGCGAGGCACCTGTGGACCCTCATGATTCTTGAGAAACAAGAGCTAGATGATGTTGGTGATCGGTATATTCACACAGATCCCCCAACTATGTTCAGAGACTAGCTTAACAGGGCTTAATCTTGCGAGTGAGATTGCTACTCTTCCCAAATTCTGAATTTTTAAAAGAGTCAAATTAAGTAGACATTTTTCTCTCAATCTGAGGAGAAATCAGCAGCTCAAAGTTGAAAAGTTCATGTGCCACGTAATCATGGGAGTAAAAGGCGGCATGTCAGAGTTGGCAGTGAGCCTCTGTGGGGCAAAAGCTTCCTCTGTGGGCCACATCTGCAAAATGGGATGGCGAAATACCACGGGAAGCATTTGGAGCTTTCAGGGTAAACACTAATTACCGTGCACCCAGCATGCCAACAGCTGCATAAGGCACAAAGCAGTCAGACTCATGAGTCGAAAAGCATGTGTTGGAAAGTGCTGTGTGCCCAGGGGTAACATGGTGAGGAGGAAGTGAAATTTAAACTGTGCCCTTCTATAAACTATTCCTCACCCAACATATTTCAGATACAGTATTCCACACTTTGTCAAAAACAGCCAATCAAATGTGTGCTGGCTGGCTTCAGGAGTTTGGGGTTGAAATGTCAATGACAGCTGAGTTTCCCTTTAATACAGTTGATGAAACATGCTGAAAGATGTCTGGTCAATGGGATGCATGCCCCTTTGTTTCCCTTACTTTTCTGTAGGGCTTGACTCCGGAAAAAAGTCAACACCATGAGTAAATTATTCATGAGCACTGTCTGGCCTTCCAATCGGCCAAGAAGCCCAGGACAAAAGAATGAATAGTCTTCTTTTTTTCCCCTTGGGAGAACTGACTTGATGACTGCCTCCTTCCCAGCCTACTCTTCTTGGTTTCTGGGCCATGGCAGGTTCCAGACCCTCCAACCAAAGGCAGAGAGGCAGGCCCTTCCCTTGCTGAGTCTCCTAGGAACTGGGCTTCTGTTCCTCCACAAAATACAAGTGAATACATCTGAGAATCAGGGTCAGAACACAAGACGGAATGCGTGCAAACGTAACTGGCCCATGTCCTCTTGCACAGGCACAGGCAGCTAAAGAAGAAATTTGTGTCAGAGGAGCCTAAGGTACTACCTTCTGAAGCTTTCTTTAACAGTGACTTGCATATGGTATCATCTTTGTAACCTGCTGGAAAATAAACACCTCTCTCCCTCCCCTCCCTCAAAGAATCCAAACAGACAAACAACAGCTCTGTTTGGATAGGTCAGAGGCATCTTCTGGGGGATTATTTTAGCTCTGATAAAGGGCGTTCTGGGACATGTATGATAAAAGAGGCTGCCTGATACTCCCAAGTTTCTCACTGGGCTCTTGTATCAAAACCACACCCTCTGTGACCCAAATGTGCCCTTTACTGTGTGTGAATTCCAAGGACTTGGCTTTCAAAGTCTTATCCTTAAGACTCTGTTCCCAGCCTGTATACTGAATGGAATTAAATTATCCTGTGAAATAAATCCAAGGGATAAAAATAGCATTTGAATCTATCCTAATTAACTGTGTTCCCTTCAAAGTCAACCATATCAGTTAGAGCCTGAACATGGGATTCAAGTCCAAGAGTAAATTAAAATCAATTCTCAGAACTGAACCACAGACACCATGAATTGAAATAAAATTTGTCAAGATGGGGGCTGGCACTGCTTCATCAGAAACCACATCAAGTTACAGTGTCTACCCACCATATTTTGAGACAAATGAGACAAGTAGACTGAGGGGCGGTAATATCCAATGAAGGAAAGGAAGCTTGCTGCTCGGCCCAACTCAAAGCCTCTGAGGATTCAAGAAAGCTTGAGATAAGACTGAATTGCTTTTGCCCACTCTACCTTATTTTCAGGAATTGAAGTGGTCCTATCACCAAAAAGGACTAAGAAGCTGACACTGTAATGGTACTCTAAATCCTCAAGTCTCTCCTGAGAAGACAGTGTAGCCCAGTGGTTAGAACCATGGTTTGAATTCTGACTTCACTACCAGTTAGCAGTCTGGTGATGAAGTCTTTGGAAGACCTAATTATTCATCGGAACAGTGTGGACACTATTATTGTTATACAATAATATTGTTAGAAGAATCAATAGACGAATGCAAGGGAAGTGCTGGTCCTGTAACAAGTGCTCGTTTTATTGATTTATTGATTGATTGACACTCAGGGTCTTGCTCTGTCACCCAGGCTGGAATACAGTGGCACAGTTACAGCTCACTGCAGCCTCAATCTCCTGGGCTCAAGCAATTCTCCCACCTCAGCCTCCCAAGTAGCTAGGACCACAGGTGCATGCCACCATGCCTGCCGAATTTTTTTCTTTTTTTTTTTTTTGAGACGGAGTCTCGCTGTCGCCCAGGCTGGAGTGCGGTGGCGCGATCTCGGCTCACTGCAGGCTCCGCCCCCTGCGGTTCACACTATTCTTCTGCCTCAGCCTCCCGAGTAGCTGGGACTACAGGCACCCGCCACCTTGCCCGGCTAATTTTTTGTATTTTTAGTAGAGACAGGGTTTCAGGGTGTTAGCCAGGATGGTCTCGATCTCCTGACCTCGTGATCCGCCCGCCTCGGCCTCCCAGAGTGCTGGGATTACAGGCGTGAGCCACCGCGCCCGGCTGGCTAATTTTTTAACATATATGTATATGTTTTTTTTTTTTTGTAGAGATAGGGGTCTCCTTATGTTGCCCCGGCTGGCCTCAAACTTCCAGGCTCAAGCGATCCTCCCCGCTCAGCCTTCCGAGGTGCTGGGATTAGAGGTGTGAGTCACCACACCCAGTCCAAGTGTTCAGTTAGGTCTTGTTGTTAATATTATTTTGATCTGCAGCAGAAGTCCCTGTCAAGTAGGGGAGTCATTACTTACATGTAGTTTTTAAAACTACATGTGGAAACGTCTCTCTTCGGGGCAAGCGGAGTGGAGATGGCTGGATTAGCCGCGGAGAGGAGAACAAAAATGGAATTTACTGCCTGGAGTCTGATAGCATGAGGACGACGCTTAACTCCCTTCACCATCAGAGATCATACCAGCAACCTCCACAAAGCATACACTGGAAAGAAAGTGGAGAGTGGGAAAAAAATGCTGTGATCTAATCCCCACAGCCTGGTCAAGAAAGCTCAAAACAAGCTGCCTAATCAACCTGCTGCAGCCCCGTGACCTAAGAACGAGCAGAGATCCTAGACTGCTTTCAAACAGGTGGCTCCCACTGTCCTTATCCAGGCTGGTTCCCAGTTCTGCACCCTCTTCCCTCCTGCACAGTGCCGTGAGGCTGTGATAAATGCACTGTATGGAGTTGAGGTCTAGGGGATCTGCACTGAGAATGAATTAGAGAAGTGTCTCTGTGGTACCTGCCACACCTGCTATGCAGTGCTTGCGTTCCCACTTATCTCCAGCACCACCCACCAGTCTTACTGCACTCTCTCTAAGAGAGTTACTACTTGTTCTCTTCCTATTTTGACTCCCACGGTATTTAAGAATATTCACTGTTTTTAAAGCTCTTATAATTTAATAATGATGTCAATACTGTCATGAGTTTATGATAGGAACTGCATTTAACAAGGTTAATAAATAGCAAATTTCAATCAGGAAATCCTTTACTTTGGCATTCATGCCCCTAATATACGAAAATTTTTCTCTAAGGAAAGCAACAATTGCATCTCAAGAGAAAAAGAGTTTATGTGAGCTGGGTGTGGTGACTCATGCCTGTAATCCTAGCACTTTAGGAGGCCAAGGTGGGAGGATTGCTTGAGGCCAGGAGTTCAAGACCGACCTAGCCAAAATAGCAAGACACTGTCTTAAAAAAAAAAAAAGAAAGAAAGAAAGAAAAGAAATAAAACAATAAAAAAGAAAAAAGAGCATATGTGCAATTAGGTGAGGACACTAACAGCAGAAAAAAAAACAGGAAAATGTGAGAATAAAAATTATCTAACATTCACTATTACACTTCTCACTGTCTCCAACCTTCTCTCTGACTAAAGTTACATTTGATATCTGTTGAATTCTGAGACTTAACAACATCAAGCAGATTCGGAGTCCATTCAAAGTATGGTATATTATGATCAAAAGATTGTGTGTCACAAAATGGAGAATCAAATATTTGGGAGGGGGCTACACACGGAAGATATTATCATGCAGGACACTGCTCACAAGTGGCTCACCTAGCTCCTGACTGGTGAGCCATGCTCCACATGACTGTAATTCTTGTAACTTAGAGCAGGTTAGCCACACCCTTTAGTTAAGGTGTAGATTCTTAAAATGGAATAGAATCATGGTTAAGGGATTCACTTCAAATGTTAAAATGAAAAAAAGAGAACAACAGTGTGTTTAGCACCCTGCAGGTCTTGGCTATGACAGGTCCTTAGCAAACTGGGGCTGAACCAATTCATGAATAAACAGTCTCTTCTGAGACTGTCGGGCCTATTTTATGAATACAAAGTGAGGCAAATTTTAGATTGCAGGCAGTGTTTATTACTGTTATTAATTTATCCTAATGGATCCTTGGAACCTTTGTGAAGCCTGGGCAACATTGCAAGACCCCTGTCTCTACAAAAAATAAAAAATAAAAATTAGCCATGTGTAGTGGTGCGTGCCTGTAGTCCCAGCTATCTACTTGGGAGGTCCAGATGGACCGGCTGCAGTGAGCCATGATTGCGCCACTGCACTCCAGCCCGGGCTATGGAGTGAGACCCTGTCTCAAAAACAAAAACCAAAACAAAACTTCTGTGAATTTAATTCCAAAAAAGGTTTCAACTGATTATCATGAGAAGTGGAAGGATGGATCATACCAGGAGAGGGAAGAGGCAGTGAATTAGAAGACAGGGCAGCAACCAAAACTCACCTATAGATGATTCCTTTATCATGGAGGAACATGAGAGCCGAAATGATTTCTGCAGCATAGAAGCGAGCTCGTGCTTCATCAAAACGACGAGACTTCTGAATGTGGAACATCAAGTCACCCCCATTCACAAACTCCATCACAAAAAACAGACGATCCTGGATACAAACACAAGAGAGGGCCCAATGTGGTGTAGCAATTAACCTAGAGCTCCATCAGCAGCATATTGCCTAAGGCTGTGGCATAGAGAGGACACTGTCAAGTGGATGTATTCCAGGAAACATCCTGACCATGGGTCAGGGTGCAGTGCAACCGGTCTGGTGGGATTAGATCCCCTGGGCAGAGCAGCACCTGGATCTCCTGTAGTTCATTTCACACAGCCTTGAATTGCTACATGAAATCAAAAGTACAGAAGGCATCAGAAACCTTTGACTCGAGTTCCAGCTCTGTACCTTAAAGGTCATGTACCTGGAGAGAGAATGTAAATCGAAAGGTAAATGCCTTTAATCTGGAACATGTGGGGTTAATTACCCAAAGTAAAGGACACCTAGCAGGTGCTCTAGTTCTCACAAATGGGCAGAGAACAATCACAGAAAAAGAACACCCCTTTAGACAAGTCAGCCAAACAGAAGTGGAGGCCGGGTGCAGTGGCTCATGCCTGTAATCCTACCAATTTGGGAGGCCTATGTGGGTGGATCCCTTGAGCCCAGGGGTTCAAGACCAGCCTGGGCAATATAGCAAGAGGTTGTCTATACAAAAAAATAAAAAAAAAATTAGGCAGGAGGATCACCTGAGCCCGGGAAGTAAAGGCTGCAATGAGCTGTGATTGTGCCACGGCACTCCCACCTGAGCGACAGGAGTAAGACTCCTTCTTCCAAAAAAAAAAAAAAAAAAAGGAAGCCAAATGACAGCCTCACAGTAGCATCCACATTGGAAATACCACTCAGTCCTTCAAAAGATTGAGTCAAGAGTCGGAATGTAGAAATGAGCGAGATGCCATCTCCCCCTTAAGTGACTCTCAACCTAGCAGGTAAAAGTGGACTCTTAAAAGTCACTATGCAGTGTACTAAATACTATGCAAGTAGTGTGAATAAAGTGCTATGGAAATCATGACTGCTTCATGAAAGAAACGTGTAGGTCTCATTTAAAAAGTGATCCAAGATTTATCTAAGTGTAAAACGTTTTGCTTCAAGCACCTCTAAGATAAATGGGTTTCCTCACTCCTTCCTGTGACATTTATGAAATTCCTGATTAGCTGGTGCTGAGTTCGGAGCCGGGATCCCATAGAGAGTAGAGCAGACACAGCCTCTCCCCATACAGAGTTTGGTGTGAGAAACACATTACTCAAAAAAAAAAAAAAAAAAAAAAGTGACACAAGCAGATTGACAAATTCTGGTAAATCCTGTGAAGGAAAAGCAGAGGAAGCGTGATATCTGGTCACCTGCCTGGGGGTCAGGCGACGTCTCTGAGCAAGGGAAACATGAGCTAAGGCCCACAGGATGAGTGCCATCGACTTGGGACCCCGTGATACCATTTTGTGGGATTGCAGATTATTTTGCGAGGAAAGTGGTATTTTACCAACGGATGCAGATACACAGAACCTATCATTATTTTTGGGTGAGACAGGGTCTCATTCTGTCACCCAAGCTGAAGTGCAGTGGCACGATCTTGGCTCACTGCAGCCTTGACCTCCAGGGCTCAAGCAATCCTCCTACCTCAGCCTCTGGAGTAGTTGGGACTACAGGCGTGCGCCACCACACCCGGCTTTGATTTTTAGTAGAGATGGGGTCTCATTATATTGCCCAGGCTGGTCTCGAGTCCTGAGCTCAAGCAATACTCCCACCTCAACCTCCCAAAGTGCTGGGATTACAGGCATGAGCTACCACACCCAGCCTTGAACCTATCTTTATTTGTGGTTGTAAGTGCCACCGGCTTTGCACAGGGTGTTTCCACACATTCACAGCTGAACAATGGGCAGAGCAGGGTGCGTGCTCCTGCTCAGCTCCCATTGCAAGCCTGGTGTAACCACGCAGACCCCTATCAGAAGGAAGCACGGCTTATGACCTCCTATGCCCTATTTTAACTAACGCCTTAATTAGAAGAAAAAAAAATCCCCTGAATTTATTAAACACTTCTTTCTGCTAAAAGCGAAGCAAGAATTTAATAGTGAAGAAGGAATGGCAAGATTCACAAAACAAAAACCACCACCACCAAAACAACTCTTCGGGTTGGCCAATGTAAGCCAACAGGCAAACTATGTAAATACAGCAAGCCATCTGCCTAAGCTCCTGGCCTTCATTTGAGGGTGACTGACAAGGGGAGAGGCAGAATTGGGTGGGACAAGCTTTGATGAGCAATGGCTGTCCTGTATTTTCTAAATGGGAAGGATTAAGGTAGAATTAGCAGGTTAGCAACAGGTTGGGCGGAGGATATACACACACCGGAAACATCCCAAAAAGCTGCATCTGCATAGTAAGGTTTTATGCCAATGCTGTATCTGTCCATTTGGAGGGATGGCCACTGATGGCCTGAGGAAGACTAAGACAAAAAGCCACCCTGAATCATCTCTGGGCAAGGAGGTCAGTCTTACATGTTTTCGTTAACCAGCCTGTTCATCTTCCTCGTGGATCTGACTGGCAGTCACATGAATTCCAATTGCTCTGAACACCTGGCTACTGGAACTGGGTCAGTGGGGAAGTGGCCATTCCTTAGGCTGCTATAAGTGGCGCACTTGGCAAGAGTTTTAAGGCAGTAGGCATCGAAAGCCTAAAATCTAAAAGCCAGACTGTGGGCTAAATTCCAGATCTGGGGGGAGAAAATCCTGCCCTCTAGTCTTGCTTTAGCCCAGCCCCATCTACAGCCCTGGAGGCAGATTCTCAGATAATGCCAGACTCTGGCAGATTCACCTCTGCTACACAGTGAGGGACCATAAGCTTTAGAATTCCAGAAAGATGGGTTCTGCTGTACCTGTTTCTTTTCATTCAGAGTCTCATTTCTAACCTCCTGTCTGGCACCACCTGGAACACAGAGTGTAATTCACAGCCCTCAGGTTATGAGCAACTCTTGAAGCAGGCAGGAGACACAGGCCAGCTGAGACACGACGACGACTTAATGCAGAGTACTGGTCCATCCTATCAAAGACCTCAAATAACGTCACCAGGTATAAAAAACAAAGACATGTTTATCAACAAGCAAAATGTTTTTGCTGTGAGGAAACCCTCTGTTGACCTGCACTTCTGTTCACCCCATTTTAAAATGTTTGCTGCAGAGAGGCAAAGATTTGGCAGCAATTTCTCCAAGATTACTTTTGAAGAGAAGGAGATAAACGACAAAAAATCTCTAGTGTTTAGAAAAGAAGATCCAGGCCAGGCGTGGTGGCTCATGCCTGTCATCCCAGCACTTTGGGAGGCTGAGGCGGGCAGATCACTCGAGGTCAGAAGTTCAAAACCAGCCTGGGCAACGTGGTGAAACCCCGTCTCTACTAAAAGTACAAGAAAATTAGCTGGGCATGGTGGCATGCACCTCTAATTCCAGCTACTTGGGAGGCTGAGGCAGGAGAATCACTTGAACCCGGGATGCAGAGGTTGCAGTGAGCCAAGATCGCGCCATGCACTCCAGCCTGGGAGACAGAGGGGGACTCTGTCTCAAAAAAAAAAAAAAAAAAAAAAAGGAAAAGGAAAGAAGACCCACACATCATCAGGTGGTGGGTGGTGGGGTGAGGAGTCATCATCAGAAGTAAAATTGTATTAAGTATGTCCTCAGGTCCCTTCGGGCAAGTGTGCAGTAAGTGATAGCTGCTGCTGAAGCTGCCAATGCTTGTGCTCTCATGTAGGTATTTTCAATTTAAAAAAAGATCACAAACGTGAATGTGCAGGATGATTTTAGTTATAGCCAAAAATGCAGACAGATGCATAGAAAGGATAAAAAAGATGGCTATAGAGTGACAGAAGTCAGTTTTTTGTTGTGGGATCGGGGTGACATTTCTTTTTTCTACCTTTCAGTATCTTTCAAAGTTTCTATGATGAGTGTGTATTACTCTTGCAATTAGAAGCAAACTAAAGTCACATGTGCTTCCTCCATGTTTTTCTTATTTTCATCTGAAAGATGGAAGATAAGACATGGGAAAGACACAGTTGTGAGGCTGTTTGAGAGAGCCCTTGTTTAGGCAATGGGAGTCAGAAAGCAGCTACAAAAAGAAATTGTTGCATCCTTGTTGCCCATTATTAAGGGACACGAGTAACCACCCATGTCCCATAATGGCCTTTCTGCTGCCTGAGGTAACCAGGCTTGTTGGAATGGCATCCACAGTGAAAATCGGCTGGCTCTGGTTCAGGTCCCAGCAGCTCCACTTGGAGCCTGGTGCGCAGGCTTTACGACATCTACTACAGCTTGCAGAGATCTTCTTGGTTCCTTTAAGGTTCTGAACAAAGACAAATGTTTACTAAACACACACGTGGTACGCCAGGGCCTGGGTAAGGACCCAGTCTCCTAAAACTAATATGACTCCACACTGCTCTCAGTAAGCTCATGGACATGCAGACACAGCACATCGCCACAGTGTGTTAAGTGCAGTGGAGAGGTACAGAAGGTGTTATGGGGACACCGAGCAGGGCATCTGAGCAGCCTGGAGGTGGAGGTGGAATTTGGCAGGTGGGGTTTGGGGGGAAGCTTCTGAGAGGAGTCAATTCCCCAGCCTAGAAGGATGAGGGTATGCAAGTCAGGCTGGAGTGGGGACTGAGGTGGGAGGTGTCAGGAAGACTGTGCAGTTGAAGTGTAAGATGTCAGGCAGACGGGAGGGACTGCGAAGGCAGGCAGGTTGTCAAGCGCTGGAGTGGGTGAGTGTGAGGCTTCGCTGTAACTGTACTGCTGTTTTCAAAATGAAATGCAGAAAAAGCAAAAAGCTACTTAGGGGTGCTTTCACAGGTCACCCACAAATGAGAAGTGCAGGGTCTCTGCTGCCATTAATAAACATGATCACTCACTACCAGTCTCTACTAGAATTATAAGCCCAGTGCCTGGGGTAAAACAGGTGCAGCTATGGTGCTTGGCTTGAAAAAGACTCCAGTAATGTTGGAACTTGCCACATAGAATAAAACAACATCAGCTACAAAAGCAAATCACTCCAGCAAAATTAATTCCAAAGGAGTAAAACTTCTCATATTTAGTGAATGCCCTTTACAAAGCAAAGACCTGTATTTGAAGCTCTAAAAGGAGGCAAAAGATAACCTCTCACCTACAGCTCTACTCTCAGTCTGTGCTATTTAAGAATTAGTATCACTGATGACTCAACAAACACCAAATCATGCTTCACAAATTCAATTGTGAAGCAACTAGGTGAAGCATTTTTTGGAAATCCTGCATTTAGGGAAGTACTGGAAGATGGATTATGGTTGTAGTGAGTCACTCCTATGGCAGAGAGGGGTTTCCCAAATCCCACTCTAGACAGAGATGGCAAAGATGACTGTTTCTGTATTTAAACCTGTGCATAGAACCATTTTGGTTTTTCTAAAGTCCATTTTCCTAGAAACTGAGCCTGCACATCTGTACAGCTTTACCTGAGGCTTTTGGCTTCTGTCAGGTGAAGTCTGCCCTGACCTGTGTGGTAGGAAATCTCAAGGCCAGGAGACCGGTTTAACATCACTTCTAAAGCCAAGTGGCTAAGCCCTTTGTCCCTGCTCCTCTCTTTTGTCCCTGATTCAGCCAACCACAAGTACAAGTCATTAACATGGGGTGATGAACACCGGTGGGAGTGAAAGCAACTCAGAAATCCCTTTGTCCCACACCTGGTGTGAGTTACAGGTGTGGGAGGCAGAGGAGCTGCTGCCTGGTGATAATAGAATTCCTGTCGTCACTTGCTCTGATGCCACTGACCTGCTGCAGTCTGGGTCCACTCTCTGCCCTGGCTATCAGTTCAGAACTATTCCTTCCCCAGGCCCAAGGGGCTAAAAATATCCCCCGAATAATGGCTGTCAGTATAAGTAAGGTGCATTCCCTAAGGCCCCCTCATTAAGGGCTGTTCGATAGGAGTTAAAGCTGATGGGCAATTTGTATGAACAAGAGACATAACATCCGGGTGGATGAAAGTGCTATGCCAGGATGGTACCAGTGACAAGATGATACTAACTAAGGAAAGTGACTGGAGAGCGAGCATGGACCAGGCAGGGCAAGATCCTGTAAGGTCACTGGGGCAAACATCTTTGGAGGCATCTGCTCAGCTCATGGTGATCCCTTCCTCAGCATTTACCCATGCTCCAGCCTGGCCGCATGGGTAAACGCTCAGCATCTGTGCACAGCCAGTTAGATCAAGCTGCACCTGCTCAGAGTCTCTTTTCCAGAAAACTGAAACTGAGGTAAAAAGCTTTTAATTTAGTCTAGGCTGTGTGCAGGAACTGAGGAAACATGAGTTAGGAAACGGAAACTGCTTTTGCAGTGTAAACGTGGGAAATGCCTGGGTATAAGAGAGTGGAGAAAGACTGGGTGGGTGGATGGACAGGTGGGTGGGTGAAGGAGAAGAATGAAGCAGAAACATAGAGTGAGGCAGAGACAAGAGATCAGGGAGGGTGAGTGAGCCAAGAGCAAAACTGCCAGGGTTCCTCATGTCTTTCTGGTTTCAGATCAGCCGAGAGAGCTGGCCAACTCCTGCCCTTGGGTTGCATGAGACATCCGTTGTACCTCTGAATCTTTATTTTTAGTTCTTTTTTTTGCATAGCCTTAAGAAAGTTTTCTTACTACCTGAAGTAAATTTTCTGCTACCAGGAGAATTTCAGCTAAAATACACACAATTTTTGTTTTTCTTTTTGAGACAGGGTCTTGCTCTGTCACCCAGGCTGGAGGGCAGTGGCAGGATCATGGCTCACTGCAGCGCTGAACTTCTGGGCTTAAGTGATCCTTCCAACCTCAGCCTCCTGTGCGGCTGGGACCACAGGTTTGTGCCACCACATCTGGCTAATTTTTTGTATAGACTGGGTATCTTTGTGTTGCACAGGCTGGTCTTGAACTCCTAGGCTCAAGCAATCCTACCTCGGCCTCCCAAAGTGCTGGGATTACAGGCGTGAGCAACCATGCATGGCACACACACCCATTTTTAAGGGGTAAGAAGTTTCCTTATTTATTTATAAATCTGGGATAATAACATCTATAACTACAGTGATCATGTAAAGATTAAACCAGAAGCCAAGTGCCTCATACAGTGCCAAGCCCAGAAAAGAATCTCAATCAATAGAAGCTATTGGTACCACTACATTATATAAAGAGGAGATTTTGTGCCCAGTGCCCAAGTCCCTGGTATGACTAAGAGGAAGCCCAGGGCAGTGGCGACACCTGGGCTCTGGGCCAGGATGCTTGAGGTCCAAGAGCAACTCCTGCTGTGCTGTATTTAGCTTCTCTCTCACAAAACTCACTTCTGCAAAATGGGGATAATAAGACAACCCAACTCACAGGTTTGTGAGGATTAAATGATTTAAGCTAAGGGCTTTGAATAGTGTCTGGCATACCATAAGTGAAATGCTCAAGAAATGTTAGCAACTATTATTATCCTCATCATCATGAGTGCATCCACTGCAGCTTCAGCCGCCATGGCCGTCTGCTCCCAGGGCTCCAAAGGGCCTGATGCATGAGGCATAGGAAGGCCCCTTGGCTGTGGCTGTGGCACACGTGGCAGTGAGCTGCATGCACTGGGTCTCGAGGCCTCCTTCACAGACCTCCAAGACTGGCGGAGGTACACACACACTCACAAGTGGACAGGAATGAAACAGCAGCCGAAACAGCAACTGCAGCAGCTCCCCCAACCCTCAGTGTGGGACAAGGGTATAGAGGGTCGAAGGAGGTGGAAGGAGTCCTAGCCCAGCTGTTGGGACACAGGGATGTTTCCCGATGCTATATGGTAATGGCCTTGACCGGGTAAGGACTTTTCTTTCTGGGAAATGCTTGCTAAGCAAGGGGTTACAAAACTAGATTTGATAACCAAAACATACTAACAAAGGTTTCAGTTCTGATAAGTTTTCTAACACTGACTGGTAATTCATATTTTCTATTTTAGGGGCTTTATAATAATTATTATTGCAAAACAAATGCCCTCCTTATGTACTAAAAACATATTACTGTAAGCGAGACTTTTTATAGCAGTTATTCTTCCTTTCTATAAAGTTGATTCAATCTCAGAACCAGATTGCAAAGATTTGTCTCCATTTAAAGAAAAAATCTGTTGTCTCTATGATTTAAAGACTGCATTTGAAGATGTATCATTCCAGAAACCAAGGCAGTAGGAAATAGCCACCATACTCAGAATTATAGTGAGGATGCAGATTACCTTTTGGAAATAATTCAAAGATAGACATAACACGTAAAAGTTATGAAAAATGTAGCTATTGCTTTAAGGCAATGTTAAGCTGGGAGCCACATCTATTCTTACTTACCCAAGTTCTAAGAACTGCCTTGGAGTATTTCTACATGAATAACAAGCTCATGCTGTATGAAAAGCTGCAGAGTGCTATTGACGGCTGGGGGAAAGGAGAAGGAAATCTCCGTAACAGATAGCAGTGTTGAACTTCTCCTAAGTACCGTTGCTTTATTATTTTTCTCAGACAAAGTCATCTACAGGGTGAGCAGGGAGTTCAAATAAACAGGAAACAGTTACTGACGTCAAAGAGGTCACAGTGGAAAAGCACCCGCATGAGGAAATCTGATTGCACCATGTCTGAACTGGAAATAACTTGAATTTAACCACATTAAGAAAGATTACAAAGGCTTCAAGGAAGAAACAATGAGAAGGAGTCTAATGGCTGCATTTTTTTTTTGAACTTATCATTTTGCACAGCCCAGAAGATGTCAGAGGTTAATTCAATCACCCAGCAACCCCTGTGTCAAGCCCACAGGCAAGATACATCCTGTCTGAGCTGAGACTAGTCTTTGGGAAGGTGAAATATGTCCTGAATATAACAAAGCCTTAGGACTTTGCATTTCAAACCTAGAGGGACACACAGCTCTTTTCAAAGACCAAGTGTTTTCCTAGTAATCTGGATGCATTATAGCCATCTCTCATAATGAAACCTGACAAGGCTTACTGGCATATATACAGTAGACCAGGGAAACAAAGAGGAAATCTACCTTGCAGTTTAACACACTGTGAAACATCCAGGCCAGGATGTTCTTTAAAGCATAAATAAGTGGTAACATATGATCAGGGGTACAGCAGAGTCAGAGCACAAGTCCCCTCTTCCTGATGGAACCTCCTTTGGCATTTCTGGTCCACATACAGCTTTCCAGTATCATTGTGTAGGGCTGGGATGGATCTGTGCACTTGGTCTTCTTTTCCATGGGGGACCGGAAACCCTTGAAGGCAGAGCCCAGATACTAAGTGAGATATCTTTAATAGCACCAAGCACAGTGCCTGGCCAATTGTGAGGGTTAATAAATGCTTCAAGAGTGAACATAATAGGAACCATTTTTGTCTCCTGGTAAAATTTAAAATGGAACTTTAGAAGAGCTGGAACAAACTGCCAAGATTCGTTTCACCCAACCATTTTACAGAAGCAAAGGGCAAAGAAGTGAAGTACCTTGCCCATAGTTAAAACAGTTTGTGGAAGAGTTAAGTAGGACAATCAGGTCTGCTGATGCTATATTTTCCTTTATAAAGCTTTGATTTTTCTATTTATAAAACTAATTACATATCCATAGTTCAAATGTAATTACAAAGTAAATAGATAGAAAATTGAGAAGAAAATAAAGAAAATTCAAATAAAATCACCCTAATCCTGACAACCAGATATAGAAGTCTCAAGCTTTTAGCTTCCAAAGAACTGGAGATTTCAGGGCAAATAAGAAGTTTTCAAGGTAATGTTAACTAGATTTAATTTTTCCTTTGTGTCCTAATTATACTTAACATTTTATAGCATGTTTTAAAAACAGAAAGGAAAAAGTAAAAAACATACACTTCTCTTTTCATTTATATTGCATATTATTTCCTGATATAATTAGTCATCAAGACCATGATTTTTTTAACAGTTGCATGCTATTCCCGATGCCAGTTCTATGAAGTCCTACAATTAGCTTGACTTCTAATTAGGTTAATGAAAATAAAAGGACACAGCTTTTATAGTCTCTATGCCATGATAAAGATCATTTTTTTAGCCTGGTAAAGCAGGCATCTCTCAGTGGAGATGATTGCTAACTGGGCACGGTGTTTTAATTGATTGGTCAATCATTTAGACATCACTAACCTTTAGAGCACCCCCTAGTGGTCGAGAAGAACGTTTGAACAAACCTCCTAGTCAAAAACTATCCACATTTGAAATACACTAAAACTTAAGAGTCACAAAGAAGATATCTTGGATGATTATCTACTTTTTAAAAAAGGTTTAGCAACTTAACAAAAGCATCCACAATAGGATTTCTTCAAGTCATTATTTCACATAGTGAAATTCTCTTTATAAAGCTTTTGGTTTAAGCATCAAATAGGATATTTATGGACTTAGTTTGTATAGGGCTTGTAGGATAAAGAGTAAAAATACCATTTCATTTATTTAGATCATTTTTCATGATGGAGATCCCTAAACTGTGTAAACTTTTAAGACAACCACAATTTCATTTCTCCCTCTGATCTATGTATGAATTCGACACTTATGCCATGTGGGAAGATATTTTGGGTTATAGTTGATTAGACACTTTGCCCAGTTAGAGAAGTAGAGACTATGGCCAAGAATATGCCATATCTGCCTCAAGGTGATGCCTGGGAATCTACTGGCTGAGAATTCATTTCCTCTCCCCCTGTCTGCAGTGCTGATGCACGGGCCGAAGTTTCTGTGTGGAATGTGCCTTTCACATGCTATTCTGAGTTTGATTCCTCCACTGTAGCCATGACAAACTCTTCTCTGGTCCTCTGGCTGGGGAACAAAATCTGTTCAAGCAAATGACATGCCCACAATTTCTTCCCAAACTATTAAAAAATTTTTTTAAAATTATACTTTAAGTTCTAGGGTACATGTGCACAACGTGCAGGTTTGTTACATAGGTATATATGTGCCATGTTGGTTTGCTGTACCCATCAACTCGTCATTTACATTAGGTATTTCTCCTAATGCTATCCCTCCCCCAGCCCCCCATCCCCTGCCAGGCCCCAGTGTGTGATGTTTCCCACCCTGTGTCCATGTGTTCAACTCCCACCTATGAGTGAGAACATGCAGTGTTCCCAAACCATTTTTGCAATCTGGGTTACATATTGATCTCCACTGTCAATTAAGGAAGAAAGTTGCAGACCTTACTCTAAAGGTATGGAGGCTAAATTAAAAGAGGTGGAGCTCTAACAGGAAGGGGAACAGTCATCAGAAACAGCTTAAAAGGTTTATATGGGAGAAAGCACATTGTGTTAACTTTGAAGGCAAGCTTCAGTTGGCTAAGTGGAGTTCAGACAGGTTCTTAAAACCCCAAAAATGAGCAGATCCTAAGATGGTGACACCAAGAACCTCATGCCGTATCCAATAGAACTCTGAGTCTGTTAGTGAACTGACTTCATCTCAGCACTTGATTTATCCTACTATGAAACCACTTCCTTCTGATTCTTCTTCTTTTTTCCACTCAACCTTAACCCTTACTTAGAATTCCTTCTTCAAGTCTCCTCTCTTCTCTCTCTATAAACATCTACTAAAAGATTTTTGATTTTTTTTTTTTTTAAGACAGAGTCTCGCTCTGTTGCCCAGGCTGGAGTGCAATGGCGTGATCTTGGTTCACTGCAACCTTTGCCTCCCGGGTGCAAGCGATTCTCCCTGCCTCAACCTCCTGAGTAGCTGGGATTACAGGTGCGTGCCACCATGCCCGGCTAATTTTTGTATTTTTAGTAGAGACAGGGTTTTGCCATGTTGGCCAGGCTGGTCTCGAACTCCTGACCTCAGGTGATCCACTCACCTTGGCCTCCCAAAGTGCTGGGATTACAGGTGTGAGCCACTGCACCTGGCCTGAAAGATTTTATATTATAGTTTCCACTTACCAAGAGGACATGGATGACACCAAACTGATCTCCCATCTCAAGTGTGTTTCTGACAAACAAGCATCTTACCACTGAATTTCCCCCAAACCGAACTCATGCTATTCCATTCTCTTTAGGCTTCCAAATGGCCAGAGCCCTGGCCATTCCCACTTAAAAAGTCCTATCATGTCTACTTCTTTAGTGTTTCCTTGACTCCACTCCCATGATTGCTGCCTTGGGGCAGGCAAGTTCCCAGATCACGGGCCCAGCATCCTCACCAGATCTGCTGCCATTAGCCTCCCTCTGTACATAGCAGCCAGAGAGAGCCTTCTAACATGCAAATCTTATGTTACTCCCTCACTTAAAGATTTTGCTGGCTCCTTTTACCTAAACAGTTTAGTCTAAGCTCCTCAGCAAAGGACATCAGACCCATTATGACTTTGCTTCTTCATCACCACCCCCCTACCCCCGCCGCCAACCACCACCATTTCCCTTCTTACAAATCTGCCTCATCTAGTCATTTGGGGTTTCCTGGGCACATCCTGCAATTTTAAGCCTCTGTGCCTTTGCACTGCTGTTACCTCTGTCTGGGAGTCTATGCCCTCCTCTTGTGACTATAAGATCCCTATTCATCTTCAAAACACAGCTCACACAGCCCCTCCTCTGGGAAGTCCTTCCAACCTCCACGAGGATCAATCATGACTTTCTTCTCTCCATCACATGGTGTTATCATGACCTTTGACTGTAAGCAATTAAAAGGCAGGTCCACATTTTGTTCTTGTGTCTTCATCCCTGGCACATAATGCATGCTCCATAAACATTTACAGAATTGAATTTAAAATGCAAGATAAGTACACTAATACCATTCATTATATTACAGAAACAGGTAATGTCTCTTTTGGCTAGGGTCTACTTTCAATATTTAGAGACTATTCAGCCTTAAGATAGCATTTAAGGTTCTACTTTTTGTTTTGTTGTTTTTTTTGTGTGTGGGTTTTTAAAAAATTGAGACAGGAGTCTCACTTTGTCATCCAGGCTGGAATGCAGTGGTGCAGTCCCAGTTCGCTAATGCAGCCTCAACCTCCCGGGCTCAAGCAATCCTCTGGTAAGGTATCCACATTTCAAGTTGAAATGGCATTTCCATGTATGGGAAACAAAAGAAAAAAAGCCAGCAAGTGGCTCTCCCTCAAAGCCCAATCATATTGCTATCAGCACGTTTTCCCATGCTGGTTGGGAAACATTTTGCAAAACTCTGATTATCTGTTTGTACAATCCAACCACATGTACCACACACAGGATGGGAATCTGACTCACAAAGTTCAGGTTTGGGAGGATGCTTTTCATAAAATGCCACTGACTCAATGCCTTGCTGGTAAAGTGAAAGTGTAATTATTAAATGCTAAAACAAGACAAGCTGCAGTATTTGTACTGCTTGCTTTTTAAAAATAACCCATTTTAGATATATGCTCAGTCAGCTAATCTTTTGCTCCCTGGATGCCCCCAGGCTCTGATAATAATGCCTTATCGAGCAGCAGGCTTCACTGTTGAGAGCTGCCAGCAGCATGCCAGCCCTCACTCACATTAAACAGACGCTGCACGCTTCCGCTGTCTCCCCCGAGCTCAGGGGCTCCATCCCTAACAATGCCACTGTCAGTGCAGGCACCAACAGCTGTAATGAGCCCCCAACAGGAACTTTGCCTTTCTACAAACTCAGAAAAAAAATAACGCTTATATTTTCATAAAGAAGGTCTGACACATTTGGCTTTGGCTTCTATAAAAAGAAAAGTGATCGTCTAACCCATTTGACTTTTCATACCAAAGACAATCACCTGACAGTCATGTAAGGGAGCCAGGGGAGATTCTTCCCCCCTGGGAACCAATGTCTGGCGATATGTTTGGTTGTTATAACTGGAGAGGTGCTGCTGGTATTTTGGGATGCTGCTAAACATCCACAATGAACAGGACAGCCCCCACCCCCAACAAAGTAGGCAAATGGCACTGCATTATGCAAATCAGTGATTTTTTTTTTAATTGTAAAGGATGAAAGCTTACCAGCCACTAGATTATTAAAACAACCTGACCTGTTGGTGAGGGTCAAGAAGGTGACGGCAAAGTTCTGAGCAATGTGGAAGGGTACTTTTTTTTTTTAAGTCACTTACAACTGGTGATAAAGATCATTTTTTTTAGCCCGGTAAAGCAGACAGCTCTGAGTGGCGATGATGGCTAACTGGGCATGGTGTTTTAATTGCGATTGGCCAGAGATGTGTCCTGAAGCCCAAATAAGAGGCACAAATCAAGTGAATGAGCAGATCCTGTATCTATGAGCTTCCAGAAGAGAAAACAGAAACCAGTCTTACCACTGAATGTCCCCAAAACTGAACTCATGCCATTCCATTCTCTCCAGGCTTCAAACCGGCCAGAACCCTGGCCACTCCTCTTTAAAAAGTCCTATCAGGTGTACCTCCTTAGTGTTTCCTTGACCCCACTCCCATGATTGCTGCCTTGGGGCAGGCAGGTCCATGGGCCACTGGCCCTCACCAGATCTGCTGCTATTAGCCTCCTTCTATAGACAGCAGACAGAGAGGAGCTATGACATATTTGTTCCCTATTTTTCTTGATTGTGTCCAACTCATCTTGAACTGCCTTTCACCACTGGTAGATATGATTGTAGAAGGTCTGGGCTGGCTGCAGGGATAGGTTAGTTTCCACTTCGCATGCCCTCAGAGAAAACCGTGGAGTCTGTGGCTCGGTGGTCCCTGGGGAGTGAGGAGCCAGAAGAACAAGGAAGCTGACTGACAAACACATCCCAGGATTCACTGCACAGCGACGGAAAAACGTGTATGGAGAGGAGGGAAGAATTTGGCTAGCAGGGATCTCCTCTTTTGTTTTGGTTGGGAGTTATATATTACATCATTTTAATGTTTAGAACGTCATATACCACAAGAATGGAATTAAGAGATTCTGGGAAGAGTTCCAGGACTCCCATTTGTAACACCTAAGCCATAAGTCATTCAAGACCAGAAGTGGGCAGGAGTGAGCTAAAAAATACAGGCTCTTTTGCTATAACTAAGAATTGGAAGCCTCCCACAGAAAGGAAACAGGAACTCCCTGGGTGGCCCCAAAGAAAAGACAGGGCATGCCAAAGCCCTCCAGCAAAAAAGGGGAGGGTCTGCTGGCGAGCCTGAGCCAAACTATTAGCTTACGGGGAAGGAAGGAAAAAGAACCTTGTAAAGAAAGAGTCAGTCGCTCTTGATAGCACATGGGTTAATACAGGGATGGAGACGGGAGGTAGACAGGGCGTCCTCACAGCCTGATGCAGGGGCTGCCAGTGAACAGACTAGTCTTGCCAGCGGGATGAGAAAGATCGTGCAAGTGGCAACGGGAGCAAATGCAGCCTACTGGGGCTGCTACTCTTGCCATTCTGCCTCTTGCTTTAAACCTCCCAACCCCTATAATAGTGACCCAGAACCCACCACTAACCAGAGACAGTACCAAGGACCAAGGACTCGAGCTACGCCTCCCCCCAGTAATCTCACTGCATCCTACAAAAAATATAACGGAGCACTTGATATGCAAATGCAGCTTCAGACAAGCCCCCCAGACTCTTCAAGCAGATGACGGCTCTGAGCCTGTCTGAAAGGAAAATCCAGGAATTGCCACAGGGAGCAGCTGCCATGGAGGGTCACCAGCTGAGACTATAAGATGAACAATCTGTTCATGAGCTTCAGGCTTATAAGCTTCCCAAAGAATGTCAGTTTCATGAGGGCAGGGACTCTTTTCTGTTTTGCTCACTGCTGCGTCCTCAAGGCTTGAAGGCGAGCCCTATGCCTTGCAAGCACTCAGTGCATATCTGCTGAATGAATGAACACCTTCCCCCCTAACCTGCCAGTGCACAACTCTCTACACGACGAGTCTGCTAACTTTATGTTGACATGGCTGTTTCTGCTCATGAGATGCTGTGGATAATTCCGGACCTAGAAGAGATGGATGCAGCTGGGTTCTCAGCAGAGATTAAGTAATTAAGGAAAACCCAAGTTATTTAAAAACTAGAACATATTACAGGGTATGATTTTGATCCAAAGCAGTCAGGTTTTTAGACTGTATGATTTTGTCTTCAGGGTGGGGTGGCAGCCCCTTGGCAGCCGCTTCAGGTCCTACCTGGCAGTCCCAGCTCATCACAGCAGGACTCAACCCAGCTTCCTAGGGAACCATCTGCAGCCCACACCCGAGGGGCTGCTTAAAGCAATCAGTTGGCTTTAGTCTCACAGCCAATCAGGTTGTACTTCTGAGCACAGACTGGCACATACTTAAGAGTTTCCCCTAGAACCCAATGTTCATTTTCAACTACCTTTCCTTTTGTAGCATAAGGACTATATTTACTACATGCTATCTACTGTACACTTTTCTTCCATGTGTATTGGTCTTCTCTTCCTAATTAGAATGAGTTTTTAAAAAACTGTTTCTAGCCAGGCACGGTGGCTCATGCCTGTAATCCTAATACTTTGGGAGGCCAAGGCAGTAGGATTGCTTGAGGTCAGGAGTTCAAGACCAGTGTGGGCAACATAGCAAGACCTCCAACTCTGCAAAAAATGAAAACAAATAAAAGAACTGTTTCTTTTGCCTAGCATTCAGTCAGTGGGATCCTGGATTGACTGATTTTTCACTAAACCACCTGGCAGAACACCCATCTCATTTTCACCTTTTGAGCAGTCCTGGCACTTGGTGTTTCAATACAGGGCCCTACTGAAGCCAGAGTATCTATAACTTGGCAGGCTTTAAGGGTTCCAAGTTGGGTCCAGGAAAACCATAACCAAGCAATCATCACCCCAAAAGCTTTCAGTCATCATGAGACACAGGGGCAAAGTGTGACCTGGGTTGTGTTCTGGTTACATCAAAGATTTAAATTATACTATCTTAGCAGACATGGAGGTGGCGGTCTACTCAGTCTCTAGGTTGTCAGTGATAATGATGGCTACCAAAAACAAGACCAGTTACAACAGAACAACCTCAAACTGAAAAAAACAGGCCAACTATTTCAAATCCTTTTGTCACACCAAATATCTTGGCAGTCGCGTCCAAAGAGACAGAGCCAAAGACACAGCTTGAACTTCAGGTTCTCTTATTCCTATTCATTTTTGTGGCCCTATTTAGCTACAGAAGGTCAGAAAGCCTGGTAGCCGGAGAGGACAGAAGCAAAGGTCCCAAATAATCCCCCAAAAATCCAGATCCTGGAGAAGGCCTATGCACATTTTGTCTTCAGAGAATCTTCAGCAGAGAAGGAGGCGGGTCCAACATATGTTGGCCCCAAAGTCAGATCCTGTCTTACTATGGAAATAAATCCACAATTAATAACCTAAAAAAAAGATGGAACACTATGAATAAGGTAGGAACATGCAGAGACAGGAAACACCATGTTCTGGCTCATTTTCTATTTTGATCTGAGCCAAAGGCAAACTGCAACAAATGACCCGCAGCAAACCAGATTGTATTTGTAGCAGCCACTGCTCAGGGAAAGGGGGAAACCTGGTTCCAAACAGATCAGAGGAAATATCCTTAGGTATTTCCCAAAAGGCCAAAAACCACCTATTGTGGAAAACTGCCTCTATTCCCGTCTAATGACAGTATTCTCAGTTGTACATATTAGAGACTCAAAACTTCTATTTGTGATATAATGGAAATGGCTTGTATATTATTTGGCAGGACAGTCAGGTCAGGAATCCATGCACTGACTCTGGCTTACTGTGTGATCTGGGGCAAGTTGTTTAATTTCTCTGGATCTCAGTTTCTAGGCCTTTAAAATGAGGATGATACTCTTCCCTGGATGCTTTGGGTATTAAATGAGATATTTTGTTCAATGGATATTTACGGAATGCCAATGTGCAGTTTAGTTTCATAGACATTGGTAATGAATATGAGCACCTAGGACATATGCTAGGGTCTCATGAACTGCCCTTTCCTTCTTCGCTCATCCCCTCCTGCAAAGTGGGCACCATTCAGTCCCCAGGAATCAACCAACTACCCCAAGGCATGAACAGAGGCTTCTTCAGAATTCCCATGCCTGTAAAGGGGAAAGTCTCCCAGCCTTTCGGCTATACTTCCCCTTCTCCTTGTCTAACCCTCTGTCACAGGGCCTCTTCCCCTTGCGCTGGGTGTCACAGCAACACAGAGCACAAGCAGTAATGCCACTGTAGGGTCTGAGCATGCCTTCTCCTCCCCACATCCAGCGGCTGGCAGGGGCTCAGCCAAATGCTCAGTGAGGCCTCAGGAAGGGAAAGGGGAGCTGGAGGCGCTGGGAAGCATCAGAGCTGGACAGGGCAGGCTGCAGCCCCGCTACGACCCCACATGTTGAAGCCAGCTGGAGGGGCACTCCCTAAAGGTACGTTGGCCAACAGGTCCAGAAGTAAGGAACACACATTTAGGTGGAGAGGCTTATCTCAAAATAAAAGGCAGGGGAACTTCTTAAAGACAAGTGGGCCAGCTAAGCCAGAATTAGAACTCAGAGCTCTTGTGCTGAAGGTCACAGTGCAGTTCCCTGCCTGGGAAAATTCTGAAAGATGAATTCCAGGGCCACATGACTACCTTGCTGCCTGGCTGCTCTCTGCCTCTCCCACTTCTTCGCTAATATTTAATACAACAACAATGGAGAAAGTAATACAAAGGAAAGAATGTTCCTTTGCACTCAAGCTGCAGGTACACTGAGCACACGTGAGATCATTTTGTGCCAGCATGTATGCAGCGATGGCATTTATTTCACAAGATTCCAAGATATTCTGACCTTCAAAAACCAGGATTTCAACTTTGTTGGCCATTTGAGAAGTGGTTTCTTACGGAAAGCTATGGTCCTGCCAGGAACTCCATCCTTGCAGGCTGACATCGTAAAGACGCCCCAGCAGGCAGAGGAGCGGGAGGAGGCAAAAGCGACCGGCATCGGAGCGTCCTGTGGCCCACCTGAAAGCGGTGGATCCTAAACTCAAACTTAAGGCATTCCCAAAACAATGAGGAGTACTTCGCTCAGCCCTCTCACCCAGTCCCAGGGCCTGCTAGTGAGAGGCTGTTTCGGGCACTGGCCACAAGTGTCTTCTGTTTTCCAAATGGAAACCTTTGCTTCCATAAACTGGGTCTCCGAACAAAGCCTCAGACCAATATTTACTTTGCTGCTCCCCCTTCCTGTGATAGCCCCCCTCCATCCCTCACCCCCTAGTCTTTGTTCCTCTCTCTCCAGGAGGAGAACCGAAGGGGAGGCCCCTGCGAGCCGGGGATGGGGGATGGGAGGCCTGGATTCCAGCACATCCATGCCAGGGACTCAGCTGCTGACACAACCCTCACTGATTCAGATAAAAGGAGTGTGATGTGAATTTCGCCATAAATGAGTCAGGGAGACAGCATGTACTAGGCCGTATCCCAGGTTCTGAGAGACCAGGGGTCTGGTCCCTGACTTAATAATGGCTTATTCCTCCTACCCCCATTGTTGAAGAAATGTAATCCTATTACCAAATTTGGTAAATAGGAAAAAAATCCTTCATAATTCCACTACCTTAATCCAGTCCCTGATAGCTTACTGGCATAATTTCCTGGCAGTCTTTTTTGAGGCTGGGGAGGGGAACGGGTCTGCCAATTCACTATCTTGGGCAGAACCTGACTTGGATACAGACTGTTCATCATCATAACCTCTGTATTATTTCCTGGATTCTAACCTCCTATTTTTACCATTTTCTGTGATAGATTTTAGGCAAATGACTTAACTGCTCAGTGTCTCACTTTTCCATTTGACATAATGAGGATAATAATTGCACCTATCTTATAAGGCTGTTATAGGAATCACGTGCAATAAACAATACATGTTAGGTGCTTACGACGGTACCTGACAATTTAACTACGTAACATAAAATTATCTCTTGACTGGCTGAAAATTCTCATCAAATAGTATATTATTGAAGTGTACCCCCATTGCTAAATGCTGAAGTTGTTTCTAATATTTTCCTACTATAAATAATGCACGACATCAAAGCAATCTTGACCAAAAAGAACAAAGCTGGAGGCATTATACTACCTGATTTCAAAATCTACTACAAAGCTACAGTAATCAAAACATTATGGTACTGGCATAAAAACAGATATATAGACCAATGGGACAGAATACAGAGCTCAGAAATAAATCCACACCTTTACAATCAATTAATTATCAACAAAGATCCCAAGGACACACAACAAAGAAAGGACTGTCCCTTCAATAAATGGTGTTGAAAAAACTGGATATCTACATGCAGAAGAATAAAAACAGACCCTCATCTCACGTCACATAAAAAAATCACTGAAAAATGGACTAAAGACTTAAATGTAAGACCTAAAACTGTAAAATTACCAAATGATGACTTAGGGGAAGAAATCTGTGACACAGGCATAGGCAATGGCTTTTTAAAATATGACCGTAAAAGCACAGGCAACAAAAGCAAAAATAGACAAATGGAACTATATCAAACTAAAAAGCTTCTGCAAAGTTTCTGCAATCAACAGAGTGAAGAGACAACCTGTGGAATGGGAGAAAATATTTGTAAAACACATATCTGGATAAGGAGTTAATATCCAAATACAGAGGAAACTCAAACAACTTAATAGTAAGAAACAACCCAATTTTAAAATGGTTAATGGACCTGAATAGACATTTCTCAAAAGAAGACATACAAATGGCCAACAGGTGGTGGGAATGTAAATTAGTTCAACCATTGTGGAAAACCATGTGGCGACTCCTCAAGGATCTAGAACCAGAAATACCATTTGACCCAGCAATCCCATTACTGGGTATATACCCAAAGGATTAATAAATCATTCTACTATAAAGACACATGCACATGTATGTTTATTGCAGCACTATTTACAATACCAAAGACTTGGAACCAACACAAATGCCCATCAATGACAGACTGGATAAAGAAAATGTAGCACATATACACCATGGAATACTATGCAGCCATAAAAAAGAATGAGCTCATGTCCTTTGCAGGGACATGGATGAAGCTGGAAACCATCATTCTCAGCAAACTAACACAGGAACAGAAAATCAAACACCACATGTTCTCACTCATAAGTTGAACAATGAGAACACAGGGAGGGGAACATCACATGCCAGAGCCTGTTGGGTGGGAGGGCAAGGGCAAGGAGAGCATTAGGACAAATACCTAATGCATTCGGGGCTTAAAACCTGGATGACCAGTTGATAGGTGCAGCAGACCACCATGGCACATGTACACCTATGTAACAAACCTGCAAGTTCAGCACATGTATCCCAGAACTTAAAGTAAAAATAAATGAAAAGTAAAAAAAAAAACAAAACAAAACCACACACACAAATGGCCAACAGGTATAGAAAAAATGCTCAATATCACTAATCATTGGGGATATGCAGATTAAAACCACAATGAGATATTATGTCATACCTGTCAGAACAGCTATTATTGAAAAGATGAAAAATAACAGGTGTTGAAGAGGATGTGGAGAAAAGGGAACCCTTGTACACTGTTGGTGGGAATGTAAATTAGTATACTCATTTGGAAAACGGTATGGAGGCTCCTCAAAAAATTAAAATAGAACTACCATATGCTCCAGCAATTCCAATACTGGATATACATCCAAAGAAAATGAAATCAGCATGTCGAAAAGATGCCTGCACTCTCATGTTCACTGCAGCATTACTCACAATAGCCAAGATATGGAATCAACCTAAGTGTTCACCAGTGGATGAATGGACAAAGAAACAACGGAATATATACACAATAGAATACTGTTCAGCTTTTAAAAAGAAAGACATCCTGTCATTTGCAACATGGATCAACCTGGAGGACATTGTATTATTTGAAATAAGCCAGTCACAGAAAGACAAATGCAGCTTAATCTCACTGATATGTGTAATCAAATAAAGCCAAACTCATAGAAACAGAATAGAATAGTGGTTACCAGAGGCTGGAGGATTAGAGAGATGTTGACCAAAAAAATATATATAAACAAAGCACTGAAAATTAAACATCTTTATGAATAACATTTTATTCTTTATATTATTTTTGTAGTCCAGATTATCAGAAAAACAGATCCAGGAGTATACATTTTGTGAGTTTTAGTACAGGTTATCAAATTAGTCACAAACTATTAGGATTTGCAGTGCTATCAGAAACAGATAAGGATGCCCATTTATATACTTGTAAGCAGTGTATATGATTATAAAAAAAAAGGGGAAATAATCTATGGGTTCATAAACCTTTGTAGCAATCTTGATAAATTATCAAATATTTGAAATTTGCTTACTATTTCCTTTTTGCCAAGAACAAAAGGACCTATAAAATACTTACCTTCTCAATGTTTGCTGTCCCCTCCATGTGGGTGTCTGGGCTGGCCATTGGGAAGCCCTGGGACATTTTTCCTTTGGTGTGAGGATGGAGGGGGTCATCACCACAGTTGAACTGACTCACTTTTGAACAGCACTTCGCACTGTACAAAATATTCTGCATTCTCTCATTTGACCCTCACAGCGATCCTGTTTTCATTTTAATGATAAGAACTTTAAGGGTCAAAGGAATTTTAGGACAGACTCAAGCCATTTAGATGGTGGAAAACAAAGCTAAAACACAGTTCAGGTTTTCTGTTCCCAAGGGCAATGCCATTTCCATATTGTCAGGTTGGAGGGGAGCCAAGACAGATAGGAGGTGCTTAAGCCGAGGCTGAATCAACCAACTAAATGCGGAATAAGACAACATATGGAGTCAGAGTCAGCCTGACCTAAACTTGAACTTTGTCTCTGCCACTTACAATCTAAGGGATCCTCGGCTAGTTACTGCCCTGCTCTGGGCTTCAGAGAGACTGATTCCACAGGGCTGCATGAGGAGAGTGCTGTTTTTACAAAGGCCCTCACAATGAAATGCTTTGCAGGTAGAGTGGCTCCAACACCCCCTCTCACTCCTAAATTCTCCAGGGGAGACTGTCACAGTTCAGCATTACACACTGATTAGCATCTTACTTGAGAAGCCAGGGCCTGCAACACTGGGCAGCTAAAAAGTAAGCATCTTTCTGCTGTAACTTCTCATAGCAAGTAACACTTTCTGTTCTTTATAGTTAGTTTTCCAACAGTAAATGGGGATAGTTTTACAACAGTAAATAAGGACTTCCAACAGACGAATGCACAGCGAGCAAATGCTATGTGTACTGTGGAGTCCGATACCTTGCAAACCTCAAAGAAGGCAACAACGACAGCAAAACTAAAATTGTATACCTCTATCTCAGCATTAGAAAATCTCCTTTGCTGCTTTTTTTTCTTTTCTTTTTTGAGAAAAAGTCGTGCTCTGTCACCCAGGTTGGAGTGCAATGGCACGATCTTGGCTCACTGCAACCTCTGCCTCCCGGGTTCCAGCGATCCTCCTGTCTCAGCCTCTGGAGTAGGTGGAATTGCAGGCATGCACCACCACACCAAGCTACTTTTTGTATTTTTAGTAGACGGGGTTTCACCACGTTGGCCAGGCTGGTCTCAAACACTTAGGCTCAAGTGATTGCCCCACCTCGGCCTCCCAAAGTGCTGCCTGCGCCCAGCCTCACTTGCTTCTTTGAAGTGGGTTCCCACTACTTCTTTATCATTTAGCCTAAAGCAGGGGTACATTCCCTTTATCCTTTGCTTTGGAGACATCTACTACAACACACACATCTTAAACCGCAATGGCAGTTCCATGCCTTTGGTTTCTCTGGTGGAGAAATAAAAGTAACTTTGCGGTAATGACTGCCACCTTGTGGTCAAACATAAAACTTCCACTAGGAAAAATAGACTTCAATGCTAGTAAAGGCTTCACCCACTAAACACTGGGAATCTCATGTGGCCGCTAAAATTTTGGTATACTGTAGAATTTATACATTTTCCTGGAACATTTTGATTGCATATGCTATATTGATTGGGTTCCCAATCTGTTCCAGGTTACTTCCTCATTTTACTCTACCATAACATGATCTGTTGATGAGATCTTTGCTTATAATCACCAGAATTTCCTTTTACAGATCAAATTCCCCTGTTAGGTATGAGATACTTCTTTCTTTGCTTCAGCAGTAGTAACTTGGAACCATTGCTGCTGCAAGACCAGGTAAGCTCACTAAATATCAGTTGACTGCTTGACTCAAAGGTTACCACCTGGTGAAGATGATCTAACCTCATGTCATAGGAAACCATGTGATGTTTGGCTCAGGCCCTAGGAAGAAGATCTGAGAGGTCACCTGGCTCTGCGGCTTGACTCATGGTGTTCATGGTGGTGTTCAGGAGGCTGGCGCTTGAAACCCCGGCGGGCAACCAGTATCAGCTACCAGCTATCCCTCTCAAGCCTCAAGCTGTAACTCCACTCCTCTATTCCAAGAAAAGAGCCCAACAAGGGGGTGAGGGCAGGGGAGGGGCTTTACGTTGGCAAAGTGCCCAGCCAAGGAAGTCGTTTCAAGGCTACTCCAGGGAGCAGTGTGGGGCAGGGAGAACTGGAGCTCCAGGGGAACCAAGGACCAATCCAGCAGAGGGAAAGCAGAGGATGGGGGCAGGAGCAGCATGGGCTCCAGGGCCATCAAGAGCCACTGAGGACCAATGAGGAGCAGAGGGGAAGGGAGAGGCGCGCAGGGGAGCCGAGGCCCACGAAGCCATTAGCTGCCTCCCCATTTTTTTTTCTCTTGATAACGCTGGGGTGGCGTGGGAGTCCAAGCCATGTATCTCCTTCAGTGCGTCCTGTCACCAAGCTCCCAGACTTCTCTGCTCCACCCATTCTCCAGGCTGCATGTGGCCCTCCCAACACAGATTTGAATACTAGTGACCCTGAAATGTATGAAAACGCCCAGCTTCACTCACAGTTAGAGGAATGCAAGTTGGAACTTCAAATATACCATTTTTCTAACTCTGAGATGATCCAAATGACAGAGAGCATGCCATGATGGGAAGGCGGGGAAATGCACCTTCTCACTCAAGCTTTGGGAGTGTGAATTTAGAGACGCAGCCCAGCAAATAGGAAGAGCCTGCCTGGACTCTGCCGTCAGACCACCTGGCTTCAAACGCTCTCTGCCACTTAGGAACTAAGCTTCTTTGTACCTAACTTTTCTCCTCTGTGAAATGGGGTGATAATAACAGAACTTATTTCAGAGGGTTACTATAAGGATTAAATAACAGACATAAAGCACTTAGAACAATGTGTGGTACATGGACAATAAAACGTTCACTATCTTTAACCACAATGGGGGAGGGGGCAATTGAACTCAATCAAAATGTGAAATGCATATACCCTTTGACCAAGCAATACTACTACTAATAATGTGTCATACAGAAACACCAGCATAAGCACACAAAGACAAAAGTACAAGGGGACTCACTGCAACAATGACTGAAATAAAAGACTAGGAACACAATACATAGCAACAGAGGAGGAAAAGTTAAATTAATTATGTCATGTTCTAAAATGGAGTACTATGCAGCCATTAAAAATGAGGCAGCTTGGTATATAGAAATACAAAACAATTTCCAATATATACTATTAATATTATGTCTTAAAAAAATAAAGTGGCCAGGTACAGTGGCTCACGCCTGTAATCCCAGAACTTTGAGTGACTGAGGTGGGTGGATTGCTTTAGCCCAGGAGTTTGAGACCAGCCTGGGAAACATGGCAAAACCCCATCTCTACAAAAAAATAACAAAAATTAGCCAGGTGTGGTGGCATGTGCCTGTAAGTCCCAGTTTCTCAGGGGGCTGAGGTGGGAGGATAGCTTTAGCCTGGGAGCTTGAGGCTGCAGTGAGCCATAACCGTCACTGCACTCCAGCCTGGTGACAAAGTGAGACCCTGTCTCAAAAAATAGATTAATTAAATTTTAAAAATACAGAATCATGGGCAAAGTATACTATTATTTGTGTTTTTAAAAGATAAACATGTATGCATATATGTGCTGTATATATATGCTTTTATGTACAGAAAATTCTCTCAAAGGCTATAAATAAAACGAGCAATACTTGTTTCTTTCGGAGAAAGGATATGAATATTTGGAGGATACTTATATTACCTATCGCAAGAAATTAGATTTTCATAATTAAAACATACAACCTGATACGTCATTCCTCTGCTTCCACTTCTTCCATGACTTTCCATTGCTCTCAGGACTAAACCCAAACCCCTTAACACAGCCTACAAGGCTCTTCATGGCCTGGCCCTGGCCCACCTCGGCTGCCTCAGTTCTCAAGGCCCCTGTTCAACCTCGATATGCTGTGTGTGCTGAGCCTCCTTCACACCTGATGCTCTGTCTCACCAGCAGACCCATAGTGTGCTGTTGACCCTGTATGACATATTCACCTTCATTCTCTGCCTAACTAATTCTAATTCACTCGTTTGGTCCCAGCATGGCTTTACCTTCCCTAGAGGTGTATTGCCAGCCTCCCTGACCAGTCAGATGCCCCTATCCCGCTCTCGTGGAATCCCCTACTTCCTTGATGGTGGCACAGGCCAGGAACATGCCCAGAATTCACTCTCCCAGAATGCCTTTTGACAGCAAGATTCTGACACATCTGTGGCAGACCCTCCCTCTTGGTGCCTTCTCCAGGGCCATTTTCCCTCTTCATTGATACCAAAAGCCCAATTTTGAGCCTGATTCTAAATAAAAGCAGAATGCCCTGCTCCAGGGGCTGAATCAAGGTTGGTGTGAACCAATCATGGTCTGCCAGCTTATCTTGGCCTGATATTTGCTCTTCCAGCCTCCCTTGCTAAGGGCATGATATGGTTTGGCTGTGTGTCCCCACCCAGATCTCATGTTGAATTGGAATCTCTAATGTTGGGGAAGGGCCTGGTGGGAGGTGATTGGATCATGAGGCAGATTTCCCCCCTTGATCTTCTCATGATAGTGAGCTCTCATGAGATCTGGCTGTTTGAAAGTGTGTAGCTTTTCCCCCTTCACTCTCTCTCTCTCCTGCTGTCACGTGAAACCCTGCTTGCTTCTCCTTCACCCTTCCGCTATGACTGTAAGTTTCTTGAGGCCTCCCCAGCCATGCCTCCTGTACGGCCTGTGGAACTGTGAGTCAATTAAACATTTTTTCTTCATAAATTACCCCGTCTCAGGTAGTTCTTTGTAGCAATGTGAGAACAGACATACAGGGCAGTTGACCCAAGTCTAGGAAAGATCTTCCCTCCCTGAGAAAAGGGGACTGGCCATGAAGCCCTTCAGCCCCTGCCCTTATGCTTTCTGCTTTGGATGCTATCATGCCAAGGTGTGGCATCTAGGGCTGCAGCAAATACCTTGGGACCCCAAGGGAAAGACATGTCCAATGTCACTGAGCAACAAATCCAACCGTAGCACTGTTACCACCAGACTTCTCATTATGTGAAACAACAAGTAAAAAGTTTGTACTAATGAACCAAACTCATCCTTTCTATTTATTGTTTAATCCACCGCTGGTCAAGTGTTCCATTAACTGCAGCCAGAAGCATTCCTAAACGCACGCCATTACAGGGCAGACAGATTCAATTCTTAAGACCAGTCCATGGTTTCAGGCAAAGGGTCGTTGCTAAGGCCAGAAGCAATGCCCTGGGATGTTCCAAATCAAGGTACCTCTCTGGGTCCTCTCAGACCCCTCTTCTAAACTCCTGTGCCCAGGTCAGAACCAGCCCAGCATTTAGGAGCAGAGTCACAGCCAAATTCATCAAGACAATGAGCCCATGGCATTTTCTCTGTTCTTAGACTGCTGTAACTTTCATTCACCTTCACTTCACCTACAGAAGATTTATGTATGATGACCTTTTCAATCCTGGGACACACAACCCTCACGGTGCTCCTTCCCCAGGACAGCACAAGGGGAAGGGGTGAATTCATAAGCTTCCATTTTTCCTCCAGAGGTTGGCAGAAGTCACCAATACCTCCATATGACCCTGCCTTGGGAGCCCATCCCCCAAAATTTCTGATACTCAACTTTATGAAATCTCCAGTATCTTACTGTCTCAGCTCTGTAAGAAAAGAGGCTGTTGGTGCAGTGAATGTGATTCATACTTACGGGGGTCTGAAAGCAGCAGAACAACTGAGTGAGGAAGGGGTGATTGCGGGCCAGAGACAGGATCCTTTTCTCGGTCATGGTGCATTCCACATCATCATCCTGCAGAATCACGTCCTTCTTCAGCACCTTCACAGCATAGAGGTCTCCTGTTTCTTTTACTCTTGCAAGCATCACCTATGGCAAAGCAAAAGGAGGGAGCATGAGGGAGTCCTCTTGGGGGTCTTAGGGTGTGTGCACACAACAGGAAGAAAGAATGGCACATGAGAAATGTGAGTATGTGCGCATGCGTGCACACACACACACACCCCCCATACACAGAGCACACTTACTTCAACCCAAACAGTTAAAGCCAAGACTCACCTTCCCAAAACTCCCCTTCCCCAACACTCGGATGAACTCAAAGTTGTCGATACCAAGTCGGTTGGAAGAATTAACCCCAATCCCATTTCCTTCTTTGCTGCTCTCCTTTCCCTGTCGTCTTAGGGTCGATCTGGAAACGAGTTTCTGAAAGAGTAAGAACACATTAAGTCAGAAATTGCAGCAGAAGCATGGAGCACCCATGCACGAAGAAGACCTTATTGGCTGGGAGCAGTCTCACCCCCAGTATAACGTGGGGGAAAGATCAACTCAGTTTGACAGATGATCGGTTCTGCCACTCGAAACTCCCTCAGTATCAGCTTCTGAATCTGTGCTTACTGCTTTGTGTAAAAGGTCAATTAAAAATACGTCTAAGCCATGGAGTTACAGTTAGCGCTCAAGTGGAAGTGCATGGAAACACCAATGCCTTGTGTGGTCCCTTGGGTGCCTTCTGCGGTGGCTTTCCACGGGAAGGTCCCATTCCACGAGCGCCACCTAGTGTCCACTTTTTACAGAGAGCAGTTCTCATGTCTACTCAGAGATTCAAGCATCATTCAGCACCAGGACACGAATGAAGCAACGTTTTTTAATCAATATTTTAAATTATATAGGAGAAATAAAAGTCCAATGTGAATATTAGAACAATGATCAAAAGCATGAAGAATAAAAATCTAAATACCTAAAATCTCACCAGCCCTCTGCCAAAGATATCTATATCCATGTATAAATAACACACACGCACACGTTTTTATACTTGGTTAATTTTTAAAAACATAATCAAATTATGGTTTCATAACATACATTTGTATTCAAAAATTTGTCCTGGGTATTTTTCATGCCTTTAAATTTCTTTCAAGAATATGAGTTCTAACGGCTATTCAATATCCATTTCATGGATATCTCACAAGGTATTAATTCCCCTGCCATTAGAAGGATGAGGCATCTCCCCTTTTTCACCACAGTGAATAACACTGGAGTGAATACACTTCATGCAAATCTTCAAAACAGAGTAATTAAGGGTCTAGCTCTCAAGCAAGCTGCCTGGATTCAATAACAGCTCTGCAAGCTAACCTAAGACCCTGAGCAAGTTACCTACCCAGCCTCTCCCTACCTCAGTTTCCTCTTCTGACAAAGAGAAGGTTAAAGCATCTGCCACATGAGTCATTAGGAGGCCTAAATGAACAAATGCATGTAAAGCACTTAGATTGGTGCCTGGCACATTCAATAAACTTAAGCTGTATTGTCATTATCATTATTCAGTTTCTTAAGATAACTTCCTGCAAATGGAATTCCTTGGGCCAAAGTGCTAATTTTGAAGACTTCTGATACACAGCCAACTTACCGTCTACAATAAGACTGACCAATCTACACTCTCACCAGCATGATGAGAGTTCTAGTTTCAACACAATGAATGGAAGGTAAGTGTGCCTGCCTCAGTTGGCTTTCCAGTTCCATCCTACTGAGTACCTGAGGATGTTGCTACCTAAAGGCAAGGTGACTTTTGCAGCTGGCCCACCTTGAGACATTTATAAGATAAGCTACCACTAGACAACAGATCAAAAGTCTAACATCCAGCCAGGCACCGGATGTCATGGATTAAGGATACTTGATTCAAATGACAAGTGCACTGTCCATTCCTAAAGATCGTGCTGCATGATCTTTATTCCTATTCTTATCTTATTCCCATTGTATCTCAGAAGCCCTAGTTCAGGCTGATATCTTTAATCTCTGCTCTTCAGGGATAACTGTCCCATGCATTAGCAATCCCCGCACAATATTGGCATCCTGCCCGCCTACCCACAAGACAGACAGACCGGATTTCAAATACATTTTTTTACATAATAGGTTTCAAATACATTTTTTCACCATGATTTGATGAAACCCATTCATCTAAATCACATGTAACAGTCATTGCTGATTTAGTATGATCTAATATAAGGATTAAAACATTTATCGTAGTGGCAATTCAATAAATTGTCAATAGGCCAGGCGCGGTGGCTCAAGCCTGTAATCCCAGCACGTTGGGAGGCCGAGACGGGAGGATGACAAGGTCAGGAGATCGAGACCATCCTGGGTAACACGTTGAAACCCCCCATCTCTACTAAAAAAAAAAAAAATACAAAAAATTAGCTGGGCGTGGTGGCGGGTGCCTATAGTCCCAGCTACTCGGAAGGCTGAGGCAGGAGAATGGCGTGAACCAGGGAGGCGGAGCTTGCAGTGAGCTGAGATTGTGCCACTGCACTCCAGCCTGGGCGACAGAGCCAGACTCCGTCTCAAAAAAAAAAAAAAATTGTCAATGAAAGTCCCTGATCTACTAGGCAGGAGTCCTTCAGTAAAAAGGAAATGAGGTGGTTGGTGCTGACATTTTCAGGATTATCAAGAATCTCACAGTAATTGCACTTCCCTTCCTCAGCACCCAGAGATTAATTAGTTGAGTCGATAATTTTCCTGAACTGGACACCAAGCTACACCGTTCAGATCTTACATGGCTATTTCCCATCTCTAGACGCTGACCAGGAAGGCAACAGTAAGACATGGGCTTGGGAAGCAGCCAAGGCTCAACTGGATGACAGCAGGTGGAGGTCATTCAGGGAGAGTGCTGACAAAAACATGTGCACTGCAACTGACACAACTCCACTCACTCCTGAGAGTCCAGAGGGAGAGACTCCTGTCTCCTGCTGAATGTGAATGATAAATTCACAATCCATAAACCAAAACTTCAGAACTGCTGGACTCCAGGGCTGTGCAGAGCCTCTGAGATCTTCAAGTTGAACCGCTTTAGAGGTGAGGACGCTGACGCCCATAGTTACTGGTCACCTGTCCTGCCTGGTCCCCAGACAAAAGCATAACCCAGGATCCTGGGTTTTAGGCTTTCACCAGACCACAGTGACAGGAAGCTGATTTTAAAACAGAAAAGAAAGGCTGGGCGTGGCAGCTCATGCCTGTAATTCCAGCACTTTGGGAAGCCAAGGTGGGCAGATCACTTGAGATCAGAAGTTTGAGACCAGCCTGGCCAACATGGAGAAACTCCGTCTTACTAAAAATACAAAAATCAGCCAGGCGCGGTAGTGGGCACCTGTAATTCCAGCTGCTCGGGAGGCTGAGGCAGGAGAATTGCTTGAACCTGGGAGGTGGAGGTTGCAGTGAGCGAATATCACTGCACTCCAGGCTGGGTGACAAAGCGAGACTCTGTCTCAAAAAACAAATAGAAAAAAGAAAAAAGAAAAAAAAAAGGAAAGAAAGGAAAAAAGTCCTTCTTTTGCTTTCTGTTTATTACTTGTTGCTCATGCTCATTATTTCTTGTCATATAACTGTATATACAATCTTATCCGTGAAACAAATTGCTATTAAAAATGCTATTTCAGCCAGACACAGTGGCTCACACCTGTGCAATCCCAACACTTTGGGAGGCCAAAGCGAGAGGATCGCTTGAGCCCAGGAGTTTGAGACCAGCCTGCGCAACAAAGTGAGACTCCATCTCTACAAAAAAAAAAATAAAAAATTACCCTGACATAGTGGTGCACACCTGCAGTCCCACCTACTTGGGAGACTGAGGTAGGAGGATCACTTGAGCCTAGGCAGTCGAGTCTGCAGAGAACCATAATTGTGCCACTGCACTCCAGCCTGGGTGACAGAGGAAGACCCCATCTCAAAAAGGAATGAAGACAGGGAAGGGGAAGGGGAAGGGGAAGGGAGGAAGGAAGGAAAAAGGAAAGGAGAGGAAAGGAGAGGAGAGAGAGAGAAAAAAAAGGGAGAAAGAGAGAAAGAAAGAAAGGAAGAAAGAAAGAAAGAGAAAGAAAGAAAAGAAAAAAGAAAGAAAGAAAGAGAAAGAAAGAAAGAAAGGCAATAAGTCTGTTTATTGTATTTGCTAAGATTAGGAACTTTGATGAGGCCACATGCTCTCATTTGGGCTCATCACATCTGAGCAACTTCTAAATTACGAGACATGGAAAAAAAGCAAAGTCTCACCGAGGTTGGAGAAATATTTCCGGGTTGGAGACCCATCCCTGCCAGGGTCTTGGCAAGTTCCACCGCATTTACCCCACAGTTAGGGGCCACGTTCGCTTGACATCGAATATGCACATTCATTTTACATACTAGAGGGAAAAGGAAAACAGAATCCATGTTCAGAAAGGAACCAATTCAACATGTGCTGCAACAGAGAACTTTAATAGCCTAAAAGATTATAACAGAGGAATTATACCGGCTGAACAGTATCATTTTCTCATAAAATTAAGCTCACACTAGTAATAGTTCCTGACATTTTATCTATTTCTGTTTTCTGCAGAAGCAGAAAGGCAAGCATACTAAAGAATAATATATTTCAAATACATTTTTTCCACCATGATTTGATGAAACCCATTCATCTAAATCACATGTAACAGGCATTGCTGCCTTAGTATGATCTAAGATTAAAACCTTTATCGTAGCGGCAATTCACAGGCAATTAAATAACAAAGAATCATGTCAACTGTATTTTTTTCTGTCTCTCAACAGTGAAATAAAAGGTAGCAGTTTAAATGCCACATGTAGATCACTGTTCAAACAGGATGGAAATGGTGTTTCTACAAGAAAAACCTCTATCTGCAGCTTTCTTTCTGAGTATTGTTGTGGTTGGGCAGGCCTCACAGCACAGAGATGGGCATCCTGTGAGCCTGTGGTTCTCAGCATTTGCAGCCTGTGGTTCTAACTGCTTCATAGTGGGGAAAGGCAACTTTTAAAACTTTCTGAAGGTCAGAGTACAAATGGCAGTTGAAGAGGCGAGCAAAGAAAGCTAAGCTCCTGAGGCACCGGAAGCTGCCTGGGGACAATGAAGGATCTGAGGCGTTATCAGCTGGAATAAATTCTGAGACAGTTTTTTGACATGGGCCCTGCTGATGGGAGGTGAAACTGAAGCGACAAGCAACACATTCCTGTTTTATGGAGTCAGTCCATCTTGGAAGCACACACAGATCCAGGTTTTGTGGGGCCTGAATTTACATAATTTAGGAGGCCTTCTTTAAGAAAAAGAACACCAAATCAAGTAGAGGGCTTTGGAAGGTGCCCTTGAGAGAGAGGAGCCCTGAGACTTAAGCTTCATGGGAAACCCACCCCTCTCAGGAAGACAGGTGTAAGACACACGAGCCTACAGAAGCCTTTCAAAACCACCAAGTGACCATAAAGGCAAAAATCACAAGAGCCGGATTGCTGCAGGTGTGCTACCCTCAGGCCACTAGGGAAGAGGACAATGCAGATGAGCCCCATGCATGGCTCTGCGCATCAGCAACAATGCAAGGCAGAAAGGGATTTCCCACTGGGAACCCATACCCAGGTGAGACCGTCACGCTAAGATCAAGCTGCACCTGGACCAACGCCCTACAAGTTATCCATGAGCTGGCTACTGTTTTGGTTTTATGAGAAAAAAATTATTAGTGTTCTACAGAGATAGAAGAATGTGCCCTTCTTAAAGACAAGTGACTGGCCCCTTTTTGTTGACAGAAGCAGGCTCTGTAAGTCCAAGCAGTCAATGGAAGTTGTCTGGCTATACTCATGCCAATTCTACCTCACCATTGTTCTCCTCAACTGGCGACTTGGGGTGTGTCTGATAAGAAAGGCTTCAGGTGCACCCCACGGCAGTCAGATCATTACATTTCCATACAAGATGGCACAAGGCCAACAGCTCCCTAACTCCTAACAGGACAGGGATCAGCTCTCACCCACTCAGAGCCTTTGCTAGGGCCAAAGCTCCAAACTCTCACTCCACTGGGCACAGCTGGTGAGATGCAAGCTTACAATCAAGGCTTTATCTTCCTTCATTCTACCCCTGTCTCCAATCTCTTTCACAAGACCCAGGGCAGCTCTTTTTATGCTGTGACAACTCCATTCCTGCTGATTTCTGGTGAGATCATCAGATCTATTCTGCCATTTCTTACTCTTAACCCAACCTTCTCATTTGGCCATCTCACCTCCTCACCTCCTCCTAACTTCCATTTCTTTGAAATTTTTATTTATTTTTTTCTTTTTAGTGTCTCACCTGACTCAACCATCTTCCATTTCTGACTAAGATCCCATCTTTTTCTCTTCCAAACACCTATTAAAATACAGTGTCTAGGCTGTATTTGTCAGCTAGCGAGCTAGATCACTGAATATACCATTTGACTTAATGTCCTATGATTAGAAAATGTTGGCATCAGATGAAGTTCTCTTTACATGCCTGACAAGAAACATGTAAGTTTAAAATGACTAAGATGTTGATTTACAACATATCTAAAACCATCAGTTCTAGGACAGATTCTGAGTCCACAGAATTCTGAAAGCTTAGGGCATAGTGTTCCCATGAAGAGGTGGGTACCCAGCACCTCAGCATCTCACTTTTACACTGAAGTCCTTGTCGCATTATTCCCCAGAGCAGTGAGCCACAGTGATCGCAGAATGTTGGCACTTTGTAGTTGTGGATGCTGAACTTGTGTGGGATGTTGATCCCGAACCTCTGTTCTGCAATCTGTAAAAAAGGAAATAAAGGGACAAGAGCTAAAATGTCATACCAATGTCCTTTGTAAAAACTGTAATAGGAGCCCATCAAATGCAAAGTGTCACTATGACACCTGAGCTAGGTATATTATTTTACTGTACTCAGCCCTGATTAATTACTCAGGTCTTACGAACCAGACTAAACACATTTTCTAATGAACAGGACAAGACAGAAATGTGGGAAACACATTAGATCATTTGCCATTTTGAGAAATAAAAATTAAGATTTTCACTTCATCTTTCATATTCAGGCCATATTTCTCTCCTTGCCAATCCCCTAACACCCCCATCTATTTCCCAGAACCTTTTAACTTCAGGATTAAATGGGTCTTTTATACACTATATATACTTGCTATCACTGTAAGTTCTTCCAGACATTGTGTCACGGGAAGAAAAATAAAAAGAAGAGACTCAGAGGCCATGGAACCACAGAAGGAATTTATTCCAAAGTGACATTAAAGTAACTACTTATTCAGCTCTTCCAGCCTTTCTTTGCCTGGCATTTGCAATCTGACAATCTGAGTTAAATCTCAGTTTCCAGCAAATAATTCCACTAGGCATGTACTCTGCAGTCCATACCACAATTTGATGCTATAACAACAGATCCATGCATGACAAGGAGTAGGGCAATCATTACTCCTCTTGAAACTTTTATGGCCTCTTTCTTGGAAAAGCTGTGGTTTATACCTCTAGGTATACTCTTTAGCAATCCTATATGTGTACTATAAAGAACCATTGTGTTCCAGAGTCATTCTTCCAATGCCTCTGCAAATCTACTGCTAAATGTCAGCAACACTCCATCTGCTTTTACCTCTAGAATTTAAAATGTATGCCTATTGCAGATGAATGCAATATGAGTGGCAAGAATGATGTTGAAGCTTATACACATACACACACACACACACACACACAGAGAGAGAGAGAGAGAGAGAGAGAGAGAGAGAGAGAGAGAGAGACATCTTCCCTGAAATTTCTTAAGAGGCTGGAGAAAGCCAGCAATCTTTTTACTTAGGAAACATAATTTACAGTTATTAACATATGTATCACATCAATTCTATGTTGTTTAACTTACAAAAACTGTGTGAGGGAAACATTGATCCTGTTTTAAGACTGAGGAAAAGAGAGATTGTAGGCCTTGCCGCAGCTCATAGAGAAGATGGCTAACAGAGGCTGGATTCAGCATTCAAATCCAGGCTGTCAGATGCCAAGTTCAGGGCTCCTTTCACTCTGCCAAAAGTCTCTCCAAATAAGTAGAACCAATCCATATAGCTTATACCCAGCCAACCACTAATGGGGTCCTCACAAAGGAGGGATGATGCCACATAAATACAGAAATATAAATGCCATAATTTAAAAAAAGGGAGAGAGACATTTCTATTCTAATACAACCCTTGGCTTCAAAGAATGTGGAAGGGAGGTGGCAGGGGGAGGAAAGCAGAGGTTTGGGGACGGGGAGAAGGAAAAGAGGGGGAGGAAAGGAGGGAGGGAGGGAGAGAGACGGCGGTACACAGCATACACAATACACACGCACATTTAATCAGCAAACTGCTATCCTCTTACCTTTGAATCCACTTTGTTAATATTGTTTTGGCAAGTACAGGCTGTAACAATTAGATGATGGCAGCGTTTATGGACGACACAGGTGCACACTAGGAAATTAAATCCAGCAATTATACATTTATCAGAAGCTCACAGTCCAGCCAGTTACAGCAGAGTCAACCAGGGCTGCACCGTGCCAACAAGACTGGACTCGTCTGGCCCCCTTGACAGCAGCTGGTGCGCCCATCCTTCCTATTGCCTTCGCCACCATCCTAACACAGACCTTTGCTCAGGCTCAAACTATCCCTTATCAAGTCCTGGGCCTATTTCTTCCTTCCTGACTTTATTCCATCCTGCACCCACCACCAGAGGACTCTTCTAACACTCTAGTCCTGCCCCCATAATCGAAAACATTCCATGGTAATTCACTGCCGATCAACAAAGTTCAAATTTCCCACCCAGGTTCCAGGCCCTCCAGAGGCTGCTCCAAGCTACCTGTCACCTTTCTTCTATGGGATCTACTTGTTCCAGTAAAAACTACATGGGTTGCTCTTCCTGGACCCTTCCAACAAACTATCGATGCCCTTTTCTCTCCCTGGGATATCCTTTTTGCCTATCAACTAACCAAATCTTAAGTTTAGGACAAGATGTAACTCAGAAAATGTCTCTTCCATGAAAATACTCTACCCCATCCCCACTTCTAGACTGAAACCACCTGCCCTCCTCTGATCTCCCACAACCCTTAGCCTGCCCCTTCATTTCAAACCTTCCACCCAGCCTTGTAATGCCCTCAGAATTCCTTGCATGATGCCTTGAACAGAGGAGGCATTCAATAAATGTTTGCTGAATGGCTTAATCAACTGTTGAAATATTTAGAACTTTCGGAATAACATTTTTTTCATTCTCATCTAGATAAGTGATACACTGCAGATAGTTGAGCTTGTCATCAAAGGATAAACACATGCAATGAAGCAGTATAAAAATGTATATCATCTTAAGATCTTTCAAGACATGTGGAAGGTTTTAGGATTAACTACATAAAGAGAGGTGACATGTCAGTAAATAGCATCATACCTTAAAACAAATCTAGCTTTCATCAGATTCAATTCTCAGGAGAACCAAATTGAAAGTGCCCAGAGAACTGGTCTTTTTATATGAGGGGATCTCAAAACCATCCTTCACACAGAAATACTTTATTTTTTGAGGTATTTGGTTTTTTCCTGGTTAGCTTGGTAAAGGCTTATCAATTAATCCTTTCAAAGAATCAGCATTTGATTTCATGGATTTTCTCTGTTGTTTTCCTATTTTCAACTTCACTGATTTCTGTTCTAATTGTATTATTTCTTTTCTTATGCTCGCTTGAGGCTTAAATTTATCTTCCTTCTCTAGTTTCCTAAGGTGGAAATTTCGAATCTTGGTTTTAGATCTTTCTACTTTCCTACTGTATGCATTTAATGATATATACATTCCCATCTGAGCACTGCTTTTGCTGGATCACACATATTTTTATAAGTTATATTTTCATTTTCACTTGACTCTAAATATTTTTTATGTTCTCTTGAGTCTTCTTCTTTGACCCATGTGTTACTTAGAATGTGACATTTAACCTTCCAATATTTGGGGATTTTCCAGCTATCTTACAGTAATTGATTTCTAGTTTAATTCCATTGTGGTCTAAGAAGATACCGTTTATGGTTTCTCTTCTTTTAAATTTGGTAAGGTATGTTTTATGGCCCAGAATGTGGTCTATGTTGGTAAATGTCCCCTGTGAGCCCGAGAAGAATGTGAAAACTGCTGTTGTTGGATGAAGTATTCTATAAACGTCAATTTCACCTAGTTGTGATAATGCTGTTTAGATCACCTATATCCCTACTGATTCCCTGCCTGCTGGATCTATCAATTACTGAGATATTGAAGTCTCCAACTATAGAAGTGGATTTGTTCATTTTTCCTTGTGATTCTATCAGTTTGTCCCATGTATTTTGATTCCTGTTGCTAGGTACATACATACATGTTAAAAATTGTTATGTACTACTACACTGGTCTTTAAATAAAACAAAACAAATAAAAATGTTAAGTCTTCTTGGAAAACTGACCCCTTTATTGTTGTCCCCTCTTTATTCCTGATAATTTTCCTTTTTCTGAAGTCTGCTCTGTCTGAAATACCTATGCCAGTTTGCTTTTGATCAGTGTTAGAATGGCATACCTCTCTCCAACCAGGCATTTGGTTTTATATGCCTTAGGGAGACATCACCAAAGTGGTGTCTGCATGTCTCCTAACTAATAGTCTTCCCTGCTCTTTACATAGCAGGTGACCCACTGAAAATCAGGCCATCAAATATCCAGGCACTATAGGACAAAGAGAAAAAGAAATAAAATAACAATAGAGATGTATCTTAAATCCCATGTTTTAAACTCAAAACCATAATCTTGTTTATCCAGAGCTTCTCAACTTATCTTGGTGTGCATAAGATGGGCTACCATGGACTGCAGGGCATATTCCTGTGCTCACAGGCCCATGCCACAAAGTGACAGCGATTCTGGCTTGTGAACTGTCTTCTCACTTGGGACTGAGATTAACAGCATACAGGTCAATTATTGCTGTCATATTGATTATATATTTGTTTTTTCCTAACTTTGAAAGTTCAATGGAATTGTTCATACATAGTAAAGTCAAAATTAGATCCAAGAGTATGTCTTATTCAGTCCATCCAAGGGAAGTAATGTTTTACCTCACATCTTCCAGAAGAGAAGGTGAGATTTTCTTATCCACACATAGGCTACTGCTCTAGGATATGTGGTGCTATTTTATCAATCATCCACATAGTGAAACAGGTACCATGTGTATAAACTATGTGATGATACTCATGTCAAAGGTTAAGGGGGAACCCAAATGACAGGCAAGCCTGATGGGCCTGGCTAAACCACCTGACTGAGGGCTCTTCTTCCATTCCTGCCATTGTATTTCTTTCCAATTATGCTAGAAACACTAGTAAATTGGTTTCATCTTAGATTGTGAAAACTAAATATAACATGTAGTAACTTACAAGATCACTGACAGCTTAACTTTGAACATTTCTCACTTTTTTTTTTTTTTTTTGAAATCATAACATTTCAAAAAACAACTTGGATAATAGCTTATGTTCCCTGGACGGGGAAAAAGAGAAAACAGCAGTGTGCTACTTTTCATCCCTATCTATTATCAATAGGATTGTAAAAAACAAAAGTTTATCTTCAAAATTTAAGAGTATGCTCACAAAATCACATTACCTTTTAGTACTCTCATGTTACTGCAGAGACAAGACTTTAAACAATGAAAATTTATTAGGTATCCTGGCTTTAGAAATAAAAACGTCCCCTTTACATTGTCTAAAATATGGCCAAGATCTCACCAAACTAAAGAGTTGTATCTACACAGGGGTTTCCTTTGACCTACAGAGAGTTATTTATCACAATATTAAGGGAAGATACCCTGTTTTCTCTTGGTATAATCATTTCTTTTAACATAGGAACAAAATGAAACATGGTTTTAAAAATGTTTCCTTACCTTGGCACTGATAACCCTGTTTCCCAAACACTCCCCTGTTGAAGAGAAGAAAACTACCATCAGTCAAGTATTTCAGCAATAACCCTCTTATAGTCCTTAAGGAAAACAAATTTCATCCTCTCCTCCTTTATGAAAAACACAATTTCAGGGAAGAAGCAAAGATCATGTGCTTTCTGAGCCATTGTTTGTTACTATGAGACACCAGAAAAAACCATGTGCTGGATTAGAATGTGCTGTATGATACAAATGGGTGGGTAAAAACCATTCCCATTCCATCTACCTCCATGGCAATTTCCTAAGTCCTCAGTGGCAATAAATCCTCATCTGTACGTGTGATTAAGCCTTGGCCTGAAGAGTTCCCACCTTATTCTCTCTCACATAAAGATGTTCAGATGCTGAAGTAAACGGACACAGATACACTGTGGAAGTGCACAGATGAGTCTACCGCAGCTGCCTGTCCCAGGGGACCTGCCCTTGTCCCTGTGTCCATATCACCCCTGGAGTCCACAGGTGGGCAGAGTTGCTGCCACAATATGCCCTTCAGGCCCACCACTTCCATCTTTGCCTCTCCCAAATATATTCTATGGGTGATGATAATGATGGTAACATTAGGAGTATTCTCATTCTCATTAACAAAGACCACAGTAACTAAGCCCATAGGATGTGCCAGGCACTGAACCAAGCAGCTGATATATACCATTTCATTTAATCCTCACAAAAAGCCACGGGAGGCAGCACACAAAATAACATGGTTAAGAGCACAGACTCTGAAGCCAGATGACCTGATGCTTTGAGCCACAGTTTCCTCATCCATAAAAGGGACTAATGATAACCGTTCCTACTGCACAGGGCTCTAATGAAGATTAAAAGTTGTAATATAAAATGCTCACAATAGTGCCTGGCCCTTTAAGTACTATATGAAAGTTTATTATACAAGTAAAATAAGATTGTTGTGTCTATTTTGCAAATGAAGAGACATTGACAGGCTACGCAACTTGACTAAGTCACACACCCAGTTGGTGATGAGACTGGATGTCAGAGTCCATACTCTTAGCCATATATATTAATATATACACCAATATTTTAAGTGTGTGTGAGAGAGAGAGTATGAGGGTGACAGTGTATGGGTGTGGAGGGGGGGAGCGTTAAAGGCTGGTTGGGTACAGTTAATGTTTCTCTGGTGGAAAAAAGTCAGTGAAATGATCAAATAAGTTTCCATTATGAATGTCAGTTCAGGTCAGGGGCCATCACCACTAATGCCTACAGGGGCCTGGCAGGTCATGTAAAAGAAACAGAAAAGTGTGACATGAAATACACTGCAAGAGGCAAGCACCCTTAGGTCACAAGTGAGCAAACCACAGAGAGGTGGGGCTGTGGCTAAGTCGAGTGCAGCCTCATGCAAAGAGGAAACGTGAACTCAAAGACGCCAGGGCTGCTAATTTTTTCCCAAAAAAAAGTAATACAATTTTTTCCCTAAATACAATAAATGTTATGACACATTTGTTGGCTTCATATCTACAGCTGGTTTAGCATCTCAAAATCGTTGTTTCTTGATTAAAAATGTCAGAAATACTAACTAGCCCTAGGTTCTGACTGTTGAAGATATAAAATCCAAAATAATCACAGAAAACAAAATACAAAGTAATTGATCAACATTCAGAAACTGCTCTGATCCAAGGGCTTCTGCCTTCACTAAACAAAATAATTAAAGTTGACAACAAAAATATAGATCTCCTTTCACGCTACCAAACTGTGTTTTCTCCTTCTGAGATGGGTGTGTGAGGGCATCTTTCTTTCTTCCCTTTCCAAATAAGTATGCTTAATTTATCACTAAAGATAACTACTGCTTAAATTTATTTTACATTTGCCACTGAGACTGAGACTTAAGCTTCAGTTGTATGTCTAGTAAGATATTGCCCCAAATCTCTAGAATTTCTCAATGTTGAATTATCTTAGTTCCTACTAATTCCTAGGGATTAGATTACAGTATATGATCACTGAAGGCTATTATCTTCTGTTACATACCAAGAGGCCGAAGACTACTTTGTGTTTAGTTTTCTCGCAACCATTAATTTCCATAAGTCATTATGCGATTCATGCCTTCTTAAAGCAATACTGTTGATTATTCTTTGGTCCTTAGGGGCTGATTATCCAATTTACTGATTGTTTATTGACTTATTAGCCTTTTTCTCTGATTTATGCTTGTTGACCAGTTTAGGATTCATTAGCATCTTTACCAAGATGATTTTAAAAAGAAATGGTATCTAAAACTTGGATCTGTAAATTATTTAGATGTTTTTGCAATGGAGATTTAAATTACTGGGTCAACATACTAGAGTAAGAGGCAAAAATCAGATCCTGAAAGAATTCTTAAATAATCATGCATTCTGCTGAAGTCATACATAACCAGAGGAAGCCTATTAGATGGAAGCTCTGAGGAGGACAGAAGTAAGGGAACCCCTTACCAGATAAACTCCCTGCAGTGAGAGCAGTAGGTGGGCTGCCTCAGATACGTGGCCATGAACTTGTGTCCATTGATCTGGTGGACTCGCCTTCGCATAGCCCTTTGGCGCTTCCTGGTAAAATGTTTGAAGATCCGGTCTCTCTGGAGAGTAGCTATATATTAAAAGGAAGGAAAAAAAGAATAAGATGTAAGGAACCTAACGCACCTAATAGATGAGAAAGTTTGATAGTTCAAGTGCTCACTCCTCAAATTATTTTTTCTTTCTTCAAGATCTAAACCATCCCCCCTAAAATCATTATGGCTTCCTAACAGGACTCTTTACTTTGAGACAGGACCTCACTCTGTCACCCAAGCTGAAGTGCAGTGGCTCAATCATGGCTTACTGCAGCCTTGAACTCTCAGGCCCAAGTGATGCTCCTACCTCAGCAACCCAAGGTGCTGGGACTACAGGCATGCACCACCATACCCAGCTAATTAAAAATAATTTTTTTTTAATAGAGATGGAGGTCTCACTGTGATGCCAGAGCTGGTCTCCAACTCCCAGGTTCAGGTGATCCTTGTGTCTTGGCCTCCCAAAGTGCTGGGATTACAAGTGTGTGTCACCGCACCCAGTCATGTGGCTTTTTAAGGTTAGACCTATGCAAACCCCTGAGATGCCCACTGCCTGGTTATAACTGGCTATCATGGGCCAATCTCTTGTAGCACAGACCAAGGGTTTCCCAGGGTTCTGATAGGGCAGTATGTGACATCAGCATGGTCTCCTAGCTCCAGTCTGGCTGTCTGTGACCTCGCGTCTATCTATGAGCTATAAGCATTTCTCATTATTTTCCTTTAATTCTGGTATCCTCGCAAACTAAATGAGGGAATCGCCCACAGCACAGACTATGAGAGCTCTGTCCAAAACCCATTGGTACAGGATCACCTCTGTTAACCTGGAATAGGTAGAAATTAACCTGGAATAGGTGCAAAATTCCTTTTCTAACCTCACGCTTTTAAAACAGTGGCTTCTAATCTGAGGACTCTGAAAACTACATCATTATGTCTTCCAAATAATTATACTAGAATTTTTCTAGTGTATGCAGAGACTTGTGATTAATAAAATATAGCTTATTTCCTCAATAATGCTTTAATCATTGAAACAAAGGAAATTTAAGAAACCATGAAATAATAATTTGCTAAAAAATTTTAAACCCTGGAAGAGACAGAAGATTTCAAAGATAATCTCAGATACCTGTTACAAAGGAAATTATAGAACAATAAGAAAACACAGAAAAATATTATACTCCTAGGATAAGATAAGGATAATAAAACTTGGCCGGGTACAGTAGCTCATGTCTGTAATACCAACACTTTGGGAGGCTGAGGCAGGAGGACTGCTTGAGTCCAGGAGTTCAAGACCACCTGGACAATATACTGAGGCCCCATCTCTTAAAAAAATTTTTTTAAAGGGATAATAAACTCTAAAGGCATCCAAAGTTCACAGATTTGCAATTTAAGAAATTTAAAGTTCTATTTGGCAAAAAAAAAAAAAAAAATACAAAGCAGAAAATTGAAAGAAAGAAACTGAGGGAGAAGAGGACTTGTAACACATGACAAAGGGTTACTATTTATAATACACAGAAATCAATTTTTAAAAGTATGAACAATCCAGTAAAAATGGGGCAGAGGATGTGAAGAGGCAATTCCTAAAACTGTAAGTGCAAACAGCCAATAACCATGCCAAGATGTCCAATGCTACCCAAGACGGACGCATAAGAACCAGAAGCTAAATCACATTTTTACCTCTTAAGCTGGCAAATACTTAAAAGGATTGCTAAAGTGTCCTTTTTAACAAGGGTGAGGTGAAACAGGCATCCCCATCCTGTCAGTAGGAGTATAAACCGGGCTCCAGTCCTGACCCTACCACACCGGCTCTCTTTTTCTTGCTAAGCCTCAGGGTTCCCATCTAGAAATCAGGTGGCCCCTTCTTCCTAGGGTTTTCCCAAGGACTGAATCAGGTAACACATTCAAAGAGCTTAGCACAAAGCTAGGCACATCGCAGCATTCAAAAAAATGTAGTTATTTAGGGCAAGTGCAGTGGCTCACATCTTTAATTCTAGAAATTTGGGAGGCTGAGGTGGGAGATCACTTGAGCCTAGGAATTGGAGACCAGTCTGGCAACATAATGAAACTCCTTCTCTACCAAAAAAAATTTTAAAAAAAGCCAAGTGTGCACCTGTGGTCTCAGCTACTAGGGAGGATCACTTGAGCCCAGGAGGTTGAGGCTATAATGAGCCATGATTGCACCTCTGCACTTCAGCTGGGCAACAGAGCAAGACTTTCTCTCCAAAAAAAAAAGAAAAAAAATGTAGTTATTTCAATAATAATTTTTTATTTTTTATTTTTATTTTTGGATAGAGTTTAACTCTGTCACCAGGCTGGAGTGCAGTGGCGTGTTCTCAGCTCATTGCAACCTCCACCTCCCAGGTTCAAGCTATTCTCCTGCCTCAGCCTCCCAAGCAGCTGGGACTACAGGTGCACACCACCAAGCCCAGCTAATTTTCGTATTTTTAGTAGAGACAGGGTTTCACCATGTTGGCCAGGATGGTCTTGATCTCTTGACCTTGTGATCCACCCGCCTCAGCCTCCCAAAGTGCTGGGATTACAGGCGTGAGCCACCATGCCTGGCTTTCAATAATAATTTTTGTGGAGACCAATGTGACAATACCTGTCAAAGAAATTAGAGTCTACACAATAGATCTCAAAGAGTGAAATGCAGAAAGAGTCCAAATGAATTTGGCCAAGACACCAACATCTTCAGAGATTCCAGCACAGTTAAAATTATACCTGCCTCAGTTTTTGTTTGGAGGTAGGTGTAATCTTTGGCAAACAGCCTAGTTACTTTCCTTCTTAAGTTTCCCATATGTCTCAAGAAGATAAAAATGCCCCTGTTGTCCACCCTGTGGGAACAGTGTCATAACCAATAATCCTGACAGGTTCTAAGGACTGCGGAAGAACAAAAGTTACTACACTACACTGCCCTCTTCCACTCATGATACTTCTAGAAGTCATTTAGAAACCACGAAGTGAACAGATTTTAACATTCCTTTGCTTGCAGATGACAAAATTAGGCTAATGGTATCACTCTCTATCCAGCCTCTGTTATCACCAGCCTGAGACCCAGCTCAATACCGGCCAAAGCAAAACTTGTCTTGAATTATTAATAGTAAACACTTATCATGTATAGATGCAAATTAAGTTCTCCCTGGGGATCTAATTACCAAGAATTAACTTTTTAATCCCTTAATACTACAAAGATTGGTTAAAAGACCAGCCCACTTGCATGTTTAATATTTCATCAACTGAATCCTATTTTTTTTCTTAACAGCTATTGCCACTGCAATTTTCCAGTTGATTCCTTATAACCAGAGGAGGATTTAGGAAAAAACTGCATGCCAATCATTTCTTGCCACCTTCACTCCTGCCTTTTCACCTTCCTAAACGGCCCTTCCCTCTTTCCTTCCAACCATTAAGAGTTAAATTAGCCTTAACCTACCTGCCTCAGAGCCTGAGCAAACTCCCCCAAATCCTAAAGCCGGGTGACATGCTAACCCACTGTTGCCACAGCAGCCTGGGAGTGCACCGGTGACATGCTAACCCACTGTTCCCACAGCAGGCCGGGAGTGCACCTCAATGTCTTCTCTCACGACCTGGGGCCGTGTCTCTTTCACTTCTGCCCCAGGCACTTCCCATGCACTTTCATACAGGGACATGGACAAACTTCACTCTGCCCTTTTACATTATTTTGCACGTGTGCTTCGTTTAGAAAACAAACATACACACTCATGCACCTACACACACACCTGGGACTTTGCAAGACATTTGGTCACATAAAGAAAATGGGCCCCCATGGCTTCCAATGACTTTCACTGTCACCATGTTCTAGACTGCTGCCATGAGCAAAAGGAAACAGCTCTCCCACACGCTCTTCACTTGCCTACAGACTCCAACCCCACTTCACCATCGGAATGCAGAGGGAACTTCCTCATTGTTTGCACCGCCTCCTGTTTACTTAGGACTGAGTTAAAAGGACTAAAAAAAAACCCTATTGAATACTATGGTGCTTAAATCAACCAGGGCTTTGAGAAATCTCTCAGATCATGTTTTAGTTAGACACGTCAGGCAACCCTAACATGCTCTGCAGCCAAAACTTGCATCACAACTTCTGTTTGGCTCCTTAGGTGCCCAATGGCTCTAAATAAATAGGAAGCTGGCTCTGTGTCCCAGCACGGAAATTCACATTCCAATCTCCAGAGGGGTGCTGGCCTGGAGCCCTGGTCTGCCTCACCAGAAGTGGGTTTTGAAAAGCCACCCCATCCACAGGGTGCAGAGTAATTATGTCAAATATAATGAAGATTAACTATTCTAAAATCCCATCTCTTCTGAACTAAAATTATATTTCATAAAACTGGACTGTCACCCCATGCTTGTTTTGAGAACTTTAGAAAGCACATGTGACTAGGAGTCACCAAACAACCCCAGGGTAAGTTTTCATTTGCAAAAAGTTGCACTGGACTGAAACTTGTGTTGGTCATGTGAGGCTTCTGTGGATGAGGAGTATGTCTCTGAGAACTCCTATTCTCGGTTGCTGTGATTCTGTAAACTGTTGTAACTTTAACTCAAAAACAGTAAATACATCATCCTCTTTGGTCTTTTGTTCTATCTGCTCGAATTTATGGTTTTATATCCCAGCAGCAGAAATATATATTTGAAAGTACTTCTAAAATATTCCAACCTGGGGCAAAAGCGTGGATCACAGCTCCTCATTTTTAAAATGATTGTAAGCAAATTAAATCAGAGAAAATTTCTGGCATGGCACTTTTTAGTTTCCAGAATTACTGGCGTAAAATGCACAGCGAATATAACTTTGATTCAGTGTAACATACGATTGAACTCAAGTTTAATTTGCCTAATATCAAAAGCACTGTGGTTTACTGTGGCTTATCTTTAAGGGGGCTACACTGAGAAAACAGAACAGCCTTCTATATGACGACAGACAAGAGAGTTTGGTGGTTGAGGCTGTGGAATCTGGAGCCTGGGGTGTGCAGACGGCTTCTTCCCTTATAAGCTCGGTGGCCCTGGGCAAGTTGTTTAACATCCAATGCTTCAGTTTCCTCATCTATAGAACATAAAGGATATGTTCCTCATAGGGCCATTTGAGGACTTGATAAGTTAATAAGCACAGCATAATTAGAGAAGTACCCGACAGGTAGTAACTTACCTAGTGTAACTGTGAAAACCCTTACTTCACACTACCCTAGAGTTCTAGGAATAGAAAGGATTTTTTTTTTTAAGAGACAGGGTCTTGCTGTGTTGCTAGGCTGGTCTCAAACTCACGGGCTCAAGTGATCCTCCTGCCTCGGCCTCCCAAACTGCTGGGATTACAGGTGTGAGCCATTGCACCTGGTCGATAGAAAGGATTTTTTAATTCAACTGTCTATTGTCTAGAAGAAGAATGAATACCTAGGAAATTGGGGCCTAGAGAAGTTAATGTACCCCGAGACACATTTAGCTAGCTTGTGCTAGAACTGACACTAAAATCTTCCACACACCCTGCACTGTGCCCTTTATTAACACCAGGTCTCCTGGTATCCCTAGAAAGTAATAAATTTTCTAGTGAGGAAACAGAAACTAACAGGAAGGTTAAGTGAGGTCAAGCAGCCAATGACAGAAGTGAGGACACCAGACTCCGTTGACTATTGTTGAACTACTGGATATACTATCAAATGTCTTTTTTCTTCTTCCTGAGATAATTTGTTTTATCATTTGTACACGTGGGAGAAAACAACTGTGAGAAAAACAAACAGAAAAACCTTAGAGTTAACCAAAAGCTACTAGTCAAGAAAGAACCAGAAAATATTATTGGTTTATATCTGCAAAATATATCCCGGGAAGGTAATGAGGTAAGGTAGCAACAGAATTTTGCTTAACATCATCAAAAACACTGAATAAGAACTACTTGCATAAAGAATGATGCATAAAAATGTAAACACAGATGATGATGATCTCTGAGACAGTAACGACACAAACAGAGATTAGGACGCGTGATAAACAAATGCCTAACTTAACTAAACGGCTATTTACAACTGGAAATACAACGGTATTTTACAATCCTGGTTTTATATACTTGAAAATGTAAACATTTAAATGGGTATTTACAACAAGCACACCCCACCAGTGGGTGACAGTGACACGGGCACTGAGCGAATAAATCACAGGAGTTGCAGATATAGTCCTGTAACTAATTAAGGAAGACTTCCATGTTAGTAGTCTTTGGAAAAGAGGAAGGAGAACTTGGTGAATTAGAGCAGGGAGAAGGTACCAGGAATTTTGTGCCAGCACCTGTGACAAAGACTGCAACAAAAGGTTTTGGTATTTAAAAATGGCAGCAAGGCCGGGTGTGGCGGCTCATGCCTGTAATCCCAGCACTTTGGAAGGCTGAGGCGGGCAGATGACCTGAGGTCAGGAGTTCAAGACCGTCTGGCCAACATGGTGAAACCCCATCTCTATTAAAAATACAAAAATTAGCCAGGCCTGGTGGCGGGCACCTGTAATCCCAGCTACTCAGGAGGCTGAGGCAGGAGGATTGCTTGAACCTGGGAGGCAGAGGTTGCTGTGAGCTGAGATCACGCCATTATACTCCAACCTGGGCGACAGAGTGAGACTCCACCTCAAAAAAATAAGTTGAAAATAAATGGCAGCAAAAGCCCCCTCAATGGCACTAGCAGTACAGAATCCTCTGTGTTTTTTGAAAACAGCTTAACTATGTACTCATAGTTATTTCCAAACTCAGATAAAGTGGTTGGACTCACTGTATTAGACCCGGATCTCACTGTGGAGACCCAAATCAACAGCTGCTACACATGTTTCTCAGGGCTTTGGTTCCCTCTGAGGAATCTCAGCCCACACAAACACCAACCATCCTGCAAACTAAATGGGATGGCAAAAGAAGGAGAGGAAAATAATTTGTTACTAGACTGACTCTCTTGAGTAGGACCTACGGCTCATAGCATCCACGCAAGCTGAGCCCATGCTCACTCATCACTCCAGCCTCCTCTGCCAGCAGAACAGTGATTAGAACAGAACGTTGCATGTGAGCATCTGCAACAGGGCCAAAGTTCCATCCAGAACCATGAGAAAAGCCTCTTGCCACATCAGGATGGGAGGAGAGTCCTGACCTCCCATTTTCCACTCATCATCATCTTTCCTTTTTCATGTCTGTGATCTGTGCAAACTCCAAAGTACAAACTCTCCCCTTCTCAGTCCTTGAAGAAAGAGGCCTTGGCTCCAATAACAGCTCTGGTTCTTCTCTCTATAATCGTCTTTCTTAGTCTCCTTCACTGGCTTTTCTCCTCCACCCAATTTTTAAATATGTGTATGCTCCAAGGTTCCCTGCATACCATGCTTCTAGTCTTTCTGGATGTTCATTCATCAACTGCCTGTACACTGAGGATTCCCAAATATACAGCTATAGCTCTGGTTTCATTCATTCATTCATTCATTCATTCATTCATTCATTTATATTGAGATAAGGTTTGTTGATATTGAGATGAGGTCTCATTACATTGCCCAGGCTGACCTCAAACAGCTTCTGGACTCAAGCCATCCTCCCACCTGAGCCTCCAGAGTAGCTGGGACTACAGGTGCATACCACTGTGCCTGGCCAGCTCCGGCTTCTAGCTAATAAACTTATTTCTAAGTAGCTTGTCAGCATCTCTTCAAGGTATCCCCAAGCTACCTAAAACTTGGCATTTGTTGGGCTGAACCCTCTTCTCGGCCTCCTCCACCCTCTCTTTCTCCTAGCTAATTGTACCACTATCCTTGGAGTCACTCAAACAACCTTAGAGACGTCTTCAGATCTCCTCTCTTGCTTTGCTTATCCTTGTTCTACTCTGTCTCCACCTGTTCTTGTTTGGATTCCCCCAGGAGCAGAGTTCAAGATAGGGACTTAAGTTGCAAGTAGTTTATTCGGGAAGGAACCCCCAGATGCACCAGGGGATTACAGAAGTGAGACAGGAAAGGGAAGGAAACCAACGATAAGCGTATTACTGAGCAGGTTTCCAGGGTGGGCAACTGAGGCTCGATTCCTGTCGGGAATTTCAAGGACCTGGTTGAACACCCTCAGCGGGTGAGGAAGTTGGGTTATTTATCCTCTGGCTCCCATTCCTCACTGGCTGATGGCTGCTTCAGGGGTGGGAGGTATTAATTTTTCAGCATTTCCAGCTTTCTGTTGTGGGATGAAAGGAAATATGGGTGGGGCATCCATATTTATTTATCTGCTATAGTAATGTATTTACATTTACCCTGGTCCTGATTTCTCACTGAAATTTAACTGCCATATATGCTTTTAAAAAATCTTTTAAAAAGTAGAGTTGGGGTCTCACTGTGTTGCCCTGGCTGGTCTCAAACTCCTGGGCTCAGGTGATCCTCTCTCTTTGGTCTCGCAAAGTGCTAGATTACAGGCATGAGCCACTCTGCCCAGCTATGCCATATATGCTTTCTGTAGACTTCTTCAAGGTGAAGTGAAGTAGAAAATGTTTACAATAGTCTTCAAATTTCACTGTGTCTACTCCTTTCTGCACACATAAGGATGGAAATTCCCTCCTGTCCTACTATCAATTGCAAGAATCCTACAGTTTCCTTCTACAAAAATGTTCAGAATTCCTATTCTCTTGCTGTGATTCTATGAATATTTCATTTTCCTCTATTGACGTCATCCATAAAAAGGCTTTTAGCTGCCACTTCTTCTTTCTTCCTTTTTGGTGTTTTTTTTTCTCATTAACAGTAGGTCAGACATTCTTCATTTTTTAATACATGAAAATTAAACATTCCTCAGCGGATCATCACTGCTCGGTTTCAGGATGATGAAGAAAAATGTTTCTGTTCCATCACATTTGGGTTGCATCATGTGGAGGTGCAACCCCACTATGACTCTCACTGTCATTCTATCTGAAAAACATCTCAAAATGGTATTATTGTCAACTCCAAGCTTAAACAAGATAATGTATCCTGGTTTTATATACTTGAAAATGTAAACATTTTCCAGTTATCTGGAGATTTTTCTCTGATTCTTCTTTACTAAATTTAACTGGAGAGAACATGTCTCATTCATGAGCCTCTGTCCTCCTGATAACATTTTAAATGTAATGTAAATGCAATGTAAGGGAACAACGTAGCTATGATGTGGTCTCAGCTGTCAGAGAAGAGGCACCATGTAAGATCTCTCTTTTTGATTTATTGTTGTCATTGTTTATAAAGACAATATGATGATCACTATGGAAAATGTAAGTGGTACAGAAAACTATCATGAAGAGTTTCTTTTTAAAAATCATAAATCTTATTACATCAATAATCACTGAAAATCCTGGTGTACATGCCAAATATATACTGTACATCTACAGTCTTAAATTAATGATGTATGTTATACTCTATGTGTTGCGCAGCCAACTACTTTCACCCAAAACATCTTTTCATATCTTTTTAAAAGTTGCTGTTTCTGTTCTTGTAGCCACTAATACTAAAGTTACCATTTAATCATATTTCATAAAGTATGTATACATTATCACAACTTAAAAGTAAGCTGATAGCACGATCATATGATCCCCGTGAAAGCAGGGCTCCTCTGTTTAAAATCTGTGTATTTTTCTCATTTACTTGAAGCTCAGGGACTGTTCTCTCTACCCCCACCCCAGCCTTCAAGCCCAGGTTGATCTTCCTTCCTCACAAAAAAGATTCTTACACAAACAACCTGTCCAACCAAAATCTTTTCCAGATAAACATATGTTTCCTGCTGAGAACTAAAAGAATCCTGCCCTTTAGTTTGGCTTATTCCATTTCCCTTTTGATTTTTTTTTCTCTCTTATCCACTGGTAGACTTCTAAAGTCCCTTTTAAGCTCTCAAGTTCTGGTTTCATGATTTTGGAAAAATCTTAAAGGATATTAGCCATGAGGAGTATGCTGCCGAGTCATTTCCTTCTCCAAGTGCATGGTGGAGAGAAAGCTCTGCTGCCTTCTTCATGTTTCTGATTCAACATGATTTTTAAAACTGCTGTACTGTTGCTCACTGTAAACAGACTAATTTGAAATCCAACACCAAAGATTAACCACCTTTATCACAAAACCAAGGTGAGAGCTTTGAACCTCGGCCACCATTTTTTGATAGTTTTTTTTTTTTTTTTTTGAAGAGGTTGGGGGGTGAGGGGAGGGAACTTAGAGGACAGGTCAATAGGTGCAGCAAACCACCATGGTACACGTATACTTATGTAACAAACCTGTACGCTCTGCACATGTATCCCCCCCACTTTTTTTTTATTAAGAAGAAATAAAGGAAAAAAAAAAAGAAAAAGGTAAAGGGGATCACGGTGGCTCACGCCTATTATCTCAGGACTTTGGGAGGCTGAAGTGGGAGGATCACTTGAGGCCAGGAGTACAAAACCAGTCTGGACAATATAGCGAGGGACTCTGGAAGTCATGTATTCTTTCTGTGCCTGGTGGCAGGCTTTTCTGGAAATGGAAAAGGCTGAGTCAAATAATCAGTGAAGTTCCTTCTAGCTCTTAAGAGTCCATGATCCCAGTGAAACTAGCGTTACTGCTGGGCGCAGTGGCTCGTGCCTGTAATCCCAGCACTTTGAGAGGCCAAGGCAGGAGGACTGCTTGAAGCCAGAAGTTTAAGACCAGCCTGGGCAACAAAGCAAGACCCTCTGTCTATTAAAAAAATAAAGTAAGAAACTAGCTTTCCAGAATGAGGGCAAAATAAAGATATTTCAGAAAACTGAGATTGTTCACTACCAAATACCTTCGCTAAATAAAGAATGTACTTGAAGAGAATCTACTTGAAGAAGGAGGGAAATGTTCGAGGGAAGGTTTGAGCTATACAAGAAAGTGGTATGTTAAAAAATTATAAACATGTAAGTAAATAGAAACAAAGAAGGATGGAATAACTAATAACATCTAGTTAATGGAGCTTCAAAAGAAAAATAAAAAGATATCAAAAATATCAAGGAAATGCACATAAGCCAGGAGGAAAGTGACTGGAGTTAAAAACATTCTAACATCCTTAGATTGCTCAGTAGGAGGGTAAAGTGGTAGCTAACTTTAGACTTAGTTACACAGACATGTTAAAATTCCAAGTATAATCACTTAAAAAAAAAAAAAAAGAGAGAGAGATTCTATCTTCCAAACCAATAGAGGTGGGAAAAAATGGAATTGGTAGAGACAGTGGTAGAGGGAGAATCTCAATAAACTTCTAGAAATAGGAAATCTAACCACCTGTTGTTTATAAAGCACAAACCTAAGACATAGGTAGAAAAAGTAGAAAGTAAATGAATTAAAGAAGATGCAAAGCAGGGCAAATACTAGCCAAAAGACATGCAATGCAGCCACATTAACGTCAGATAAAATACACTGTAAAAGAAAGAATTGCTAGAAATAAAAAGAAGTGATTGTATAATAAAAGGTTTTACCAGGAAAATATAACAGTATATTTGTATATATTCAGTAGCAGAGCTTTAAAGTAAACCAACAAACAGCATTTACTCATTACTGCAGAGCTATACTGTTGCAGAGCTGAGTGGTGTCCTAGGATTACATTCCCTTCTCTAAGCATGCATTCTAGAACACTCTAAAAAGAAAAAAAAATCCAAATGGCAACATTAGCAGCAGCGAATCCATATGGGTCTGCAGCAACTCGATTCTTGCTTCCTTGGAGGAAAGAATTTGGCCAGAGAGGATAAGGTAGAATGAGACCAAGGCAAGTTTTAGAGCAGGAGTTAAAGTATATTAAAAAGTTTGAGAACAGGAATGAAAGGAAGCAAAGTACACGTGGAAGAGGGCCAAGTGGGCAATTTGAGAGATCCGAGGACCCTGTCCGACGCTTGACTTGGGATTTTTACACAATGGCATGGTGCTGAGGTTTGTGTCTCTCCTCCCTTGGTTTTTCCTTGGGGTGGGCTGTCCGCATGTGCAGTGGCCTGCCAGCACTTGGGAAGGGCCGCATGTACAGTGTGTTTACTGAAGCTGTGCACATGTTCATTTGAGGCATTTTTCCCTTACCAATTGAGTGTTCCTAGAGGAAGGTCATACACCAGCTAAACTCCACCATTTTGTCTCTTAGCATGCAAGTTTGAGCCCACTCATCCAACGCCTGAGATCCTATGAGGAAGCTACTGATTGGCCGGGTGCCGCGGCTCACGCCTGTAATCCCAGCATTTTGGGAGGCCGAGGCGGGCGGATCGCGAGGTCAGGAGATCCAGACCATCCTGGCCAACATGGCGAAACCCCATCTCTACTAAAAATATAAAAAATTAGCCAGGCGTGGTGGCACGTGCCTGTAGTCCCAGCTACTCGGGAGGCTGAGGCAGGAGAATCGCTTGAACCCGGGAGGCAGCGATTGCAGTGAGCTGAGATCACGACACCGCATTCTAGCCTGGGCAACAGAGCAAGACTCCATCTCAAAAAAAAAAAAAGGAAGCTGCTGATTAAGAGCTTAAGGTGTTTTCTATCTACTGGGAGTCTGCTTTCCCTGGTGCAAGCTGTGACCAACTAGTATGTTAGTGAGACAGTTTAACAACCACCTGACCATCACCTGATGGTTGCCTGACATTCCTGTGGGGGAGGGGGGCCTCTCCTGCCCCGCTCATATCTGCCTAACTACTCTAACAGCAAGGTCAGATATAGTCCCTATTCTTTTATTCCACTGGCTGTTCAAAATCATACCATGGCTGGCATCTGCTTTTCTATTGACAGAGATATGCTTCATTTGTCTTGGGTAAATACCTAAGAACTGCTGGGTAACAAGGTAGTGGTCTGTTTAGTTCTGTAAGAAACTGCCAGACCATTTTTCAAAGCGGTTGTACCATTTTGAACTCCCACTAAAAATATGAAAAGTTCTAGTGCTCCACAGTCTCACCAACATTTAGTGTTGTTGGTCTTTTTCATTTTAGCCTTTCTAGTGGTATCTCATTGTGGTCTTAATTTGCATATCCCTAAAGCCTAAAATTGCTGAGCATGTTTCTATGTGTGTATTGCCCATTCATATTTCTTTTGAGAAAATGTCTGTTCAAATCTTTTGCTCATTTTTTTAAAATTGGGCTGTTTGTCTTTTCATTGAATCATGACTTTATTTAGGGGGACACAGTCACTGTTTTTCCTATTAAGAAAAGCAACATATGCCTCTACTCTTGATTCCATGGAATTTACCTGATAACTCTTTGCCCAAGACTATGTATGTGTAGACTGAAGGTAAAGAAGGTTTCAGAAAGGTTAGGGATCATGTTTACTTTTTCTGCATACATATTGGAAGACAGCGGGGTAGAGAGACTAAAACCTACA